>NT_187679.1:0-300000 GCF_000001405.40 Homo sapiens | reverse complement strand
TGTTTCCATCTCCATGGCCCCACCCTCCACCTCTTATTCCACTGGTGTTTCCATCTCCACGACCCCACCCTCTACCTCTTATTCCACTGGTGTTTCCATCTCCACGACCCCACCCTCTATCTCTTATTCCACTGGTGTTTCAATCTCCATGACACCACCCTCTACCTCTTATTCCACTGGTGTTTCCATCTCCATGACTCCACCCTCCACCCTTATTCCCCTGGTGTTCCATCTCCATGACCCCACCCTCCACCCTTATTCCACTGGTGTTTCCATCTCCACGACCCCACTCTCTACCTCTTATTCCACTGGTGTTTCCATCTCCATGACCCCACCCTCCACCCTTATTCCACTGGTGTTTCCATCTCCGTGACCCCACCCTCCACCCTTATTCCTCACTGATTCAGTAATCATGACTTCACGCTGAAGTCATGACTTCCATGACTGCACGCTTTGGTGTTGCTTTTGGTGTTTCTCTCACGTATTTTAAACATTGATCCACAGAGCTTTCTTACACATTACACATTATTTTCCTCATTTTATAGATGAATCAACTGAGACACCAAGGAACTGATGGACTTGTCCAATTCACACAGATAGTTAAGGATTGAGGCCAAGACTGGTACCTAGCACCTGGAGAGCAGCCTGCCTGGCTTGCTGTTGCCAGTAGTGTCTCCTCTTCAATGGGCCATGCAGAACCTTGGCCTCGTTCACTGCTCATAGCCAGGAGCTATGGACAAAGGCATTTTATTACCTACAGGGATAAGTCCGTTTGTTCCCAGACCAAACTGAGAGTCTGGCTGCTTATTCTCGTGGCCCAATAATGAGATGCTGATAAACTGGGAAAGAAGAGAGCTTATTTCTGTAACCGGGTACAGGGAGAAGGCCTGGAAAATATTGCCAGACTAACCAAAAATTACAAGGTTTACAGAGCTTATATACCTTTTAAGCTATATGTCTGTGTGTACGTGTGCATTCGTGTAAAGACATAAGTGATTAACTTACTCTAATCTGTAACTAAGATCTGAGATTTGAAGCCCTTCCTCTGCAGCCTCAGTAAATTGACTTAATCTAGACGGGTCCAGGTACTGGGGGTGATTACATTTATCCTGTCTCCTGCTAAATCATGGAGGTTTGGGGAGTTCCTTTAGACCCCCAATAAAACATTTTTGTGGAAGTCTGGGGAGTTTCTTCAGCCCCCCAATAACAAGTTGTTTAATCCTAAACAGGTCCTGTTAAGAATTCCTTCATTATCTTGTCACGCTTCAAGACCTGGGAGAGGCCTGGGCAAACCTCCTGGTGGGCTTTGGTTGCATTCCAGCCTTTGTATAAGGACACTGGCTCTCTCAGCTTTCAGTATGTAGCTCAACACTCAGTCAGGGCTGAGACAGTTGTTACGGAGGCCTGCCTGTTCAGCTGTTAGTGACACCTGGCCTGCCACAAAAATCTCCTTGGTTGGCATGAAATAGCCTCTCCAATCTGTCTAATTGACTTATCTGGTCTTCTATCACTCTTTTCAGCTCCTCAGAAACTCTGCTCCAGGCAGATGAGACTAATTTTTGTCCTTCAGCTCCACCTGCACCAATCACCTCCAAATTTCTGCTCATACAGTACCCTCCGCGTAGATGCCTTTCTTCTTCATGCTCGAGTCCCTTATTTTCATGGAGCCTTTCCTGTCGGCTCACACAGATTGTGTGCTCCTGTGTGACAAGAGTGGTCGATTCCGATTGATTTGTCCAGAATTGAACTCCTTGTTTTCCTCATCGCGTGGCCCCCACTTGTTGGAAACCTGAAAAGACTACATTTCCCAGACTCCCTTATGGGTGATGTTGGGAGCCTATGACCATGTTCTGACCAGTGCTGTGTAGATGGAACGCTGGCCACTTCCAGAGTTGACCATAAGACACGACTCTCTTCTTTCCTCCTGTGGGAATCCAGGAACCCACATGTTCCAGGTGGCAGAGTTATAGTATGGAAGCAGCTCCTATCTCTGAGTTACCACTCGGAGGAGACCCACCAAGTAGGGCCACTGAAGGGACAATGACTTCGAATGAGAAAGACGTAAGTTTTATTTTAAGCCACTGAGATTTTGGGTTGCTTGTTATAGTGGCCAGCAAACATTGCTCTGACTAATTTGGCCTGCCTGCCTGGTTTGATATATCTCTCCACCTGGATTTTAGAGTTAATGATTGGCATGCCATTTATTTTTTACCTTTCTCCCTTCCCTATTTCTTTTCTCATTTTCTCCTTTCTTTTCTTCATTCCCCATTTAATTTTTTTGTTTTCTCGTTTTTTCTCCCCAGCATCTTTGAGGGCCCTATTTAATCTTAATTGAGAAACCACCAGGGAGACAAATTCTACTAATTGCAAAAATTGAATAAAAAATGGTCTGAGCTTTCAAGAAAGTGACTGTTTAGTAAGAATTTTATAGTCTAGTAGTTGCTAACAATTTAAGCTGTTTGTCCCTCCATTACTCAGTTGTGCGGGCAAAAGAAATGGTCAGAGACCAGTCACTGAATGCAGATTAGGGCTTTCCAGGTTCTCAGGACTTCACTGGTCTTGCATGATGTTGTAGGAATGGTGAGGTGGGGCCAAAATTTACTTTCTGATCAAACAGCCCATGTGTTCATTGGTTAGGTAATAAATATGATTAAGCCTCTACAGCCCTATAGGCTGCAGCACAGAGGAATTACAGGTAATCTTGATTTAGAGAGTGTGTTCGGGTAAGTGTTCCAGCTTATTTGCATAGCAAAGGGTTCTGCTGGGGCCACTGACTTTGTTCTCTGTGAACTCCCAATTCTCTGGGAAGCAGATAATACAGATTCCTCTGCTCTTATCAATTTCCAGTTGCATTCTTCCAAAGCACCAGGAGATTTGTGTTTGGCTATGATTTCAGTTGGCATACTTTGGCCCTGGGGTGATTTCTCATCATTATGATGTCAGCCTCCATTTTCATGCCAATGATACAGTTATACCTGTTTTTGGTTTTTGACATCCCTTCCCTTTCTTTGTCTGGCAGGCATTAAATCATTAATGTTTCAAAATCACATACAGCTGAAACTTTGTAAAACAGCATTTCTAGTAATGAGCTCCTTAAAATTGCAGAGACAATCCAGTCCTCTCTTTTACTTGGCCTCCGCTGACCTCCAATTTCACTTCAAACGAGGATGCAGGGGGTTATCTTTGATTGATAATTATTTTTCCTGATCTCAGATGTATGAAAACCTGTCTTTTATCATGCAAACCTTGCTAGAATGCAGGTATTTCTCTCCATTACTAATGCAGGGAGATTTTCGTCATGATTTATGTCTTTCAGATTAAATTACTGGGAAACATGGCCCTTCCTGAAGGCTGGCTATCTCTACAGCAAAAATAGTTCCGACTTCGCTCCTTTGCTTTGACAGTCATGATACATCATTGCACCTCTGGCTAATTAGCAGCTTCTTCCCTGGTCTTATTTTTCCACTATGGGGATGTTTGCAAAACTTTTTTTCATGTCAAGCTTCCATCTTACCTTACCAAGCACTTCACCTAACTGCTGAAGTTTATCATTCACCAGGGAGACACTGCTGGAAACCCCCAGGAATCCCAGAGCGACTGTCACTGTATGATTTAGGAGACAGTCACGGAAAATAAGAAGAAGAACGTAAGCAGCTAACCATCATGACGTGCACAGAACTCACATACATACTCGGTGGCAGACACAGCGGTGCCCTCGGATTATCTCATTTAATTCTTGCTACAACTTAGTGAGCTGCAATCGGTTGAGAAATCTGGTTAAGAATTTAGAGATTAAATAACTTGCTAAAGGCCATAGAGCTAAAAAGCAGCAGATATGGGTTCAAATACAGGCATGTCTGACTTTGGTCACTGTAAGGGAGTAGCTGATTCTGTTCTAACCCCAATGCCAACACCAACAGAAATGCTCACTTAAACCATGGAAAGATCATTAGACGTAACTAACAACGGGGGAAGTGCAGATGTATTTTGTGATGTGCAACCACAGATTTCAGAAGCCACTCCTATTAATATCTTATTTGTCATGAGTATAAAACTTCTAAGAATATAAGCACATTATTATATTGATTGTCACACAGAGCACAATGCAGAATTTAGTGGGGATGAATGTAATTAATCTATGAGGCTATGCCATGCCACGCCTGTGACTGGTGGTGGGGGGTCAGGAGTCTGAACAAACTGTGTGCTAAAAATGGGGAGAGAGAGAAGGAAGGAAAGAGAGAAAGAGAGAGAGAGGTGGGTACTTGTAATGTACAGAGTACAGGTCTGGCCTTCCCCTCACCCCTCAGGGCCCCTTAAGGGAAGGGGAATGGGGAAGTGAGAATGAATGTCTTCAAGAGCCCACCAGGTAGGGAATGGGAGGAATGAAGGGCCAGGGCCAGGGCCTCCCCCACTGCATGGGAAACCACACTTGCCACGGGAGGAGCTTCTCCTTTATGGATACTTTGAGACTCTGCATTATTTTCTAATTCAGGATAATAAATCCAGCTCCCTCACGACTTTCCCTCATATTATCTGCCTTTCGTAATCCCTTGTGTCATGTTACATGTCACTTCTCTTCCTAATCTCCATGCTCCAGAACCCCCCAGGAATTGTCATTTGTGAATCCTTGGTTAATTAAGTCTTTTAATGTCTTTGTTTTTATATCTCTTTTCTATTTCATAGGAATAGAACATAAGATGTTATATATATGTAATATATATAAAATTATGCTCACACACATGCAAACACATGTACTAAATGTAAGAAGCACTTTGACCTCTGCAATTGAAAAGTACTTTATGAGGTGACAGAATTTTCTGTTAGGCTTTGCTGAGCCTATTCACACGTCTGAGGTGACCTATTTTTCTGACTGTGTCTCAACACTGGCACTGATATGTTTTTCCAAGGATTTTTCATTGATATTTAAAAACTATTGTTACACTCCCTTTCTGCTTTAGTAAACAGATGATAATACAAGCTTTCCTTACTATTTCAAGTCCACCATTACAACTTACTCTCCTATACTTTAAATGTAGGTTTTTGGCTGATTCTACCATATTGTGTTCCCTTAAGTAAGTTCTGGATTAATTTTTTTTCATTTGCTTTTTTCTCATAAATGTACAATGAGAATGAGCAGCTGCACGGCTTCCCGGGCATCACAGAATCTCAGCCGTCAGAGTCACCATATTCTCCAAGAACGACGTCGTCTTCTCGGTCAAAGTCACCATATTCTCCAAGAGTGACGTCGTCCTTCAGTCACCTCCTTGTGCTTCACCCCACCACACTCCTGCCTTCTTTAGCAACTGTTGTGTTTGGACGGCCCTCACGGCCTCCATATTCTCCAAGAGTGACGTCGCCTTCTCAGTCAAAGTCACCATATTCTCCAACAGCGACTTCGTCTTCTCAGTCACATCCTTGTGCTTCACCCCGCCGCGCTCCCGCCTTCCTTAGCATCTGTTCACCCCGCCGCGCTCCCGCCTTCGTCAGCATCTGTTCACCCCGCCGCGCTCCCGCCTTCGTCAGCATCTGTTCACCCCGCCACGTTCCTGCCTTCGTTAGCATCTGTTCACCCCGCCGCGCTCCCGCCTTCGTCAGCATCTGTTCACCCCGCCACGTTCCCGCCTTCGTTAGCATCTGTTCACCCCGCCGCGCTCCCGCCTTCGTCAGCATCTGTTCACCCCGCCACGTTCCTGCCTTCGTTAGCATCTGTTCACCCCGCCACGTTCCCGCCTTCGTTAGCATCTGTTCACCCCGCCGCGCTCCCGCCTTCCTTAGCATCTGTTCACCCCGCCGCGCTCCCGCCTTCGTCAGCATCTGTTCACCCCGCCACGTTCCTGCCTTCGTCAGCATCTGTTCACCCCGCCGCGCTCCCGCCTTCCTTAGCATCTGTTCACCCCGCCGCGCTCCCGCCTTCCTTAGCATCTGTTCACCCCGCGGCGCTCCCGCCTTCCTTAGCATCTGTTCACCCCGCCGCGCTCCCGCCTTCGTCAGCATCTGTTCACCCCGCCACGTTCCTGCCTTCGTTAGCATCTGTTCACCCCGCCGCGCTCCCCCCTTCGTCAGCATCTGTTCACCCCGCCACGTTCCTGCCTTCGTTAGCATCTGTTCACCCCGCCGTGCTCCCGCCTTCGTCAGCATCTGTTCACCCCGCCACGTTCCTGCCTTCGTTAGCATCTGTTCACTCCGCCGCGCTCCCGCCTTCGTTAGCATCTGTTCACCCCGCCGCGCTCCCGCCTTCCTTAGCATCTGTTCGCCCCGCCGCGCTCCCGCCTTCATCAGCATCTGTTCACCCCGCCGCGCTCCCGCCTTCGTCAGCATCTGTTCACCCCGCCACGTTCCTGCCTTCGTCAGCATCTGTTCACCCCGCCGCGCTCCCGCCTTCCTCAGCATCTGTTCACCCCGCCACGTTCCCGCCTTCGTTAGCATCTGTTCACCCCGCCGCGCTCCCGCCTTCGTCAGCATCTGTTCACCCCGCCGCGCTCCCGCCTTCCTTAGCATCTGTTCACCCCGCCGCGCTCCCGCCTTCCTTAGCATCTGTTCACCCCGCGGCGTTCCCGCCTTCGTCAGCATCTGTTCACCCCGCCGCGCTCCCGCCTTCCTTAGCATCTGTTCACCCCGCCGCGCTCCCGCCTTCCTTAGCATCTGTTCACCCCGCGGCGTTCCCGCCTTCGTTAGCATGTGGCTTGTCTGGACGGCCCTCAGCCTCCTCCCATTTCAGCATTGTCATCATCACAGTGCTGTGCTACTTGCCTTATTTTTCTCCTTGACGTCTCCCTTGGCTGATTTTTCTTCTCTCTGAATCATTTAAACACATTTCGTCCCCCCATTTGATCCTATTCTGTCTCTTCCTCTACTTGAAAAATTCTCCCTAAAATGGGTCCTCAGGACTTCTCTCTTGAGCCTATATATTCTCTGTGATTTTTGCGCTTTATGTATACGCACCTCTGATAAAGAATTTCCTCTGAAGTCTAATCAGCAAGCGTCTCCTTATGCAGTGCACCCTCTTTCTTCATCTGGGGATGGAGTGCTCCTCCACAGTAAGCTACGGTGTCTGGCTATCCAGCAGCTGGCTTCAAGCACGGGACTCCGAGGGGACTCCTCTTTGGTCTTCCCATTATTTCACATATTTACACAGTGCAGAGGGATTCTTCCTGGTCCACGGGTCAGAGAGGAGAATTCTAGTGTACTGCATCTAGTCCTTTCACTCGTATCCAGTTTCACCTGGGCTGCTAACCCACTTCCTAATTGACATAAATGGCTCCTGGCTGTGCTCATGGCTAGCTCCGCTTTCACCTGTAAAATTTCCGTTACGGGAGTTTATGAAGTAGCCATTTCTCGGAGGCAAAGACAGAATTGTCTCAGAAATACAGAACACTTGTTATTAGACGGGCTTTTACAATTTAATTCTTGGAATGTTGCTCTCCATTGAAGAATAGTTAATCATTGGTAGAGACATGTCAGTCGCACACTGCAGCTTATATACAGTCATGTGTAGCTTAATGACCAGGATTTGCTCTGAGAAATGTGTCCTTAGGTGATTTCGTCATTGTGCAAATATCATAGAGTGTCTTTGCATAAACCAGGATGGTAGAGCCTCTCACACACCTAAGCTGTATGATAAAGTCTATTGCTCCTAAGCTGCAAGCAGCAGGGTACTGTACTGAATACTGTAGGCAGTTGTAACACAATGGTAAGTATTTGTGTATCTAAACATAGAAAAGGTACAATAAAAATACAGTACTATAATCTTACGAGACCACTGTTGTACATGTGGTCTGTCATCGACTGAGACGTCATGGGGCACATGACCATATTACATGTTTTAGAATCAAGATTAGACTCTAAGCTTTCCAACAACCCTATTGTCCTGTTACTTGTTTCAGGGCTGAAAACATTGTTGAGGCTGTGGCATGTTTTGTGCTATATAATCTGCTCCTATTCCCTGAGATTTCTCTTGTGAAAAACTGTCCATGGCTTTGTTCTTGGGCATGCTGAGCCACAATGTGGAACTTTCCCATAATTTACTATGCCAGTCACTGCAGCCCTTCTGAGAGGCTGGAGAGAACTCTGTTTCTTTTTCTGTTGTTTTTTTTTTCTACTGATATTTTGTTAAAAATGTAGGTAGACTTTCCCATCTTAAACTGATAGCAAAAAGAAGAGGCAAATAACAGAAGGAACTATCAACCACTGTTGTTGTTTCCATTCGTGCTTATTCTTTATGAAGTGTTTCTGTGCATGGAGGGAAAAAGGCTCTGAGAATACAGCTAGAACCCACCGTGCCCACGGAGACACTGGCTGTTTCCTGGCATTCTCTTTGGTGGTGGGAAGCATCTTTTCCCAGATTCACCTATGGTGACACAGACTCAAGTTTGAAAGCATCAGCACTGTTTCTGTCCCAACACCTGCCTTTTTCGGGAATCACACATATTGTTAGTGTTGAGATAACACATTTTGAACCTTTATTTTTATTTTCTGTGTGCTTTTATTGCCCAGAAAGTGTGTGTGTGCGTGTCTGTCTGTCTGTCTACGGTGAGGGGAGGTGGGAAGAGGGAGAGGGCAGGGAAGGAGAAGGAAGCAAAGCAAAGCTTTGAAGTTAGTGCAAAACTAATATTTTGGGTAAAAAGCTTTTCCTTTGCCAGAGCAAATATTTGATTGCTTCAATTCTTCTAAAATAGTCTATTTTCTTCTTGTTTCAGCATCTAGTAAATTTTGGGCAGTCCTGTTTAGCAAAAGAGAATGAATCCAATCAGCATGTCTCAGAAGGTACAGCAATAGGGTTGGAGGAAAAATAATGTATGAGAAAAGTGAACTGCAGTGTGCTTTTAACTCATTTATAACAATTAATCAAACTAAATATCTGACTGGCAAATTAACCACTTTGAAGATATTTTGTCACGAGAGTGATGGTGGCGAAAGGTACAGGTGATACCTTGTATGTGCCAATCAGCCATTTATCTTACTGGCCAGCCAGAAAATGGCTTTCATTAGTTACATAGCTTTATGGAACTAAACTCATTTCTTTGAGGTGTGATGGCACAATAAAGAGAATATTACCATGTGACTGAGGCCAATCTTCTGTTTTGCCCAATAGGCCACTTTCCGAGTGATAGCATTTTCAAAATTTGAGGTTTGTAGGGCCAGTCGCTGAGGCCGATGACTGCAGGCAGGTCCCTTTTCCTTTGTTTGGGTCAGTGGCCCCAAGGTGAGCTGTGCTGCTCTGGTTCTTGTTTGGTTTATACACGATGGCATCCTCTGTTCAGGTCTAAGGTTTCATGTCTTCACCAGTAGAAACAGGATACCTTCTCAATTTTTAAATTAGAACTGCAAGTTTAATTCTTTATCAAACCATCTAAATATGATAACCCCAATCAGTAATTAAAATTCCCCCAGTTTAAAAATTGTATTCATCCCTGAGAGGTCTGAGAAACAAAATTTAAAACAAAAATAAACAATTTAAAACTGAAAGGGAGCTCTCAGATTCTGTCTGTCTAAGCTTCTCATTTTAAAGGTGAAAACAATACAGTTATCACGTACAGCTCTAAAGGTTCTGTTGTCCGTGTTTTTTATGTGTATAATGTGGGGTGTGTGTGTTGTGTGTGTGTGTGTGTATGAACTGATTCTTGCAAGCTGATGAGGTCGTTATGATTATTTATTTATTTATTTATTTATTTATTTATTTGAGACGGAGTCTCGCTCTGTCGCCCAGGCTGGAGTGCAGTGGCTCCATCTCTGCTCACTGCAAGCTCCGCCCCCCGGGTTCACGCCATTCTCCTGCCTCAGCCTCCCAAGTAGCTGGGACTACAGGCGCCCGCCACCACGCCCGGCTAATTTTTTGTATTTTTAGTAGAGACGGGGTTTCACCGTGTTAGCCAAGATGGTCTCGATCTCCTGACCTCGTGATCCGCCCGCCTCGGCCTCCCAAAGTGCTGGGATTACAGGCGTGAGCCACCGCGCCCGGCCGAGGTCGTTATGATTATTATTATCCCTGCCTTACAGGTAAGAAACCTAGGCCTCGAGGGGTTCATTTACCTTCCGTGGTCAAAGATCTAGCAGTGGCAGCAGCAGACGCAAGCGCAACTAGGTGTCCTCTGGAGGACTGAGGTCTCCACCACCTTGGAGGAAATCAAGACGCAGAGGAAGGAAGGCTCTTGCCAAGGCCACACAGCTGCTGGTGGCAGCAATTGCACTGAATATTGAAAATACATAAAGAGCAAAATTTAAATAAATAGCTTCATACGGGACAGACCATAATTGATCTTACTTTTCTCTTATTTATCAACGTTTAGTTTGTTTTCCAATTTTGCTGTTAGAGAAAAATGTCCAGACATCTTTTAAACAAGTCTTGGCCCAAATTTGTTTAGATAAGATTTCTAAAAGGAATAATAATAACAATTATATATATATTTTGAGATGAATCCTCACTCTGTTGGCCAGGCTGGAGGGCAGTGGTGTGATCTCGGCTCACTGCAACCTCGGCCTCCTGGGTTCAAACGATTCTCCCACCTCAGCCTCCCAAGTAGCTGGATTACAGGCATGCACCCCATGCCCGAGCCACCATGCCCAGGCAGGAATAGTAATTTATGTCCAAAGTTATACAGAGTCTTATCAAGAATGATTTTACTAAAATTCACTTTTACTAGCACAAGAATGAGCATTTCACTGTACACAATCCATATTAAATACATTTATTAAAAATAACTGAACAAGCACTCAATAATTTGAGAGGCATTTCAAAATTTGCTGTAATCTGTGTTTAAGCGGTTGTGAGATTAATTTTTGTTTTTCCAAGAATTTTTAATTCAATACCTTTATTCGTTTTTCTTTTCTTTCAAGTTTTTAAAAAATAAATCTTATGTATTAACATATTAACTCTGTGACAGTCACATTCTATGATTTTCATTCTCTCCAAATACTCTTCTATTCACCCATTCCCTGACTAGGGGTAGAGAGGTCACTTGTATGTGATGTCAGCACCTCTGCTATCCTTCCTAATGTCTTGCTCTTTGGACTTGTGGACTCACATGGATCTTGGATTATCGGAATGACAGGCCAAGAAGGTAGAATGTGGGACATTATCTTGGACAGCTTCCAGTAGTTCCACTTGTTTACACACTCTTTCTTTTTGTTCCTTATGCTGCTATTATATTTTTGAAAAACTTGTACTTCATACTGTAAGTAAGTATTTGGATGCCAAGTCTATTGCCCAGTAGGGAGAAACAATGACCTATCGGATATATGTGAATATATACATATATGTATACACATATGTATTTATATTGATAAAGGAAATATCTGTGTGTATATGCTTTTGTGTATATATACATACAAATAAATATAAAATAAAAATGAATATATATCTTATGCAAACATATATTTTATAATCTATCAATATATTAATCTAAAATTATCAATTATATATCATAATATATACTGTATAAGTTAGATATATTAATTATAAATGATTACTATTTAATAAAATTATCTAGATGATATGGTTTGGCTCTGTCCCCACCCAAATCTAATCTTGAATTTTAGTTCCCATAATCCCCATATGTGGTGGGAGGGACCTGGTGGGAGGTAATTGAATCATGGGGCAGTTACCCTTATGCTGCTGTTCTCAAGATAGTGAGTAAATTCTCATGAAACCTGATGGTTGTATAAGGGGCTTTCCCCGCTTTGCTAGGCACTTCTCTCTCCTACCCCTTTGTGAAGAAGGACGTGCTTGCTTCCCCTTCAGCCATGATTGTAAGTTTCCTGAGGCCTTCCCAGCCATGTGAGTCAATTAAGACAAAAACTTTCCCTTATAAATTACCCAGTCTTGAGTATGTTTTCAAAGCAGCAAGAGAATGGACTAATACACTAGAATAGAAAAATATGAATAAATTTAATAACATTAATATACAACAATAATCATGTATACATACATATCTAAGTGTAAACATAAATATACAGTATTATTTGGGAAAACCTCTCAAACAGTGTTTCCTCTGCTCTGATACCACATATCAACAATCAACACAGAAGATTCTGGGATCCCAAATGTGTGAGGATTTTTTCCCAATGGCAAGCAAACAATCAATTCTGCAGCAGACACCAGGTGAGTGTCCTTCAATTCTATTCCAACATTATCTACCTGGAGACAGCATCAGATTCCACACGTTGGGGGCTCAGTCCCCAAGACTGCCCTCCACCCCGACACTAGTCTCCAGTCTGGGCTTCTGGAACTTCTGATCAATGGGCTTCAATTTGGGGTTCCCATGACTCCCTCTTTGGGCTCAATTAATTTGCTGGAATGGCTCACAGAACCAGGGAAACACTTACTTGCGTTTATCAGATTATTATAAAGGATATTGCAAAGGACACAGATGAAGAGATGCGTAAGTTGAGGTATGGGGGAAGAAGCAAGGAGCTTCCATGCTTTTTCTGGGCATCACCCTCTAGGAACCTCCCTGTGTCCAGGTATGTGGAAATGCCCCCAACCTTGTCCTTTCGGGGTTTTATGGAGGCTTCATGACATAGGCATGACTGATTAAACCATTGGCCATTGGTGCTCAACTTGACCTTCAGCCCCTCTCCCCTCCCAGGAGGTTGATGGGTGGGTCTGGAAGTCCCAACCCTCTAATCCTTCCTTGGTCTTTTTGGTGACCAGCCCCACCTTGAAGCTATTAGTCAACATTAGCATGCAAAAAGACAGCACTTAGAGATTCCAAGGACATTAGGAGTTGTATCTCAGGCAGGGGGAAAGCAGAAGGAAGGTCAAATATATATTTCACAGCATCACAAGTGCATATGATATAGGAGTTGAAAAGAAATTACTTAGTCAGTTAGTGAGGGTACAGAAGTCCTCAGTAAAGTTTTCCTTTTAATCAAAAGTGGCCCCCAAATCATTATTTTTCTAACAAAGAGCAGCCTGTAAAATCAAGCTACAGACATAAACAAGCAAGCTGAAAGCTTGCATGGGTGAATGTCAGCAATTGTGCCCATAGTAATGTACTACCTGGGCTAGGCATGTTCAAAGTGGTGGCTCCATTTTCTCTTTTTGCCAGCCACTGTATTGTAAGGAGCAGACAAGATGGTGAAGGTCAAGTGGAAAGTCCATTTGCATAATAAGATTAGGGTGGGACTACCAGCCTTTCCCGCCTGCTATGTAAACGTCCCACCTGGTCAAGCCAATCCATGAGCCCTTGGGAAAGCAGACACCATCTCCTCAAGCCTGCCTATAAACTCTGCTGTGGTCTGACACTGTCCCCCTTTCTGACACCTCTCTCTCACAAGGAGCTGCTCTCCTCTCTCCTTTCTTCTGCCTATTAAACTTTCTACTCCTTAACCCACCCACATGTGTTCATGTCCTTAATTTTCTCAGCACAAGAGGATGAACCCCTGGTACTTACCACTGACAATGATGCTGCTTCACACATAATGTAAATATATATTTAATAACCTACATATTTCTACATATATTGATGTGTACACACACACACACACACACACACACTCAAATGTGGGCCATTACAGATGTTAATTTCTAAAAGAATGGTGCAGATGAATGCCGCGGTTGAGGAGAGAGAGTGCTTTGAGCGTGGGGCTGGACAGGCTTAGCCTGGCACGAGCACCTGCAGCCTTGCACTGAGGAATGGGAAGTCCCCACATACTGAAAATCTTCAGGGAGGACATCCTTAATAAGTTCAGCCAACTTTTTTCTGAGCATATCTTTCCCACCAAAAATCACTTTCCAAAGGTTCGTGTCAGGTAACGAACACAGCACGTTCTCGAGAGAATAAGCTAGTTTGAACTAGAGGGTTAATTTAGGTGAACAGCAGCAAAATTGTGGCGATAGTGAGTTGCGTTTTGAAGTGTTGTAATTTTTGACCTGTTAAATAGGTTTTAACCTTTGGCAGGAGTAAAGAGCCATTGGAGGTTTTTCTGGAGGAGACTGATCTGCACAAATTATTTTTGTAATAAAGAATTACATTAGAAATAGAAGTTAGATGGACTGAGACAAAAACTTGAGACAGGGAAGCTAAAGGAGAGTGGGTGGCATTATCCTGGGTGAACCGCAAGGAGGGTGTCGGGGTGGCTGTGTGAGGCATCCCTAGAGGAGGGCTGGGAGCTGACTGCATGCTGGGATTCAGATGGGAAGAGTCAGATGACTCCATGTTTTATAAGCATGTAGTTGACAGAAATAGCACAGTCAAGAAGGAACTTTGGCTTTGAGGAAAATACATGATCTATTTTGTGTAGGCAAAGCAGAGAATCAGGTGAAAAGCTATCACCTTCTTTTAACTTGTTAACAACTCTTATAAAATCTGCCAGGGACAGGGACATAAATGATGGTAATACACATAATTATTATGGGGTTTCAGGAATCTGTGTTTCTCTTTTCCCTATTAATTCTGAAATATGGCGAGGCCGTGTTCAGATTTCAAAGAAGCACTAATTCTCTCAGGTCATTCTTTACAATCTGCGGCCATATTTTTCCACTCGAGCAAACCATTTCCTTTTTACTGGATTTTCCCCTCCCTCCCTCACTCCCTTTCTCCCTTTCTTTTTCTCTCTTTCTTTTCGTCTTTCTCTTTCTCCTTTCTTTTCTTTTTGTCTTTTTTCTCTTTCTTTCTCTTTCCCTTCTTTCCTTCCTTCTTCCTTGATTCCTTCCTTCCTTCCTTCCTCCCTTCCTTCTTTTTTCTCTTTCTTCTTTAGAATACATTCAACTCTGGTTTACACGCCCTAAGAGTTAATAGTATTTAAAAGTTGATACCCTTATTTAGTCAAAATAACAGTTGGGACTGGTTTAGTTTCTAACACAGGTTTCCCTCTTGTCTCCATCGGCAATATTGGTTGAGAAATTGTCATAGTGTCTAAACTAATGAAATAGCTCTTTATGATTTTGGAGGAGACGCCCTACAGAATTTGTATCAAATGAATTGTAACTCCTAAAGGTTTACTGTGCTTTTTGGAGGTGCTATATAAATGCCAGAGCCTCAGGGCAAGACCACTTATCATCTAAGGTGGGCTGGGGAGATCCTTCAGCTATTCCTGCTTCAGGAGAAAGGAAGCTGGCTTGAATAACCCACACACCAAGGTTCATAGTTGATTATTATGTCATATCTGAAGATAGAATGTTTTGGTTTTATTTGCTAGAGTAAATAAGCAACAAAAGTGTGAAGGGGACTCCCTTTAATTGCTTCCACCCTCTACCATAGACTTGTTAATAAGACAAGAACATAAAAAAGTAAACAATATTTTAATTTCAAATTTCTTGTTAACAAAAAAATATTGGAAATTCCTACTATTGGGAAGAGAATTTCTACTTCCATGTCCTGGAAACATAACAAAGGCAAAAAAAGAATATTTGGGACAATGTTTAAGTTTTACATTTTTCCAACTTAATAATGAAGCGGTGACATTGTCTGGTGTAAATACCTGGGGTTCATTGTCTCATGCCAAGAAAATTTAGGACACAGACACTCATGGAGGAGTTTAGGAGTAGAGGTTTAATAGGCAGAAAAAAGAGAAAGGAGAATAGCTCTCTCTCCTGTGAGAGAGAGAAGGGCTTCTGAAAGAGAAAGACTGGCCAATGGCAGAGTGCGCCAAGTTTTATAGATAGGCTTGAGGAGGTGGTGTCCGATTTATGTAGGACCCACAGATTGGTTATATCAGGTGTGAGGTTTACATAGCATGAGGAGAAGGCTGGCCGCCCCACCCTAACGTTATTATGCAATTGGGCTTTCCACTTGACCGGTGCCATCTTGTCTGCTCCTTCCTGTACACGTGGTTGGCAAAGGGAAAGGGAGATGGAGCCGCTATTTTGAACATGCCTAGTCCCGGTAGGTTTTTCCTGCTGACCTTCACCCGTGCAAGCTTGCAGCTGGCTTGTCTATGTCTGCAGCTCCATCTTACAGGCTGCTCTTTCTTAGAAAGTGACTTTGGGCCTCCTTTTCACTAAAAAAGAAAACCTTTACCGAGCACTTTTGTACCCTCACTATCTGCTCAAGTAATTTCTTTTTAACTCCTATATCAACAACAGGACTAAACAATGAATTGTAACATTTTAAAGTCAGGGTTTATTAAGGTATAATTTACATATGGTGACGGGGTTCTTGATATACTACCCCAAAATACGTTACCTTGGCACTTGGGGAAATGGCAGATGCAGAAAGGTCACTCTCACCTTCCCCTTGCTCGTCTCCCATGAAACAGGTCATAAAATAACTCTCTGACCTTCCTCTAAAGTAGATAATAAAACCTTCACTTCAGGGCTGCCCTCCCTATGTCCTAGGAAAGGAACATCTCTATCCTTCAAGACACAGAGCTGTCAAGTAGAATCTGAAGAAACAGGCCTTGCTCAAGTTCCCCCAATTTATTACTATTATATCAAGGCTTTTGGCCTCCAATCATATTTCTCTACTATACACTTCTTCACCAAATTTAGCATAAAAATACACAGGTTTTTCTGTTTTGTTAGGCCTTCACTTGTGAAGTCTTCACGTTATGTATAACTTGTGTTAAATAAATGTGTATGCCTTTCTCTTGTTAATCTTTTGTTTTCGACTCTCAGTTATGAACCTAACAATGAAAGAGGAAAACAAATCCTTGTCGTACTTCACGATCGCCGCAGTCATGATGCAGAATGTGTCCGTCACCCCCAATTCTCCCTGCCTCATGGCAGGCGGTCGTCTTTCCTGAGACCCAGCCCTGCAGCCACTTGTCTGCTTTCTGTTCCTAGTGTTGCCTTCTCTAGAATGGCATCTAAATGGAAACAGACAGTCTGTGCCTCGTTTCTTTCATGTAGACTAATATTTTTGATATTCATTCGTTCTTGATCGTATCAGTAGTTGTTTCCTTTTCATTGCTTCGTAGAGTTCAGGTGTATAAATGTACCAGAATTTATTCACCAGTTGATGGAAATTTTGATTTTTTTTCTTTTCCTCCAGTTTTTGGCTACTGTGAATAAACCCACTGTAATATTTGCATGCAAGTATTTATGGGTACATATGTTTTCATTTCTCTTGGGCAACTATCCAGGAGTGTGATTGCTAAGTCTTATGGGAAATATACGTTAAACTGTATAAGAAACTGACAAACTGTTTCCAAAGTGGTTATACCATCTTGCATTCCTACAAGCAATTTATGAGAATTCCAGTTACTCCTCATCCTCATCAGCATTTGGTATTTTCCACGTATTATAAATTTAATTAGTATTCTATGCATTGTTTCAAATATTATATATAACCTTGTGGGTTCTGTCCAGCTGCAGAGAATTATTATTATGGCCAATCCAAATCCTCTAGCTCAATTTTCATTATAGTTTGGAGGACAGGTTAGTGTTACGGAAATCATTATTTGCTTCTGCTTAGAGCAAAGGAATTAATTACAGCTTCTATTAGAAATTTTTTCTTCCTTTTATTAAACCAATATTGATTGATTGCCTATCATATGACAAATACAAATAACATGTGATTCCTGCCTTCTGGGAATTCATGTTCCTGTGAGGGAGGTGGACCAATAAATACAATTGCAATATAATGTGGTTCATGCTAAATCTCAGAGGGGGAATGGCTACTCAGTTCAGCATGAGGCCTTTAGGTGTTATTAGTATTTCTCATATCTAAAAGCAGAACTGACTCTGGAATGGCAGGAAAATTGTTGAAGTTCATGTGGCTGAGAGGTTTTCATTCCCCCCGACACCAAAGATGTGGTATCTTTTTCAGCATGGATTCTCCAATTCTCCAACATCAACTGAGTGTTCAATGATTCGATTCCATTCTGACACTTGGTTCCACAAGACTGTCTCCATTTCAGATGCCAGCCACAAATGGGTCACCCAGGCTACCCACATTTTTGCCTGGCTGACTACAAATCTGGAGGCTCCCTTGACATCTCCTAAATCTGGAGGCTCCCTTGACATCTCCTAAATCTGGAGGTTCCCTTGACATCTCCTTGTGCAGGTTTCAAAACTCACTAGAATGACTCACATAACTCAGAGAAAGCATTACTTACTATGATTGGTTTACTATGAAAAATGTAGCTCAGGAATAGCCACATGCGACAGATGCACAGGGTAAGGGATCAGGGGAATGTGTGTGCATGGGGCTCCCACACGCTCCCTGGATGTGCCGCCCTTCTAGCATCTTGATGGGCTCCTCAGCCTGGAGCTTCTCCAAACCCCATTGTTTATGGGTTTTAAGGGAGGTTTCATTACATAGCATAATTGATCAAATTATTGACCATTGGTGATTAAACTCAATCTCCAGCCCCTCTTCCCTTTTCAGAGGTAGGGGGAAGTCCAGCTGAAAGTTCCAACCTTCTAACCGCTTGGTTGGTTCCTCTGGCAACCAGCCCCTATCCTGAATCCATCTAGGGGCCCAGCAAGAGTCACCTCCTTAACATAGACTCAGTATTGTTGAAAAGGGCTTATTATGAGTAACAAAAGATACTCCTATCACTCCAGAAATGCCAAGGGTTTTAGGAACTCTATGCCAGGAACCCGTGTCAATGATCAAGTATATTTTCTACTATACCATAGCAAGTCTAGCTTATCATCGAAAAAAAATCATTCATGACATTTGTTAAAACAATAAGGCCGAATTCATTCAGCGGGATTATCTTGATAGGTTAAGAGACCACTGCCATGGGGTTTTACAGTAGGGAGAGAAATTGGACTCAGCTCTAAATATATCAGGGACAAGTGAGGATTTACAGCCAAGGGTGGGAGTCAGTAGGTGCCAAATTATGAAGAAAAAACCTCAGGAGTACAGGGGATTCTGTCTGAACTTATTCAGAATCCTGCAGGCACTAGAGTGCTGAGATATCACCTGGGGATGGTGGGGGAGTGAGGACATTGCTCAGAACACACGTTGAGTGCAGGAGGTTCTGGGAGGAGTGAGGAAATTGATCAGAACACTTGTTGAGGGCGGGAGGTTCTGGCTAAACTGACTTAGCAGGTTTCTGGCTCTTGGCTCTTGAGGACAAGGCCCAAGGATGAGACCTTGTTGAAAAAGTAGCTCAGAGGAGCCTGACTAGAGTTTGGTCAAGAAGAGAATCTTTGTTGCTATTTGACCCAAGGTTTATAGTCATTTGTCCCGAGTCATTTCTTCATGGTAGTCTGTGTAGCTACTGAAAATGAGTTGGTTTCTAGTTTGGCCACCAATTCTCTTAACTAAGCACAGCACTGGTAACATTTAGAAAGGGCTGGCGCATATATCCTTTCATCCGACTGTGGCACCGACTGGCATCTCCAGGCTTCTGCGTGTACTTAAATCTTTGTTATAGATTTATTATAGAACATTCCATGGTTTATATGTTTTTATATTAAAATCTATATGCTTATCTGTGTGAGTTCCTTTTGGGCAGAGACTGAATCACATTAATCTTTATGTCTTCCACTTTTAGTAAAGGGACCACCTTAATATGAGTTAAATGCAAAAATGAAATGCATCAATTTCCTGATCTCTAAAGCAGAACTAATAATTTATATGACCAGGGATCAAAATAATGTAAATGATTTGGGAGGCTTTAGTGCACAGAGAACAAGTCTGCATAACCACAGCAAAGCAAAATGTTTAAGAGCCTTGTTCTGATAATTTAGGTAAAATATATGTCTTTTGATTCAGATAATCACCTGAATTTTCCAGTTTGTTTGAATGAGAAACTTATTGAAAAGAGAGATAATGATCACAGGAATGATATTAAAAAATGTAGGGAGAGTCGTGGGGCATTTTTGTTCACTTTACAAAACAGTTTGTAATTTGAGGGCAAATCTCTTAGATCTGTGGATGGAAACATTGTCTTCAACATAAACATTTTTTTTTTTTTTTGAGATGGAGTCTTGCTCTGTCGCCCAGGCTGGAGTGCAGTGGCACAATTTCGGCTCAGTGCAAACTCCCCCTCCTGGGTTCAAGAGATTCTGCTGCCTCAGCCTCCTGAGTAGCTGGGATTACAGGTACACACCACCATGCCCAGCTAATTTTTTTATTTTTAGTAGAGACAGGGTTTCACCATGTTGACCGGGCTGGTCTCGATCTCTTGACCTTGTGATCTGCCCGCCTGGGCCTCCAAAAGTGCTAGGATTACAGGCGTGAGCCACCACGCCTGGCCAACATAAACATTTTTAATATTTATGTTTGTGTTTAATATCCAGAAAATAATATTTGTCAAAGTTATTGGCCAATGGGTTCTACTCGATGACAACGGAATCATTCTGTTTCATGTGATTCATTTATAGAGTTTCTCTAACATAGCAGGTTCTACTTGGTGACAACAGAACCATTCCGTTTCATGTGATTCATTTATAGAGTTCCTGTAACATAGCAGGTTGTACTCGGTGACAACGGAACCATTCTGTTTCATGTGATTCGTTATAGAGTTCCTCTAACATAGCAGGTTCTACTCGGTGACAACGGAATCATTCTGTTTCATGTGATTCATTTATAGAGTTCCTCTAACATAGCAGGTTCTACTCGGTGACAACGGAATCATTCTGTTTCATGTGATTCATTTATAGAGTTCCTCTAACATAGCAGGTTCTACTCGGTGACAAGGGAACTATTCTGTTTCATGTGATTCATTATAGAGTTTCTCTGACAGCAGATTCTACTCATTGACAATGTAACCATTCTGTTTCCTGTGATTCATTTGTAGAGTTCCTCTAACATAGCAGGCGTGCTTACCACAACACTCTCTCTTCCCTGCATCTGTGCACCTGCAGGAGTTTTGAGTACAATAGAGCAGGGGCAGTTAACGTGGCATTTCCTCCTCCCATTTTTCATGAGGGTTTTGAATTTTATTAGAAGTTCGTCAGGTACTATTTTCTGATTTTTTTTAATGTAAAAGCCTTCTTTTAGATGTTTTGTTTGCTTACCTGTGCTTCCTTGCTTGATTGCGGTTCTTACTCATCAGGATCTTGAATGGGTTTTCAGAGATTTACTTTGAGATCTGTTTCTCAAGCTCACTGACACTTACTCTTGATGTCTCCCACTTTGTTAAATTTAGATGAAAATTCTCCTTGATTTGTTTTATTTTGTATTCAGTCACCCTTTGACTGAATACAAAACATTTTGAAACAAACATTTATTGTTTTCTAGGTTAAATGTTTTCTTTATTATTTTTCCTCATGGACAGGGTGCTTTGTTTCCCACTGCTTACATTGAGGGTTGAAATTCAGAACAGAAACAGTAAATCTTTCCAGTTCCACAGGAACGAGAATGGCAACGACATATATGAGGCCACGATGGAGAAATAATGGGAAACATTTGAAACTTTAAGAATAAGACAACAGTAAGGGTTTATCACTTGTCATATTCTGTTTGGTATTGACAAGATACAACCAAAGGGATCCTCATCTGCTATGGTATATGGGAAGTTTATACACGTTAGAGGAATGAGCAGGAGCAGAATGGAGTAAAGAAAGAATTTAGGGCGTTTAGGTGTTCGGAGAAAGCAGCAGTTTTTTTTTGGGGGGGGGGAGAAATGGCTGTTGCTTTAGGGAAGAAAAGCATGGGTTACCGCCCTCCTTGCTCCTGTGGGGTCTGGAAAAATATCAGAGAATAAACACCTTCCCATCTATTTTTTTCTGTCATTTTCTAAAGGTGACTTTATTCCATGGTAAAGAGTTAACTTATAGAATAAATCATGTCTAAGTGTTTAAGTGAAACATCTTTGTCTACTTCTCAGTTAAAATACAAAAAGAAGAAACCCGGTGTTCAAAAACAATTTCAGAACTCAAATTTACATTTCCCCTGGAACAATGAAGCTGCCATCATCCTGAAAAGTATTTTCCTGGAACAATGAAGCTGCCATCATCCTGAAAAGTATTTTCACAGGAAAAAAAGGAAGGTGGGACTAAATTTCTGGAACACAAATCAAGAGTTTATGTAACAACTAAGAAAACTGGAATATCCACTATAAACCCATCCAAAAAGGACCAACATACCAGGCTAAATATAGGAAAAAATTTCATTTAAAATTTAGAGGTGTTAGGATCAGGCCAATAAATAAGAACACTAATATGTCCTTCATAAAAAGGAAAGATGTCCATACATGACGTAATGCCTTCCACAGGAAAACAGTTGCCTTTATTAAGAGAGGTGACTTTTCAAGGCTTCTGGCGATCTTTCTCTTTTTTTTCTTTTTCTTTCTTTCTTTTCTTTCTTTCGTCTTTCTTTCTTTCTCTCTCTTTCTTTCTTTGTCTTTCTTTCTCTCTCTCTTTTTCTTTCTCTTTCTTTCTTTTTTTCTTTCTTTCTTTCTCTTTTCTTTTTTTTTCAGATGGAGTCTCACTCAGCCCCAGGCTGGAGTGCAGCGGTGCGATCTCAGCTCACTGCAACCTCTGCCGCCCGCGTTCAAGTGATTCTCCTGCCTCAGCCTCCCAACTAGCTGAGATTACAGGTGCCCACCACGATACCTGGCTAATTTTTGTATTTTTAGTAGAGATAGGGTTTCACCATGTTGGTCAGGCTGGTCTCAGACGCTTGACCTCAGGTGATCCACTGCCTTGGCCTCCCATCGTGCTGGGATTACAGGAGTCAGCCACTGCACCCAGCCGTAGTGATTTTTTTATGTGACTCGTAGTTTTGAAAAGTGCTGAAATAAAGTAAAATTTTTACTTAGCACAGAGAGGGGTTGACTTTCTTTTTCTCTCAATGGTGAGTCGAGTTTCTTTGAATAGTTTTGCCTTTACCTGATTCCACTGGTTTCCATGTATTTATAATTTTTTTTGGAGTCTGGCCTTGAGAAAATTTTCAAGGTAACTAATATGCACGAAGCACATATTGATCACACTGCTAAGCATTGTGTTTGGGATGGAGAGTCACAGATGAGAAGAAATGGCCTTTGGGGAACATGGAGTCTCATGGGAGCAGGAGAGGTGAAAGCAGTTGCAGCTGATGAAATTCGGGGCTGGACACCACAACGTACGACACCTTGGCATTTGAGAAAACCACAGAAGCAGGAAGGACCCTCTGACCTTCCCCCATCCCTCTCCCCTGAAGCAGGTGATAAAAACTAGAAAAGAGGCAAGGCACAGTGGCTCATGCCTGTAATCTCAGCACTTTGGGAGGCTGAGGCAGATGGATCACCTGACGACAGGAGTTCGAGACCAGCCTGTCCAACATGGTGAAACCCCGTCTCTACTAAAAATACAAAAATTAGCCGGACGTGGTGGTGGGTGCCTGTAATCCCAGGCATGGGAGGCTGAGGCAGGAGAATCCCTTGAACTCAGGAGACAGAGGTTGTAGTGAGCCGAGATCGTGCCACTGCACTCCAACCTGGGCGATGGAGTGAGACTCCCTCTCAACAACAACAACAACAAACTAGCAAATAATTTTCTGACCTTCCCCAGAATTAGGTCATAAGATCCTCATGTGAGAGGTGCCCACCTCATATCTGGAAGTAATGAATGTCCTTGTTCTGAGGACATGAGGACAGAGAAGAATCTGAGAAAACAGGCCTCATTCAAAAAGTGTTGCCTTGGTTTGTTACCATTAGGCCCTTCCTCCTTTGTCTGATGATACTTCTCTACAGCTATCCACGATGTCACACCCAGCATCAAGATGCACAGATCACTCTGTTTCTTTGGGTCTTCATTTTCCAAGGCTCTCATGTCACATGAGACTTACTTTAGTAAATCTGTACGCTTTCCACTTGTTAATCTGTCTTTTGTTACTTGGGCTTCAGCTGTGAACCCAGTGATGGCTGAGAAAGGAAATCTTTCCTCCAGTGTCCAGGCCACTGTGATATGCGCGATGAGGGGTCTGAGTAGAGACCCAACTGAATCCCATCTCTTCATAGAGACACAAAACCTTTATTTAGAGCAAATAAAATCTCCCTAAATCTCCACTGTAACCTGAAAAGACAAAAGCTATTATGATATGGACAAAACTAAGCTCAGCAAGAAAATGCTGTTGGTGTGTCTACTTTTTCTTTGGTTTACTTTCTCATTGGAAAATGCAATATGGTTAAACACTTTTCCCCACATAATCTTTTTCTGATGTAATATTTTGTCTTCAGCCCCATGAGACTTCAAGATCTTAACATAAAGTTGAAAACCTTGAGAGAGTTACTTGTATTCCTGTGGGGTCAATAGAAAGCCTTTCCTATGGGCCTTTCTGAGGGCAAACATCTAACATCTGTGGGTTTCCAGGACCTCATGGTGTAGTCTAAAGTCTTCCCTTTTTTCTTTTTTTCTTTGAGACAGAGTCTCGCTCTGTCACCAGGCTGGCGTGCAGTGATGCAATCTCGACTCACTGCAACCTCCGCCACCCGAGCTCAAGCGATTCTCCTGTCTCAGCCTCCCAAGTAGCTGGGACTATAGGCATGTGCCAAACACGCCAGGCTAATTTTTGTATTTTTAGTAGAGACGAGGTTTCATCATGTTGGCCAGGGTGGTCTCAATCTTTGGGCCTCATGATCCACCCGCCTCGGCCTCCCAAAGTGCTGGGATGACAGTGTGAGCCACTGCGCCCAGCCTAAAGTCTTTTCTACCTTCATAAAGGTTTACGAAAAGCTCAGATTTTTCCACAAATGAGCTATTTGAAAGCCACAAACACAGACTAACACCTATTACAGTTGTTTGGTCAGTAAACAAAAATTACTAATAATGTGGGAATTATTATCTTTTTGACTGTGGGAGTAAGTGCTTCTCTGGTACAGGTTTCCTGTTATCTTTATGTGGGCAAAAGAAAGACATACACACACACACACACACACACACACACACACACACACACACACACACACACCAGTTGACTGGGATTCTGAAAACCAAGTCTCATTGTTATTCTGACAGCCTCTTTTCACTTTCAGGGTTTTTGTTGAGATGAGGCTTGAATGTAGTGTAGGGAGGATTTCAATTGTGCAACTGTCTTTGGCTTTATACAAATATTTAACCAACAGGAAACTTCTTGAGGACAAATAAAAAAGCAAAGAGAAAAAGGTGCTGTTAGACCTTCAATAGTAAGTCAGTTTCACAAAACTATTTTTAAATTTCCTATTAAAATATTGCTCTATTTCTTAGTATATCACTTTGGCATATCTGCTTCTCTCTCTGTATTAATAAATAGCGCATATAGTTTGCCTTTGGTACTTTGTACAATGTTGTTTATCTCAGTGTAAATTGGTAGCGTGTCCACAAAGGCGATTGGAGTGTGAGGCGCGAGTCCTTAGGAGCCTGTCTGCCATCTAAGCCCTGTTAGCATTTTCCTTTACTAATGTTGGGGCGGGGGGACCTCAGAAGGGGCAGAGCAAGCATATGAAAGTTTTGTTACAGAGATGCCAGTATTTGTCCTTAGAACAGGTCCAGCTGACAAAGGCGCTGCAGGATATGAAAGATTCTCATTACAATGTCACGGCAACATGACTGAAATTATTAACTCTCCACGTGGGATGATGGATGGTATAGGGTGGAGATGTCCTTGGCAGAACATATTGCTTAATTATCTTCTTTTAGTACCAGCTTACAGTCACGTTCCTATGATCGAGTACTATTCCAAATGAATTCATAAAGAGAGAATATTTAAAGATCTTATCCAATAAAAGAGCAGATTAAATGTCAGATCTTCATTAGTGGTTCTTTAATCAAGTTCTTTTTGTGGTTTTATGACAAATGCTTTCATTTTTGGCACTTGAACCTAAGACCCCCAGGTCTAAAAGGAACTTTTCTCATTTGAAATAAAGGAGGATTTAATGATTTTCAAAAGTAGAATTTATGGTCTGGTGGATAAGACTTATAAGTAGAATCTGGAGAGCCTTTAATTTTAGTGTTGGAATGAATGACACCTCGGATCTTTTACAGGGCTGTAAAGCCCTGTGACTTAGTTTCCCTATAGGTTAGAAACAGAAGGCCATAAAATATACGAATACTTGCAATGCTGTAGATTGGTAACATTTATCAGGCGACATCAGGATTCTTAATAGTCTGCAGTGGGCTCATGTCATTCTTAAAAAAATATAGTCACTATCTTTAAGCAAGTTACCCATGTAATTGATTTAATTAGTTAATATTTGAGAAATATTTTAGAGATGGAATGGATAATGCGATATCATTATATCCAGGCCTGCACCAAAACAGACTTTAGTAGCATTCTGGTTTTCCAGATGAGAAGTACATTTTATGAACAGGAAAAACCGACCACAGGGAGCTTCAGGAGTGCCCATCCCAGGTGGTTTCCAGGGAATCCTGAAGTAAAGTATCAGATCCAGAAACAGCATAGCTCTGCCGTGAAGGAGTTGATTCAGCAGAGGAACGAAACTAGCCTGTTTCTGATAATACGGAACTTAGAAATAACTTTTATTTTATTTATTCCAAATAATTTATAATTTATTATTTCCAAGTGTATTTATGGTCCTGGTTATCAGATGCAAAAATAAAAATGGATAAACAAAATTTAGCTACCAGAAACCAAGTCTATGTGTTCATATTTTAGAAAATCGTATGCATCCAAAGCCAAAGTCAGGTGTTTGTCTCATCTGAAGAGTTTTTGTGTGAGAGATTATAGCCTTTAGACCCTTACGCTGGGTTCAGATATGAAGGAAATGGTCTCATAGATGACTTCTTTTTGGTCTATTAATTTGTAGACCAATTGGAACTCTTTGTAAGCAGGATACTTACGGTACAGTAATCAGTGCTGCTATTGAGGATGACTTGAGACAAAACAATACTGTGGTGGAACTCTGGATCATGAAGTCCGATGATTTACACTCAACTGAGTATATTAATTAAATTGTAACTAATGATTCTTGTTACACAGGTGTGGGTGCTTTCAAAGATCAAATAAAATAAAATAAGTGTTAATGCTCAAAAAGATAATAAAATATAAAATGTTATAAAACAAATATCATGTAAGACCCTAAAATAGAAAACAGTAATCAATTGGGACCTGTTTATATTTGCATTAAGTCATTAAACTAAATCTATTTCCTTTTTTGATAGGATACGGTTCTCACAGATCAGATATAGCAAATATGGCCCCTGTGAAAGCCTCATAGTTTTTCTTTATGAACTAGCTGTAGAAATATGGGCTGGCATATAACACATTTACAGAGCTTTTAGTTCACTGGAACAGCTGTATTCGGAATGTGTTGATGAATTAATATTAGCTTTGGGGAGAATCTAGTAGTATAACAAAGGGCTATGTGATTGTTCATGTTCCATTTAATGTATGTATTTTTATCAATGCCTTCACTATAGAACACTTGAACACAGGAAGGGGAACATCACACACTGGGGCCTGTTGTGGGGTGGGGGGAGGGGGGAGGGATAGCATTAGGAGATATACCTAATGTAAATGATGAGTTAATGGGTGCAGCACACCAATATGGCACATGTATACATATGTAATAAACCTGCACGTTGTACACATGTGCCCTAGAACTTAAAGTATAATAAAAAAAGAGAAAGTACTCAATACATATTGAAAAAGAAAATGAACAATTTATATAAAATATGAACAGTATGCTTATTGGATAATGACAGCTGAAGAGGTAGATATTCAGAATGAGATTTTTAGGTTAGAATAGAAGGGGAGATCAACCAGGTACAACTTTACAGGGATAGAAGCAAAGTCATGTCTATAGTGGAAAGAAATATTGATGTAAATATCAGGCAGTAGCTTGACAGCAGTACCTGTGAGGAAGGCTAGGGGATGGAGGTAGTATGTGACTCAGCTTCTACAACTATTAACTTGCAGGGACTATGGATTACTTACATTCTAATCTTTAGGAATTAGCCTGGTATCTGGGCATGAAGAGCACTCATCAAAGGTTTGTTGAATGTGGGAGATTGTATTTTCCAACCAAGTGTTATCACAACAATGTCTTCCACAAGCTCTTTATCACGTGACCCTATCAAGCAATGGAGTCTACCTCTCCTCCTCCTTTAACAGGGGCAAGTATAATGACTGCTTTGAGCAATGAAATACAGCCAAAATAATACTGTGGCCCTTAAATGCTCTCAAAGCTGCTGTTTCCTCCTCTTTAGAAGTCAGCTGCCATGTTAAAAGTGTGACCACTTTGGGATTCTCAAGCTATTAAAAGTCCAAGCCACTGATCATGAGGTCAGGGGTTCGAGACCAGCCTGGCCAACATGGTGAAACCCCGTCTCTACAAAAATACAAACATGAGCCAGGCATGATGGCAGCTGGCTGTAATCCCAGCTACTTGCGAGGCTGAAGCAGGGGAATCACTGGAACCTGGGAGGCAGAGGTTGCAGTGAGCCAAGATCACGTCATTGCACTCCAGCCTGGGCGACAGAGCAAGACTCCGTCAAAAAAAAAAAAAAAAAAGTCCAAGCCAAGTGGCAATTTCCTTGGAGACTGAGAGCACATGTGGAGGCAGTGGGGGGAAGGATGGCTGAGGTGAGTGAAGAGGCCACCCCACGTGAGCTTTCAGATGGTTCTGGTCACACTGCCGTCTAACTTGCAACCACTTGGGAGATTCCAATCAACAACTATGATAAGGCCAGTCAAACCACAAAACGATGAAATACACTAATAAGCTGCTGGCTTGAGTCATTTATTTTGGGAGTATATTTTAATGTAGAAATAGATAAACGAAACACTGAATGGCTGAGAGATTCTAGATGTAATTAGATTCTAGATGAGTATTGATGTAGATGGCATCCATTTGCAATCTCTATTTCTAGGAAACGGAAGAAAAATGGGAAAGAAAATATGCTCATTTCATTAAACCGTAGAGTGCTTTTTAGTCCATTTTTCCTGCTATATATAATGGAATACCACAGACTGGGTAATTTATAATGAACAGAAATTTATTGACTCACATTTCTGGAGGCTGGAAAATCCAGAATTGAGGGGCCGGCATCTGACAAAGGCCTTCTTGCTGTGCTGTGACATGAAGACACCACATGGAGAAAGAGCAAAGAGAGGGAAGAGGGGGGGAATGGAGGGGGAGAGGGAGGGGGAGAGGAAGAGGGAGAGGGAGAGGGAGACCTGTTTCTGCATAACAGCACTAGCTCATTCAGGAAGGCAGAGACCTCATGATCTAAGCCCCTCTTAAAGGTCCCACCTCCCAATATCATCACAATGACAGTGAAATTTCAACATGAGTTTTGGAGGGACAAACATTGGAAGGGTAGCAGCTTTTACACAGAAGACTGAGTAAAATTAGTTCGCTTTACCCCACAGGCAGAACTGAGAGCATGAATGAAATTTTCTGGGAAGCCCCTGCCCTTTAGAAGAAACATTGTAACCTTGTAGTGACTGGTGTTATCACTCCTGAAACCAGCTGCTCTGCCAGGCTGTGAGTTACACAGTCAAGATACTTGCACCTAGTGAAAGCTTAAAGGGCCATCCACCTGGAATGAAGCAGGAGGGAGTCATGTTTAGGGGAGGGTTGTTGGCGGGTGGAGGTGTGGAAAGGTTGAAGCAAGGTATAAAAATAACACTGGTTAACTCTAGAAAGAGTGTGTTTACATTCGAGTTTCAAAGGGCATTTATCTTACCTCACAATGTTAGCATATTAACTATAGAGAGATTATAATGACATCTCGTGGATACTACATTTCTGTTGATTAACTTATGTGAAGCCTAAGACTTACTTTGTGCATTAAAGAATTAAGCCAATTACCTAACAAACTTAGACTTTTCTGTACTTTCATTTATTTTTTAACAGAAAATGTAATGTAGACTAATTGTTTACAAATGTCACACATGTAATCACCCAGGAAGCTTCTTTAAAAAATCTTAATGTCCAGGCTATTCTGTGTAATAATAAAGTCAAAAACTTTTAAAATGTATAGTAAAAATAAAAATCCAGAAAGGGTGTTGTTAAAAATAATCCACAAGCCTGTAGAGAAGGTCTTGAAGGCAACAATTATGACCACGTTAGAGAAAATGCATTCATGAAAACAAGACCCACAACCATTTTAACACTGGAAGTTTCTCTGTTCTGAAGACTATGTGATTTAAAGGGACTAGAGTTTGTTTGTAACAAGAAACAAGTGGAGGCCACAGCTACAGGCAAATGCATTGGACTAAATGGCCAGGTGTTTATTCATTTTACCTCTGTGGTATTTTCTATATCTGCTAGTGAAGATTATTGGCGTTACCACTTGAGAAACTCTGAGGGTCAACGTTTTAGTGTTTTTGATTTCTTTGCAGCACTGAATGTAGGCATTGTTATATTCATGGAACATGTAGAAACACGTGCTTCATTAACTAAGTGGAGACTCAGTCTACTGAATTTTTTTTAGCTGTTGTTCGTGATAGTTTAAAATATAATGGCTTCTAATGACTTTTAGCGTTAGCTATATTATTCAATGCTTTGTTCCTCACACTAAAGCACTTTCAAAGATTGCTTTATATTGCATTTAAAAGCTTGGTTACCTAAGTTGTTAACAAAATATTTCTGTAAGTTAACATTTTTGTTGTTGTTGCTGAGATAATAATGCCCATGCATGCCTAAACCGTGGTTTCTTTAGCTGAGAGCAAGTCTGATAGCTTTTATAATACTTCAAGACCTATACACACTTTCTTAGTTATAAATGAACATGATAGAAAAGTTATTTATTTGAGACAAGTCTAATAGCTGAAGATTTTTTAAAAATAGTAGTGTTTTAAGGGTAATATTGCCTTGGCATTGATTCTCTGTTCAATATTTTGAAGAGTAAAATATGATAATTCATGTTACAAATTAAGAGAAGCTAAACCCAATATAAATGACAAGATAATTTAAAAATGACTTATTTCAGTAATAAAACAGGTTTCATCCGTCTCTTCTATAGTTTAGTCTTATCTGAGAACTCATCTATTTTGCTTTACTGCACTGACTGGATGAGCTATTGATGAAGAAATTGGGAAACTTTTTTGAAATCACCAACTTTTACGTGTCTTATGTCAAGAGTCGGCTTCCATTGTCTTCCAAGAATTATGGTACACTTCAAAAGTCAGAGCTAGATAGATTCTTTTGTGAATGGAGGAACTATCCCAAGATTAGCTTTTGACTGTGATGTTTACGTGCTTTTTGATGCCATTGAATGCCATCATTAGCTTAAATAGTGCTTGTTGGAGCCAATGAATAAACTTAAATGACTCTAATATTAATAGAATATAGAAAGGAATAATAGCTATTAGCCTAAATAGCTTCAGAAGAGTGAATCCTTTGCCCAGAGACAACAGATAAGTAGTCTGCACTGATTCCTGAGTGGGCGCTGTGTGTTCATCAATGCTTTCCCGAAGTTTATTTGAAAACTCTACATCTTTAATTGGTTACTTTGTTAATGCACTAATAATACCCATTGTATTAGCACCCATACATGTCATTAGTTTATTAAAGTAACATCATTACCATGGAATAACATGATTTATATTTTTTCAAAACAGTCTTTTCAAAGACATGGAACTAATATTGAATGCATTTCCTGAAAGCACTATGAAGACACTAATGGGTAGCACTTTATAAGTTTTAACATTTCTGGAATAGGGCAGAATTCGTTGATATTTACTCTATGCTTCCCATTCAGGGTTCCTGTTATACATTTCTATCATTTGATTCTTTTAACATCTTATTGCACTTAACTACTAACATGCCCTGCCCTAGTGCCTAAAGTCGAGCCTGCCCATCTACATGTAAATGGATAACATTTGTGTTTGTTGGAATGAATAAAAAAAGATTAATTGGTTATGCAATCACATTAAAGTATCTATGGTAAGTTTTAACTTAACCAAGAGGCTGGACAGAAACTACAGGGCCAAAATTTGGTAGGACATATAGAAAACTTGTGAATTTTTGTTTGTAATAAGACCCTAGGCATCAACAACACTATGAATCTGTTGAATCAAGTTTAGCCTAACTGCCTCCTTACGTATTTTCTGTTCAGCCTAAAGGTTTCTCTGTACATAGTGAACTATAATCTAAAGGGAGGTGTAAACAGATTGTAACCTACTTTTGTGCAATTGCTGAGTTTTGGTCAATCAAAGGGGGCCAGCTGTTCAAGCCACATTCAAATAAGGCAAACACTGAGCTGTAACCAATCCAGCTGTTTCTGTAGCTGGTTTCCATTTTCGGTATATCACTTTCCTTTCTCTGTCCATAAATCTGCTATGACGTGGCTGTGCTGGAGTCTCTCTCTCAGCCTTCTCTGATTTGGGAGGCTGCCCGATTGGCGAATTGCTCTTTGCTCAGTTAAATTCTGTTGAATTTAATTTGGCTAAGGTTTTTATTTTAACACATTATAGAGGTGCGGATAAACAATGATAAGATGTCAAAACCCTTCTGGGGAGCACTGGAAGCCTCTTGCTATGATTCTATGATATAATTCAAACACCATATTTTGCTGACAACTTCCTGAGTGATATTGGAAGTACAGATATACTGCATTTCTGGCCAAACAACCATGACATACACTGTAGATTTGGAATGAACGCTATTAAGATAACCCAACCCTCTCTCTAGACAGGCAGGCAGCCAGCCATGTGTGTCCTCTCTTCTTCTTTATCACCAAGAATGACTGGGAGCTAGAGCAGCAATGTTGATGGGCATTGATCTGTTTCAGAAACATCTCAAGGACTGAGAAATGACTTCGGGCGTTCCCTTTTCAAAAGATGCTATCTCATTTCCTTACTAAAGAGATGAGAAAAAGGGTGGAAATTGAGAGATGCAAGGTAAGAACTCAAATAATGTGAATTAAGTCTGAAGGAGATTTTTTTTCCCCTCCTATGAGGTATTTACTAGCTGATAATCCTGCAGTGAAAGAATATCCAACCAGTGAGAGTTAGGAAAAAATATGGATTGTTGATTTGGAAGGAGACTAATAAACTATCCCTGCCATAATTTTTTTTCATTTTACACCCCCTTAAAATAACTAAGAAAAATATTACTTTTATAAAACACTGCAGTGAACACAGCCCTGGAATTCTGGTATTATAACAACTTTCAGGTGGAGGCATAAAGTGATATTCCAAAATGTTAAAAATCATCAATACGAGTAAAAATCTGACTTTGAATATTGGACTGCAGTGTTATTACTTCCTCTTGGTGGTGTGTTTCCAATTTTAGGGACTGTGGGGGAAAGACAAGCTGCGTACATACATGCATTCTCCCAATATCAGCCCCATTTATTTGGATGGATCTAATGATATTACTTTCAAACTTAATGCCCCTGAGATTCCTTAATAATCTCAAATTCTATCAGAAATGCCCCCACCATCAAAACTATGTCTTATGAATTCATTTCTTTGATTTGTAGAGTGGCAGGGTACATAAAGTTAACATTTGTCACAGTGTTGCATAACACCTTCATTAGGCCAATTACAGAGAGTGGCTTGAGTGGGCAACCCGTGGGCAGTCATGGTCCCGTGTATCTTCCCACCGGCACTGCTGGGACCAGAGTGTGGGTGACAGAACAAAAGGATTCCGTCCAAATGTGTTAGCAGGCCTCTTCAGGTAGGCTGTGGGAGGAGAGAAGAGGAAGGATGGTTCAATAGATTATTAAGAGAATGTTTCAACATTAAAAATATGGGGCAATTATATGAACACTACATGCTGCTAAAAGTAAAATATACAAGAGAAATGTTCTGAGGAAGAAAAACACATTCAAATGCAAATGAAGAAAACCAAAATGAGAAAATAATGAGCCAAATAGCAAAAGTTAAAACTTGGGTATGTTTGTCTGGCAATAAATCTCTTCTCCATTTGAAAAACAACTAAATGTCTCTATTCCATTATACTAGATTTAAAAATTCTTAGAGTTTGAGTAGTTTTTTTAATAAAGTCATATACACATCCAAGCATAATAATTTACTATTCACTACAGTGCGTTCAGCATAGTGTGTTATATTCAGTATATACGTAAATGCCTCAAGAACATGATCATAATGCTGATTAAACTCCTCAGTAAAACATTCTCTCAAGACAAACTTTGCTTTTCTATCGTTCGGATTTTGTTTAGGAAGAAAATTTCAACAAGCCGGCCACATAGACAAACTTCGAAGACAAAGACTTTTTTGAAATAGAAAGTTACAGAGTTTCTCTTTTAAAAGTTCCTTGTGTTTATACATCTTTGGGTGTTGCTCTTCTTTCATTATCAGAGACAGCAGTGCCTCAAGTCTAGTGTCAGAGGCATCTCTCTGCACCCGAAGCACTTTGTCAAAGTCAGGAGGGCTTAATAAGGCTCGATTTTCACTGAATGCATTTGTTAGGCTCTTGAATGTTAAATCGCAAGCTGAATCATTGTGCAATTGCTTTCTTTTCTTTTTTTTCTTTTTCTGGCCAAGTCAGAAATGGCTCTGCAGAGACAAGCTCTGAGTTATCCATTAGTGGATTAATGAATGACAATTTGTACTAAAACTAATCTCTTTTTTCCTTCAAAATGAAGCTCATCTTCCTCAATGTGTTTTTTCCACGAGGTGCATGAAATTATCAACATGTTACCAAGAAGATGAATTCTGTGTGTGACCCGTCAGCATCGTCGATACGTAACAGTGTTATGGCAGAGCTCCAGCATAAAGCCACAGCATGACACCAGGGTTGGAGAGGACCTAATACCTGCAGTCTTGGGCAGCCAGGGGATTTGTTGCTCTACACCAATTTGCTCAAATATAGAAAACATACATTTACTGTTTCCTGTAGATGTATCAGCAGCTCCTTTCCCAGGGATGGTTGAAAAGCTTTGGCTCCGTTTTGCTGTCTGCTCTCTAAACTTTCTACCCTTCTTTAACTTGCTGACTATCCATTTGGATGCTGGCTGACTGATTTCTCAATGAACCTCCTCTTCAAATTGGGCTTTCACAAATTGAACATACTATCTGTGGTGGGTAGTATTGTCCACAGGTATCCACAAGTGAGGGAGAAGGCAGCATATTGAATATACTCTCTGTGGTTGGTAGTGAGAGGTGACAGCGTGCTGGCAGTCCTCACAGCCCTCGCTCGCTCTCGGCGCCCCCTCTGCCTGGGCTCCCACTTTGGGGGCACTTGAGGAGCCCTTCAGCCCACCGCTGCACCGTGGGAGCCCCCTTCTGGGCTGGCCAAGGCGGGAGCCGGCTCCCTCAGCTTGCAGGGAGGTGTGGAGGGAGAGGCGGGAGCGGAAACTGGGGCTGCGCGCGGCGCTTGCGGGCCAGCTGGAGTTCCGGGTGGGCGTGGGCTTGGCGGGCACTGCACTCGGAGCAGCCGGCCGGCCTTGCCGGCCCCGGGCAATGAGGGGCTTAGCACCCGGGCCAGCGGCTGCGGAGGGTGTACTGGGTCCCCCAGCAGTGCCAGCCCGCCGGCGCTGCGCTTGATTTCTCGCCGGGCCTTAGCTGCCTTCCCGCCGGGCAGGGCTCGGGACCTGCAGCCCGCCATGCCTGAGCTCCCACCCCCTCCACGGGCTCCTGTGCGGCCCGAGCCTCTCCAATGAGCGCTGCCCCCTGCTCCACGGCGCCCAGTCCCATCGACCACCCAAGGGCTGAGGAGTGCGGGCTCCCGGCGCGGGACTGGCAGGCAGCTCCACCTGCAGCCCCTGTGCAGGATCCACTGGGTGAAGCCAGCTGGGCTCCTGAGTCTGGTGGGGACCTGGAGAACCTTTATGTCTAGCTAAGGGATTGTAAATACGCCAATCGGCACTCTGTATCTAGCGCAAGGTTTGTAAACACACCAATCAGCACCCTGTGTCTAGCTCAGGGTTTGTGAATGCACCAATCCACACTGTATCTAGCTGCTCTGGTGGGGCCTTGGAGAACCTTTGTGTGGAGACTCTATCTAGCTAATCTGGTGGGGATGTAGAGAACCTTTGTATCTAGCTCAGGGATTGTAAATGCACCAATCAGTGGCCTGTCAAAACAGACCACTGGGCTCTACCAATCAGCAGGATGTGGGTGGGGCCAGGTAAGAGAATAAAAGCAGGCTGCGGAGCCAGCAGTGGCAACCCGCTGGGGTCCCCTTCCATACTGTGGAGGCTTTGTTCTTTTGCTCTTTGCAATAAATCTTGCTACTGCTCACTCTTTGGGTCCACACTGCTTTTATGAGCTGTAACACTCACCGCGAAGGTCTGCAGCTTCTCTCCTGAAGCCAGCGAGACCACGAACACACCAGAAGGAAGAAACTCCGAGCACATCTGAACATCAGAAGGAACAGACGCCAGACGCGCCACCTTAAGAGCTGTAATACTCATCGCGAGGGTCCGCGGCTTCATTCTTGAAGTCAGTGAGACCAAGAACCCACCAATTCCGGACGCAGTAGTATTGTCCACGGGCATCCACAAGTGAGGGAGAAGGCAGCATATTGAATATACTGTCTGTGGTTGGTAGTGTTGTCCACGGGCATCCACAAGTTAGGGAGAAGGTAGTGAGAGGTGACAGCGTGCCGGCAGCCCTCGGTCGCCTTCAGCACCTCCTTGGCCTTGGCGCTCACTCTGGCCCTGCTTGAGGAGCCCTTCAGCCTGCTGCTGCACTGTGGGAGCCCCCTTCTGGGCTGGCCAGGCGGGAGCCGGAGCTGGCGCCCTCAGCTTGCGGGAAGTGTGGAGGGAGAGGCGCAGGTGGGAATTGGAGCTACACACTGTGCCTGTGGGCCAGTGCCAGTTGCGGGTGGGCGTAGGCTAGGCAGGCCCCACACTCGGAGTGGCTGGCCGGCGCCACCAGCCCTGGGCAGTGAGGGGCTTAGCACCTGGGCCATCAGCTGCGGAGGGTGTGCTGGGTCCCCCAGCAGTGCTGGCCCTGCTGGCATTGTGCTCAAATTCTCGCTGGGCCTCAGCTGCCTCCCTGCAGGGTAGGGCTCGGGACCTGCAGCCTGCCATACCTGAGCCTCCCCCCTGCGGTGGGCTCCTTCATGGCCCGAGCGTCCCTGATGAGCGCCGCCCCCTGCTCGATGGCTAGGGTCCCCTCGACCACCCAAGGGCTCCTCAGCCGCACTCCTCAGTGCGGGCAGATGGCGCAGGACTGGCAGGCAGCTCCACCTGCCTCCCCAGTGCAGGATCCACTGGAAGAAGCCAGCTGGGCTCCTGAGTCTAGTGGGGACTTGGAGAACTTTTATGTCTAGCTAAGGAATTGTAAATGCACCAATCAGCACTCTGTGTCTAGCTCGAGGTTTGTGAACACACCAATCAGCGCCCTGTATCTAGCTCAAGGTTTGTGAATGCACCAATCAGTGCTCTGTGTCTAGCTAATCTAGTGGGGACTTGGAGAACTTTTGTGTCTAGCTAAAGGATTGTAAACGCCCCAATTAGCACCCTGTCAAAAAGGGCCAATCAGCTCTCTGTAAAACAGACCAATCAGCTCTCTGTAAAACGGACCAATCAGCAGGATGTGGGTGGGGCCAGATAAGGGAATAAAAGCAGGCTGCCCCAAGCAGCAGTGGCAACCCGCTAGGGTCCTGATTGACACTGTGGAAAGTTTGTTCTTTCACTCTTTGCAATAAATCTTGCTGCTGCTCAATGTTTGGGTCCACGCTGCCTTTATGAGCTGTAACACTCACCGCAAAGGTCTGCAGCTTCTCTCCTGAGACCAGTGAGACCACGAACTCACCGGAAGGAATGAACAACTCCAGACGCGTCACTTGAAGAGCTGTAACACTTACCGCGAAGGTCTGCAGCTTCACTCCTGAAGCCAGCGAGACCATGAATCCACCAGATGGAAGAAACTCCCAACATGTCTGAACATCAGAAGGAACAACCTCCGGATGCACTGTCTTTAGAAACTGTAACAGTCACTGTGAGGGTCCCCGGCTTCATTCTTGAAGTCAGAGAGTCCAAGAACCCACCAATTCTGGACATAGCAGCATATTGAATATACTCTCTGTAGTGGGTAGTATTGTCCATGGGCATCCACAAGTGAGGGAGAAGGTGGCACATTAAATATACTGTTTGTGGTGGGCAGTGTTGTTTACAGGCATCCACATGCGGGAGATGGTAGCAAATTGGCATTTACTTCCCATAGAAATATTTTAGGAGAGAAGTTATTAGGGTTTTTGAAATAGTGTTTATGTTTTAGTGCATGCCCTTTAACATCTTCCTCCTAGCAAAAATAAAAAATGAAATAAAATAAAATATATAGATATATAGCCTCCATCAATGAACATGTAACTTGTGATTAATAAGTTGTTACTACAAATAAGAAAGAGTTGAGTAGTTTTAATGGTCCTAGTTCACATACTGTGGTGAGCAAGGGATAGAAGTTGAAGATCCTTTGAACAAAGCAATGTTCTTCTTGTGTAGCCTCATCCTCGTGCTTATAGAAACCAAGGTTTCTTGATGAAGCTTCCTTCTAAGTGGGCATGGGAGAAGCAGGGCAGCTTACAGCTCTTCCTGAGCTGCAACGTCTGGTTGGGGACAGATTCTCAGCCTTCTGGAGTCCCTGTTGGATGCTGGCTCTTTGTTCTCAACACAGTCCCTGGTCACCCCACCTGTGTTCCCCAGAATCCAGCTTTTAGTCTTGGTAACTTCACTCTTCCCAAAGGCAGAATCAGCTGTGGCTCCCCAGAGCAAGCTGACTTGCTTCTCAGAAACCCCAGAAATAAACAGTCTTTGAATCCCAAAATGGTGTACTTGAAGGGGCCTACAGCATTCAAATTTCATTCAAATCCAGAGCTTAAAGGAGTCTAGGTTACCCAGAAGCAGATGACAAACAGGAAAAACTGCTCTGTGAGCTGGTTATGCAAATATTCTTTCAGATACATGGAGCTTCTGGAATGAAGGAAGATGACGGAATTAAGTCACGTGTGTGGTTGGCCCTGATTGCTAAGGGGAGGCATTCTGTGAAATAAAAATGACTTCCTGTCAAGGGAAAAATCAGTGTCTTCCAGAGAGGGAGGAAGCGGGAAGTCCCAGTCTAGCAAAGACCACAGCTTGTGCCTGTAGCTGTTTTTAGTTCTCTAAGCCTTTATTTTGCTCAGTTCTGACACCAGTGTTAGCCACCCGCTAACCCCACTCTTAGCCACTCGCTAACCCCACTCTTAGCCACTCGCTGCAGTCTTCCTAGGGGAAGGGCTCCTCTTCCTATGGGTTGGATGAGTAACCACAGTGGGCTCCTGGTTCTAAACTGCCCCTCATTCCTGTGTTGTCTCCACCATTTTCTTCCTCAGCCTGGAAGCTGACACTTGTAATTTGGCCTTAGGCCCTAGTTAGGAGTAGCTCACGTGGGGCCATGGACCACAGCTAAGCCCAGGGATAGAACTGTACTTTCAGGTAATAGGTTTTCATCGTAATCCTATGTATTTTATTTTATTTATTTTACACACTGATAAAAATTGCTCTAAGAAAGATTCCATTGACTTCCTCAGACTAACAAAAGTTCTCATGGCCCAGAAAAGGTTGCTTCTTCCTGGCAGTGGGCCTGCTGCCCCTGCTTCAGTGATTCTGGTGTCCTTCCACCCTGGGACCAGGTTTCATTCATAACAAACCTGTGCCTTTGTCAGCACAGGTTTGTAGCCCGGATGACATCTGCCATCCTCCACAACGGAGCTCAAATGCCACTAAAACATTAATTTCCAGACTTTGTCCATATTTCATTTTTACCTGTTGTTGTCATGTTCCTTTTTTCAGCAATAATGAGAAGTCCTGGGCCTTCTGTCCTGGGTCGTATCTAATTCATCTTTTCATCTCAGCCATTGTTTGACAGAAATGAAATCTTCAATCAAAATTTGATGAATGTTTGAATGATGATGAATCTTGTGGCACAAGAACCTACTTTCCTTTCTTCCTATCAGGGCACCAGTGGCCCTGCAGCTGCAGGTGCCACCTCCAGCCAAGCTGTTCTTCTGGGTACCCCTGGGAGTTCCTGGTGGGCTCAAGTAAGGTAAGACAGAGAAGAAAAAAATGACATGGGAGAAAAAGAAGAAGAAAGGAGGAGATAGAGAAACAGGAAAGAGAGCAGAGAGGAAGAAATTGTGGAGTGGAGGGCTGCCCTGTTCCCCACCTCAGGGACATAAGTAAGCTGCCTGTACAGGTTCACAGAAAAATGGATTTGATTCCAGAGACCTTCCTCATTGTGTATATTTGCACTATCATGTTGTGTAGTTTTTAAGAACCCATAAAAAAAGCAAAACCTCGTGGGCCTGTAATGATCTCTACAGAATGTCAGATAAAAAGATGAGTTCAATTCTACTATATTTAAAAAGCCAGCAGGATGCAATGGTTCACACCTGTATTCCCAACACTTTGAGAGTTCACTTGAGCCCAGGAGTTCAAGGCTGCTGTGAGCCATGATTTCACCACTGCACTCCAGTGCAGATGACAGAGAGAGACCTTCTTATCTCTTAAACAACAAAAAAGCCATCAACATAAATGTTAACAGTGTGCTGTGGTCCATACCATCCTCTCTCTCTCTCTCTGAGATGTCTCTACATTCCAGTGGAGAGGGAATATGAAATCTATTGTCAGCTAGGCCTGGGACTGGTCTTCCCCAGAGGCAGGATGGCTATTTTGGCATAATTTAGACATTGACAGAAAGCTGATTTGGCCCCCTGAATATCTAGAGTTTTCTCTCTAGTCTGATATTATGCCAATTATGGTATACTATGACAAGTTCTTTTGGGTCTCAGAGTCACCTGCTAGTACATGGAGGAACATATTAAGCCTCTGTCAGCCCATCTCATCACACCTAGTGCCTGGGTGTATGCCGGCGGGTCCTATAGAATAGGTATCAGCCCATCTCATCACACCTAGTGCCTGGGTGTATGCCGGCGGGTCCTATAGAATAGGTATAGAACAGGGTTTTGGTTTTTGTTTATTTTATGAGGGGCTCTGGAGCAGGAGAGCCAGAGCATGGGGGGAGGCTATCAAGGACAGCTCAGTGCCATAGGGTGAGAAAGCCTACGCCACCAAGTGATGCTGTGTGTCTCCTGAAGTCATAAGCGATAAGGTTTATGGGGAAACAGAGGAAATCACTCAACTAAATATCATCTTCAATTTCCCCTAATTTCTGAAGTTTGGGAAATGCTGAGACCCATGACTTTTCAAATTATGCATGGTCTTTTTAAGTTAAAAAAGAGAAGTGGGTCAATGAATTAGAAGGGAAAAATAAGACAGTCTTCTCCCTTCTTTTATGTGGCAGGCAGGGGTGGCAGGGAGTTACTTCTGTAACTCGAAAGGCTTCTGACTTTTTAAAAGGAAATTGTTGTCATTGTTAATCAGGGCAGGGTCTTCTTGCCCTTTCTTGTAGAATAGCTTGGGTTTGAATTTTGGCTTTAGCCCAAAGTTTCTGGGTTACGATTGCACACAGCAGGCTTGTGAGTGCGGGTGTCAAGAAGGAGGTGGGATTTTCATAATTCTACTCTCTCAGCTCTCAACTTTGTGAAAGTGCCATTACCACCAGAAGTACTTCTCTATCTGCTCAGGTCTTCCTGCTCTACAAATCTCAACAGACAATGATGAATCATCCCTGAAGACTGCTCCGCATCATACATTTATCCGTGTTTCTCAGTCCTGGGTTGACATTTTCCTTCTCTCTCTCTGTCCCAGGATGTCTCAAGCTCAGCACTATTGACATTTTTGGTTGCATAATTCCTGGTCACAGGGGGCTTTCCTGTGTCTTGTAGGATATTTTAACAGTATCTGGGCTTACATAAAGCACAAAAAGGGCCTGAAGCTCTGAAGGTTGGGGAAAGCACACTCAAAATCCAGAGCCTGGTCAGTGAGGCTCAGGCCTTCCCTGAGTCTTTGTCCACGATATCAAGAAACCGCAATGAAGACTCAAAAACTATGGAATATCTGCTGTGACATCTGCCTCTGAATTGTTAGATATTAGCAAAATAATATGGCTTTTGCTGGCACCTCAGATGCCGGTGGGCTGTCATGTGGAATGATTGTGAATTTCTGTAAAGAGCCAAGCCACCTGAGGCTTGGTGGGCGGACTGTTACGATGCGTGGCTGCGTCCATTAGCCGGGTGTTTCAGTAGACGAAGCTCTGGGATGTGACACTGAAGTCAGCAGGCCCAGGAAGCTCACCACACCTCTTGAAACTGCAGCCTGTGGCACAAAAGTAAAATGGGAATAGATTAGTCTTTTGGGAGCTAATCTCCCAGTTGAAATGCAATAGAACTTACAGCAAGTGACAACTTTCTAAATTATTTTCTTATGCCTCATGCCGTTCTTTTGTCTCAATTTTTAGTGTTTCCACCTACTAACTTCATTCTTTCTCCCGCTATTTCTAATACATCGCCAATGATGTATTTTCAATAAGAATTCAATTACCTAGAGAGGCAGATGTGCTAACTGGCAATCTGAGGGTTTTTCTACAAGTCGATTGCAAAGCTGACTCAAGGTTCTAGCCCTGCTACTGTCAGGAGAGACTCACTGTCAACAAGCTGTTAAAAGTGAAACTTCATAATGAGGGAGAATGTATGGAACATCAAGTAATCTCCTTGTTCTTACCAATTGCCTCATTTAATTGGCACTGTTTTATTGAATTTTTAATAAAATGAAGTGAGATTTTAATGTAATCCCATCTACTTTAGACCTAATTCAACATATTAATTTATTATGAGTCTTTATTTGTTTTTTATAAAGTTATGCATTGAAAAGTTTCCCAAATTGCCAGTTATTTGTAAACTTTAAAAAACTTCTCCAAAGTAGTTTTGTTATTTGTAATAGTGCAAAAAGCAACACAAAACCACACAAGAGCATTTTGTTGACTGTCGCCGCAGTTAAGGTACTGAGTGTTGTTAAGGGAATGTATGTTTATATTTGCTAAATTTTCATGAACTTGGTAATTGAGCCATGATTATATTAACCCTTTAGATTGACAGAACTGTGGCAATAACTATGTAGTCCTGTGATAGGCCTGGACGTTGAAAAGGTGAGTGGCTGACTTCATTTAATTGTGTGATCTGAAGTGGGTCTCATTATAAACCATACACCTGATTTGAGTCATACAATGTAACTTTTAGTGAAAGTTGTACAGGTTTTCCTGAAAAAATGCTGAAGGTGCTTTTGCCTAGTAACTGTATTCTGATTATTGTATTTCAGGGCACTCAGGGAATTAGCAGCTTCTCAGATGGAGCACGTAACGAGCTACCAGTGTGTAAAGTCCCCACTATTTTAACAAGGAGACACTAAAACCAGAAAGACATTTCCAGTCGCCCAGATCCCGAAAAGTACATAAAAATCACCTCAGGACATTTAGTGGAACCCATGAATAGCTTTCGGTAAAATGCACAATTCATGTGTCTATAATTTTCTAAAAATTTGGTTCTAAATACCTCTTAAATTTCATAAATAATGTATGTTAATTTTTTAAAATATTAGACAATAAGCATAGAGAAATAAAAAGTTAACTTGTAATTTTATACCCAGAGGAAATTACTGTTGATATTTTGTTGTAGAATCAGAGACATTTCTATTTTGTACAATATTGTGAAAAAAAAACTGTTCATAATATTTTAAAATAAATTTTCTAGGTAATAATGTAACTAACAAGCACATTACTAGCAGCAGCACTGATTAATGGCTGCAGAGCATCTTTTGGTATGGGTCTACTGAAATGTATTTAACCAATCCTCAAAGTTGGTTATTTAATTTATTTTTAATATTTCTGCTACCATAAATAACGCTGTGCTGAGCACTTGCACTTCAGGTTTTCTGCGCTTCTTCACTGTGGTCTTACGATAAATATCTAGAGCGAAAGGGAATTTACACGGCTAAAAAACGACTCCTAGAGAACTTCAGAATCTCCCAGACAGCCTATTCAATTCTTTTTGTGGTTCAACAAATGGAATAATATTTCAACCGGCACTTCACAGAAGAGATGAACAAAATGGAATAAAGAAAGAGAATGAAGTATGCGCTCACTCCCGAATCCAGAGCAGCAGTCTCACTGGTGCAGACACGTCCCTGAGGGTAGATGTTACTTATGGGGGATCTGGCGTCAGCGGCTGTCCTGGACCCTGGCCACACTATGCCGTCCTCATCGTTCCTGCTCCAGGAAGAGAAACAACACTGCTGAGTTGCTGCTGGGCGCATGGCCCTGGCATCGTGGCCTCCATATGTCGGTTATTTACAGGGTTTTCCCTGCTGCACTGGTTTCCCGTGGTGGCACAACAAATACTACAAATTCAGCATCTAAAAAAAACAGCAGTTTCCCCTCTCCCGGTGCTGGGGGCTGGAAGTGTGGAGTCAGGTGCAGCAGGGCCGTGCTCGCTCTCGAGGCTCCAGAGGAGAGCCCTTCCTCGCCTCTTCCAGATTCTGGTGGCTCCGAGCTCTGTTGGGTTATTTTTTACAGTTTCTATTTCTCTGATGATATAGTCAATCTTTCCACTCGTGTGAAGGGCACTTACCTTCATCTCACTGAGCACAAGTATGCGAGCGTCGCTTCAGAGTCTTTTGGGGATAACTTTGACATTGGGTCTTTTCAGGCTTGGGATCTTCTCTCTTGAGAACTGGTCACATTTTCCTGGTGATTTATATGTCAATTAATTTTCAGTTGCATCATGGTCATTTTCGACATGATTTTGTGTAAGCTCTGGGTCTTCATTTTAAAGTGTAAGTTATTATTATCCAGGTATGGTGAGGCCACCAAAGGAAGTCACAATTGCCATCCAAAATATAATTTGCTGCTCACAGCTCTCAAGAGGTGGGGTGTGCCTCCACATGCAGGGACACCATGAAAGCACAAGGGTTGGTCATGGACAGAAGGAAAGGGAGGAGAAGGTGGCAGGCACCTTCATCATGGGATCTGCAGGAAGGAATGGGCGAGGCAGCGTATGCTGACTTAGGACTGGCCAGTTTGAATGCTTTCAGCAGGCTCTGGGTTGGGGGCCACCTGAGTTGTTGGGCACCTGGCCCTGAGACGATCAGGGAAGGGGCAAATGTGTTTGGTGCTCAAGGGCCAGACAGGGGAGGTGGGGGTGGGCTGACTCCAGCTTGGTTGGTTTCCCCTGAAGGCTGTGCTCACAGGTGAGTTGTTTGCTATCTCTAGGAATCAGTTAACCCTGGGAGGGGTAGTCTGTCCCAGGTCAGCAAGGCCCCAGATGCCAAGGCATCAAGAACACAGAATATAAGAAACTAGAAGGAATGCAGCCTTGTTAAAAACCCCTCGGGGAATGTTGTTTATTTTTTCCCCGCAGGCAAATCCATGTGGCTTGGCTCAGAGGGCAAGTTCTGTCTCCCTGTGCGTGGGCGGGTCCCAAGGCCTTTGCTAAGCTGCTCTGGTGGCTCTGATTTTGTCCTGTGCACAAACAGCTGGGGGGGTGGGGACCAGGACTGTGGGGGTGCTACACACAGAGCCAGACAAGCCCATTCTGCAGCTCTCTCCTCTAAGGGCTCCCCCCACCTCCCTAGCTTACAGGGGCTCCTTCTCCTGATCCTTTGGCCAGAAGGAAGGGGTTTCTTTTAAAGTCCTTGCCCTGAGGCACCACACAGATGTGGCTCTATAACTGGTGCCACCTAAAGGGAAACGTGACAAGAAGAGAGAGAGAAGGAGGGAGAGGGAGAAGGAGGAAGATGGAGGGAAAGGAAGCTGGGGAGGGAGAGTAGGGAGAGAAAGGGGAGAGAAGAGAAAGGGAGGAGGGAAAAGAAGTGGGGAGGGAAAAAGAGAGGGACAGAAGAGCTGGGGAAAGAGGGGCGAGAGGAAGGAGACAGGAAAAGCGGAGCAGAGGAGGGAGGAAGAGGGGTGGGAGAGACGGGGATTGAGAGAACACACACAATTTCTTCCCCCCACGCTTTGAAGACAGGATCCTTTTTGCATCTGGCCACAGACACTGGATTTCTCCTGGGAATTAGCTGCTTGTGCCACCACAGCTGGCGCTCCACTGGGGAGAGCCAAAAAACAAAAAAACTAACCCCTCAAAGGAAGCACTTCCTTTATATGGACTGAATCGTGTCCCCCTTGAAACTCACAAAATGAAGCCCCAGCCCCAGTATCTGAGAGTGTGACTGTATTTGGAAACAGCAGCTTTAAAGACGTGATTGAGGTAACATGAGGGCATCAGGGGCCGCAATCTGGCCTGTGCCCTGATGGGAAGAGGAGACTGGAACACGACACACATACTGCAGGAGGCACAGAGCGAAGACGCCACCTGCAAGCCAGGGCCAGAAGCCTTGGAAGAAGCACCTGCACACCTGAATCTTGGACTCCAGTTTTCAACACCGTGAGAGAGTAGATTTCCATTGCCAGCCAGTCTGTGGCCATCTGCAATGACTCTAGCACGTTAGTATACCCCTCTATGGGTTGCCTCCCCGAGTTTTTATTCCCTTCCCAGTCTGTCTGCTTTTGTGGATGTCTGGAGCTCTTGAGCAGTTGCTTTCTGATTTTGCCCAGAGCTTTCAGTTGCAATCAGTGAGGAAGAAGCTGCAGGAACTTGTTTCATCTTGACCATCCATACATATTAAACTGATGTGTTTGTTACATTCTACCGTCTCTTGAGTGTAATCAAATAAAAGAGCATCTGATGTAATAGGAAAATAGAGCAGGCTTTGCTAACCAGCTCGTCCTCCCTCCGCAGACACCACACAGAACGTTGGTTCCTGGAGGCACCAATCCATGTTGAGGATTGGCATAATGGGAACGGAATGATCTTGGGTCATAGGTTTTGCTTTTTTTTTTTTTTTTTTTTGCTTCTATTCAGAAAAAAATTATACTTTAGAATTCTGATTAAAAATCTGAGAAATGAAATAAAGAGTATGCCTTTTAAAAAATGTTTCACAAGAACATTGCAGTTTTATTCTAGAAGTTGTAGCAGGGAGATTTTGGCTTCATGTAATAGAAAGTCCAATGAGAATAAGATTAAACACTAAGGGAAATGGGTTTGCTGCATGTAAGGAAATCTACAAGTGGGCATGGCCTGGACTGGCTAACCCAGGGGATTAGCCAACTCTCTTACCTGGGGAAAGTTGTGGATATTTTCCATGTAAATTCTCCTGAGTCCTGCAGCCTCAGTGAGAAAGTGTGCATGTGTGTACTCACGTGTGTGTGTGTGTGTGTGTGTGTGTAATGTGATGTGGGGGCTTTGGACAATCCATTCTCTTCTGTGCAGAGGTGAACTTTCACTTTGGAGAAACTGAACAACTGTCTGAGTGAGAGCATGCCCTTATCATCCTGTGTGATCAGTGGCACTTTGCTAATGATCCAAGAAGTGAGAGACAACAGGTGGAGCAGAAATTAGAGTCCACCAGTCCATATTACTCCCACTGGGGAGGGCTGCACCCAGTGATACACTGAAAAACCTGTAACACGTCACTCCCTGAAAAAGGCTGTGCTTTGTAGCATTTGTCAATTTCCGTGGTCTAAATATTGACCCACTTTTTGTTCCCAACACGATGTCCCTAAAAATGGCGATGGGAAGCTTCGCACAGCGGGCTCTCATGAGCCGGCACGAGCTGGCTCCAGCACACCACCGGTTTCCAGTTGAAATAGTGAGAATATCTAGTTTTTATTGAGAACGTGGCTGTGCACAGCCTAGGACAGGATTTCTCAGCCTCACTTCTACAGGCCTTCTGGGCTGGCACATCCTCTGTTATGAGGCCTCACTGTCCATGGTAAGATGTTTGGCAGCATCCTGGTCTTTACCCACCATGGGCCAGTAGTATTCTCCCAGTTGTGACAACTAAAATATCTTCAAGCTTTGTCAAATGTCCCCTGTGGGCAAAATTGTGCCCGTTGGAGAACCACTGGCCTAGAAGAAGGGTGAGTTGGCTCAGTATGGAAGCTGTGTATTTGTTTTGAGGTCCTGCTAACATTTGAAGGCAAAGAGAAGGCCTGACCTTTGCTGTGGGCTTGGGCTTCATAAATGCCCGTCAAAGAATGGTCTGTGCAAAGGCAGTGATTTCACATACGTCTGAATGGGGATTTATACTTTTTTTTCTAGTTGGTGTGTGTCAGGTGTAGAATCCCTACATTCTGTTTGCTCTATAAGGTAGTATTTTAAACAGTGATTTAAACATTTTAAACTATTGATTTTTCATCATAGTTTTTGCTCCAGTAGAAATTAGGAATTGATCAATTCTTCTTAACTTCAGGTGTGCAAAGCAATTGGCTGATTAAACCTACAAATATAGTAGAACCCTTATGTTATTTTCTGGATGAGAACTAAATGTTAAAATTTGAGAAAGGGGAGGAAAAAATTCTTTATGGATCTTGGTTAGGGGTTTCAAATGTCAATCAAGATATAAATGAGATGAATGCCTTGTGGAATTAATTATTTTTATGACTGTGTTATGATATGAAAATGTTATGATAGGGAAAAATGCAAGAAACTGTTACCCCTGTAGGAATATTGACTTTGTAGCCTTGGTTAGAAGACAGGCTCTGATGGAAAAATTTGCTATGATGGATTGTGCCATGGAGACTTGACTCTCTCTACATTTATGGCACTGAAGCCACCTCTGTGGTGTGCAGTGTGGACACACGCCACGTCTCTCAGACGAAGCACACCTGGCAGTGGGCAGGCCCTGGCTGTGCCCTGCTGCTGTGGCCTGCCCCTTCTTCCTCTAGTAGGGCGGGGACCCTCTAACCAGGCAGCTTTGGACTAGACCAGTGCTATTCAAAGAATGATCTGGAGACAGTGACCAGGAGTCCTTTGTGGATCTGGGGACCTAACATTAGGAATGATAAGTCCAGAAACTGACCATTTAGAAACTTGTAAAGAAATTTGATGTTGCCATGTGAAGTAAAAATGTGGTCTGTTTTAGCAATTCATTTATTTTGTAGTTTTTAATAGTGTTGGTCTACAATAGATTAGGAAAAACAAAACCAAACAAGAAACCAACCAACCTCCTCCAAATCTGGTTCTTTTCCTCCAAATACTCAGAGAAGCACAAGAATAGACTGTTTACACCCTAGAGAGTCTTGCACGGTCTGTTTCCAGCTCATACACCGTGAAGGCTGCTATGAGAGTAATAAACTGTGTTTCTTTCAAGGGAGGTGATGAAAATTGGAGAAGGTGGTGAGGATGCTTGATTGAAGTGAGTCCACAGCAGGCTTCACAGGGGCTGTGGAGGCCTCTGCCAGGTGCATGTCCAGCCCCCTCAGCTTCTTTGTGGACATCCTGGGCCCTTCAGGGCTCTCTCGGGGTAAGGTGTGAGACCAGATCCTCACATAACTTCCAAGAGAACTGAAACCAGGACAGGGATGCAACACACTCACCTATTCACTCTCCAGAACGATTTTCAGCATTTCAGGTGGAACTGAAATCTCTCGGACTCTGAGGCCTGCTCTCTTGTAACCTTTAACTTAAGTGCTAGAAGGTATACTAAATGCATTTTCAGTTTTGTTGCTATATTTGCCAGTGTCTGAAACTCTCCCTATAGTTCATAATTGTAGATAAAGAAGTAAAAAAAAAGAAAGCATTTGTTCTGTTGAAGGTAAAATATGCCCACATGTCATATGCAAAATGACATTGATGTGAGACCCATTTCCTCTCATTTACATAAGACAAAGTTCCTTCCATGCCAAACTTCTCTAGAAACAATATCTGGAAAAGCACAGGTGAAGGAGAGGTATGACAGAGGAATCCCAAATTGGATACTGAACGCAGAACTTGTTGCCCTTGTCTAGCAAGTTCAGATTGCCATAAGGAAGTCACCATGAGTGTTAGGTTAAATGGCCATTGCTACATTAAACTTTCTCTTAATATCACTTCAAACATTTAAAAATATATATTAGAAGAAATGCTACCATTTTCAATTAATTCTATTTTACTGGTTTCTCTTTCTGTTAATATAAATATGCATAGTTCTTTTCTTCAAATACAAAGCTGATTGGAAATTTCCAGGAACTAATTATCAAGAGGAAGAAGAATATTAACAATATACCTTGAAGTTTGTATTTCTTTTAGTCATAGCATTTTTAGGTATTCATTTAAACATGAAAAATATTGGAACAATCTTGTTTTACCAACAAAACAACAGATTCCTAGATATAATTTTTATTTAGTCAGGCTTCTCATTTTTTTCAGTCCTCAATTTTTTTCTTCTATTGTCTAAAGGAGGTCTTACCATGCTGCATCCCTGTTGTCTTCAGTAAGGATGGCACCAAGTTCAAGAGACTGAAGAAGAGACCTGGAGCCAGTGAATGAGACAGAGAGTTTACTGAGGGGACTTACATACAGGGCAGTCCACTGGTGGGAGGCTGGACATGGACAGCAGAACTGCTACCATTTATAAAAAGCATGCAGTCTATACAGACTAGGTGAGCCTGCATGCTCAGGGTATGCTTAAATTAAGTTATTCCTGTCAGGTGTGTCTACCGTACCCTCCTCCCCAGCAGACCCTGGAATGCCGCTCACATTCTCACCGTGTCATTCCTCCACGACCTCCCTGGGCCAGGTATGGGGAGGAACATTGCAGCCAGATCTCACAGCAGCAACACAAATTACAACAAAACAGAATAACAAATACAATAACAGTCATAACGTTTTCCCAAGTGCTTGGGAGTTGACCTTACATGCTCAGTGGCAGGCCTGCGGTGGAGAGGACAGCTCTTCGCACACCCAACAGTCTGGATTTTTTCTGGAGAGATGCCACCATCTGCACCCAGTCGGCAAAGAGGTTTGCTGCACACCATCCAACAAGATGACACCCAGGTATTTGATTGATAAGCCTGGCCCCTGGACTTTGTGTTGACCACCCATCCTCTGTTCTCCAAGTGAGACAGCAAGGTGATTGTTGCAGTTTGTAAGCTGGAAAAACACTCGAAGTTAATGGAACACATGTACCCTCCCCCTCTGGGATGATATTTCCAGGGGAAGATGGTAAAGGCCCGTTGTTCTTATGTTTGAGGGAGCGACAATATTTTGCATATTACCAAGTGACTAGTGTCACACCCAGTGGGTCACCCTGCTGGCCCTTTGGTTGCCCCCTTTCCTTTGGCGCCCTTGACTTTCATCCTTGTAGCATGCACCCCTTGCCCATGCAGTTTCTTCATGTCTCCTAAGCCAGTGGCTGCTCGGGCCACTGGAGACTCTGGCTGTCCTGCCTAAGGGTTCAGGAGAGACACTAGCACACCGTACCACTGACTGGATGCTGGCTCTAAGATGACATCTTTCATGCCACCAGTGAACAAAAGCTGATTTTTGGAAACTAGATAGTGCTCAGCATAGATAGCATGCTTCCTTCTTAATTCCCAGAGGATGTCTGGCACTTTCGTCATAGTCTGGTGTTGCAGAGGAGACGTGGGGATGTCTGCTCAGCATGGACAGCATGCTTCCTTCTTAATTCCCAGAGGATGTCTGGCATTTTCGTCACAGTCTGGCATTGCAGAGGAGACGTGGGGATGTCTGCTCAGCATAGACAGGATGCTTCCTTCTTAATTCCCAGAGGATGTCTGGCATTTTCGTCATAGTCTGGCGTTGCAGAGGAGACGTGGGGATGTCTGCTCAGCATAGACAATATGCTTCCTTCTTAATTCCCAGAGAATGTCTGGCATTTTCGTGGTAGGCTGGCATTGCAGAGGAGACGGGGTGGGGGTGGTGTCTTACTCATTTGGCCAGTTCCCCTTGCAGCCACAACCACCCAGCTACCATGGGGATGGCTCAATCCTCATTACTGGAGCTGCAGCGGTGCTGCCTCAGGACCGGGTGGATTGTGGTGGACACCTTTCCACTCACCTCAAATGCAGAGATACAGCACCTCATGTCCCCTAGAGGTAGAAGCCACCCGTGATCAGCTCTCCCCCCTCCTCCTGAAACTATTTCCCAGCTCCACCAGTTCCACAGTGGTGCTGCCCTGCGCTGTGTCATGCTGCCATCTTTCAGGCAGGGGAGACAGTTCCACAGTGGTGCCGCCCTGTGCTGTGTTGTGCTGCCATCTTTCAGGCAGTGGAGACAGTTCCACAGTGGTGCTGCCTTGCACTGTCGTGCTGCCATCTTTCAGGCAGGGGAGAGTTTTGTGGGTCTACTCCCTGAGGGCGTGATTGGCCTGCCTTTATCTTGGTGGTGTCCACTAGATGTGCATCGGGGGCTGGTAACCTCTATGGGCTTATCTCAGTCCTTGTCCTCACTCTCCTCCCAGCGGGGCTCTCCATGGGGCCCTAGGACTTAGGGCCCCAGGAAGATTGGGTCATGATAGTACTGACTAGTAGATGTGGCAGTCAGCGACCCTTCAAATGGGCTACCCAATGATCCAGAGTCTCCATTTTGCCGCCCTGTTCTTGCAGGCAGGACAGTAAGTCTCTGATGTTTCAACCTGAGATAATCTTGTATCTCTTTCTGGTCATAAATTTTCTTGTACTTGATGCACCTTTGCCTGTGCTGTGAGCTGAGCCTCAGTGTCTGTTTGGAGTGTAGTCAGGAGCAGCCGCCCGTTGTGGCTGCCAAAACTTGGGCATCTAACCTTGCTTAGATAGATATGCCCCCTGCCACAGCTCTTCCAGACCTCTCAGCATTTTCAGGGGGTTATCATACTCACTCATTTGGCTTCATCCATTAAGGATAGTGGCTATAAGGCCCACATAGACATGGACAGCCAGCCCAGGGTCTCCCCTGTGGATGTCCCCTTCCCTGATCATAGGCATGGACAGCTGGCCCAGGGTTTCCTCCGTGGATCTCCATTCCCTGATCACAGGCATGGACAGCCAGCCCAGGGTCTCCCCCACGGATCTCCCCTTCCCTGATCATAGGCATGGACAGCCGGCCCAGGGTCTTCCCCATGGATCTCCCATTCCCTGATCATAGGCATGGACAGCCAGCCCAGTGTCTCCCCCGCGGATCTCACCTTCCCTGATCATAGGCATGGACAGCCGGCCCAGGGTCTCCCCCATGGATCTCCCCTTCCCTGATCATAGGCATGGACAGCCAGCCCAGGGTCTCCCCCACGGATCTCCCCTTCCCTGATGCTATCATCTTGGCATTCACGGGGTTTGCTCTGACTTACTGGCTTCCTCACCAGTTGTGCTGGATCCTTATTGGCTTTGGTGGGGATGGCAACAGGTTCAAGAGGCTGAAGAAAAGACCTGGAGCCAGTGAACAGGACACAGGGTTTATTAAGGAAACTTTCATACAGGGCCATTGAGCGGTGGCAGGCTGGACAGGAGGAGCACTGTCATTTGTCAAAAGCATGCAGTTTACACAGATCTGGTGCAGGTACATTCTCAGGCTTTGCTTAAGTGATTTCCACAGGTGCATCTGCTACACACATCTCCCCTTCATCATAAAAGCAGGATTGTGTTCCCCTGTCCTTTTCCCAGCTTTTTCATATGTGTAAGTCGTGACATAAAATGCAAACTCTGGTCATTTTTATCCTTTTTCTGCACTTTTCCACTTATGGCTGGCTTGTCTTCAAGTCTGTTGCTTCTTCTTTCTTATGTTCAGATATTTCCATTTACTTACTCTCTCATCGAAGTGCCCTAGAAATGGGGCCAGTAGTGGCTTCTGCACATAGCACTGAGATTATCTTTCTAAATTCTTCCTCTGTACTATCCTCCACAACAGCACATTAGCTTCCATTTGGGTCAAATTAACCTCAACTTATGAACTTCAATATCCACCATCATTACATCCTCTTGTTTCATTAGGCACCATCTAAACCAAGTACTTTCGAAGTAATAAACATAAAAAGTTCAAAAACTTGGAACACAGTCTTTACTATGACTATTTCGATTTAGATTCTGTTATTTATGCTCATGTGAATGCCTTCTAGTAAGTTTGGCCTTCTTGAATGCAGTCATAGTTTGCACACGTATGGAATTGCTGGGTTGTGTTTTATTTTGTGTGTGTTTTCCTTGCAGTTATCCAATGGGTTCTGAGAGAGTGTGTTGGAGTCTGAACTGCCATTCTCAGCAAGTGTCTGACCCTTAACCCTGAGCCAGGCAGAGTCCGGGGACTAAGGTTCCATGCAGGAATGGAGTGGGGTGGCCCATCTCATGGAGGAGGAGATGAGACATAGGCAACAAGATGTGGTTAAAGATGGACAGGGGGTCAGAAATCAAAGAAAAAGAGAAAATCAAGTATCATCATCTCTCAAGGGTCGGGGTACCAGAAAGAAAGCCAACCTGAAGCAATGAGTATTTATTGCCAGTTATAACTACAGATAGCTGAGTGGGGAGAGAAGCGTTGGAAGGAAAATAGAAGAAGAAACCCAGAAATGTCCAGGTATGTGAAAACAAGTGCCGGCAGTCGCATTAAGAGGTTACTGGGGCCTTGACCGTGGTCAGGGAGAGAAATGGCATCAAGGCAGCTTAGAGACGCGCTGCTGGGAACTTCATTTTGGTTTTGTGGTAATATAAGTACCTGGATTTTAACGAATACATGTGCACTTGGCACTGGGCTGATATTTATTCAAGGGCCTTAATTGATGCTAAGAAACATAATTTAAAAAACCACTGCTTTCTTTATATTTAATGATTTTAGTAGTAGTTATGATACCAGTAAAATATTAATGTTTATTCAGCTCTCCTTTGTGCTGGCATATCCAAGTTTTCATCCACTGTGGCTGACTGAAAAGCATGGCCATGCTATTTTGTAGCTTTCCTATCAGGGCATGATCTATTTCTCCACCCCTTCACTCTGGGCTGAACTTGTGATTCGCGTTGACTAACAGAATGCAGTGAAAGACCCCCAAGAGGTCTTGCCTCTTCTGCCTTCACTTTCCTGGGACGTCGCTGCCTTCATGAGAGGAAGTCAATGATCCTCTTTGAGATTGAAAGACGACCTGAAAAGGAGGAGTTCTTGCGGTTCAGCCAGCTGAGCTCAGGCCCAGCCAACCCTCTAGCTTAATCCAACACAGCTGAACCCATGCAAGATCAGCAAAAGCACCTCTTGGCCCACCCAGAGAGCTGTGAGAAATGTAAGTCAGTCCTATTTGGGGTAACTTGTCTGGCAGTATTGAATAACTAATGAACCTGCAATTTTAACGAGCCTGCCCTTTGGCACACACACTCACCCGCACACTGATTCAAACAACAAACTATGCGAGGCCCAGGACGTGACCAGGTGGCATGTCAGTAAATACCTGTTTCCAGGCCCTTTACGAACTTTTCAATACTCACTAGAGCTGCACAAAAATTGTGCTATTGCTGCATAAAGATTGGCTATGACCGTTTTTTGTGGAGAGACAATTTCACATCTTGAAAAGATATAGTTTTTACCCAAATCTGGGATTCCACACCCAAGACATGGCTGCTCAGAAACAATTGCACTGAAGAGATTGATTGCCTCTTGGTTGTTATAGGCTCAGGGGAGGAAAGATCTGGGTTTGAATCACTGGCCCTACGATTGACAAGATGTGTAACATGGGAAAAATGCCTGACTTTCTGAATCTTCATTGCACCTCTGTAAATGGAGGCGAATAACATTAACCAATCTGGGTTATTTTGAAATACATAGTAAAATCACTCAATCTAGTGCCTACCACATACCAATTTTCAAAAACTGTAGTTTTCCTCCACTGGTGCAGTGCTTCTGTAATTGTTGTACCATTACAATCTGCACCAAAAGCAATTGGAGTTTGTTTAAAATGTGGGTGTCCAGGTCCACCACAACAGTGGTCAGTTATATTACTTTTATCTCTTATAATCCATTTTTCTTGATTATATTCTTTTAAAATATATGTGACACCAACTAGAATGGCTAAGATGGAAAATACAGACAGTATTAAGTGTTGGCTAGGATGTAGAGCAGTTGGGACTCTCCTACTCTGCTCCTGGGGGTGTGCACTGCTGTATTTACTAAAGCTGGGCATAACTGAACCCAAGAATTCCAATCCTAGGCATATTCCCAATGGAAAGGTGTGCATGTGATCACCAAAAGATAGATATTATTAAAATGTTTATAGCAGCACTCTTTGCAATAGCTCCCAACTGGAAACTACCAGGTGCCCATCAACAGCAGAGTCGACTTTTTTTGAAGCTGGGATACAATGCAGCAATGAGCATGAACAAACGACTACACGCTACAGCACAGGTGCATCTCACAAATGCCATGTTGTAGACAAGAAGCACATACAACAGTACATACTGTACAATTACATTGACTTAAGTTTAAGAACTGGTAAAACTGGCTGGGTGTAGTGGCTCAGGCCTGTAATCCCAGCACTTTGGGAGGCCGAGGTGGGCAGATCACGAGGTCAGGAGCTCGAGACCAGCCTGGCCAACATAGAGAAACCCCGTCTCTACTAAAACTACAAAAAAATTAACCGAGTGTGGTGGTACGTGCCTGTAGTCCCAACTACTCGGGAGGCTGAGGTGGGAATTGCTTGAACTCGGGAGGCAGAGTTTGCAGTGAGCCGAGATCACGCCACTGAACTCCATCTTGTTGACAGAGTGAGACTCCATCTCAAAAAAAAAAAAAAAAAAGGAACTGGTAAAACATTACTATGGTCTTAGAGGCTCAGAGTAGAGGCTCAGGTAGTGACTGGAAGGGCACCAGGAAGGTTTTGGGGGCGCAGTAATGCTCTCTGTTTCTTGATCCAGGTGCTGACTAGATGGTTGTGATTGTTTTGTGCAAGTTTGTTGAGCTGTACCACTTGTAATCCATCCACATCTCTGGATGCATATTATACTAAATAAAAAGTTTACGTTCATAAAAGAAACCATGGGACATAAAGGATACGTTCTTGCAAACTTCCTTTATGTCTTTCTAAAATCTCCCCTGCGTTCCTCTCTAGGTCCTTCAACATGAATGTTTGGAGAACTAAGAGAAAGAAACACAAACCCTGACTAACTTGAATTTAGGATTTTTTGACTTACAATAGGTTTATTGGGACGTAACCCCATCGTAGGTCAAGGAGCATCTGGACTTACAATGGTTTACCTTAGGATATTTTGAGTTTATCATGGGTTTATCAAGGTATTAAATGCATTTTGATTTATGATATTTTAGACTTATGATTAGTTTATCAGGCTGTAACCCCACTGGAAGTCTAGGAGGACCTGTATTTTAATTTAAAAAACATGCAAGCCTGTTTACATATTTATTTTATATTTCTTCACCACATCTACAAAGCAGACCACAATTAACTTTGTAGAAAAGGAGATATGAAATCTAAATGTTCCAGGACATAGTTGTGAGAGCTGCAAAGATGAGTCGATTGATTTTGTTTGGGGTCCTCCTTCTTGCTGATGCTGGCTGACCTTGTTTACTCAGCCTCCATCCTTGGGCCTGGTCAAAGAGTATTGCCGACTAGCCTGCCTCTTCCTCATCTATACTGTCATAAGACTATCTCTTTTTTGTCCAGGTACCCCTGTTGCAGTCTTAAAGGTTGTCTTTCAAAAGTTGAAAGACACAAAACTTGATGTGATCTGGCTGCTCTAACTTGATTCCGTGGTTGTGCAGAAAAACCCTCCCCACCATTCTCGTCTCCCGAAAAGCATTCATTAAGGGTTTGAACGGGATGGAAATAATTAATCTCACCTATTTGCTCAATGTGTTGCCCAGGCTGCAACTCCAGTCTATGAATGTCTTATCTGCCCATTCACAGCGATTCGAAAACGAATTTTAAACAGTAGAACCATTAATTTGGTGACCTTTTAGGCACCCAACACCAGCCACCTGGAATCTCTCTGTCAGTTCACAGTGTGTATTTTTTTTTTTCTTTTTACTCACAAAGCAAAAAAGTTTGCATGAGCTGGCAGGGGTGAGTAGGGGTGAACGGAATCAACATTTGTTGAAGTGTTCATATGTGTTTTAATGACATTGTGTAAATTATTCTATGTAACCCTCACAGTATCCTGAAGGGAAGATAAAAGCATTTTCATTTTACAAATTAAAAGAACGACCTGTGAGGCAGGCTCACTGTGAGCGGTGACTGGCGTGCCTGAGTCTGTGGAGGGAGAGCACACTCCCAGGCATCAACTCACATGACGCAGATTTGATGCTTGTGGATAGGCAGCAAGGAACAACAGGAGTTTGTGGGAGCTGCTTCCTCGAGACTCAGAAAGCTGCCGGGGTGGATGGAGCTTTGACTGTGTGTGCCCCCGTTGTGCTGTAGATGAGGGACCCTGAAATGCAGCCCACACTGGGTTTTACACCACGGGGGAACATGATGCAAGGAGCTCCAGAATTGAAGGACGTCCCGTTTCTAGGGGAGGGTGGGAACAGAGCCTGAGAATTCCAGCCTGCTCACCCTTATCTCAGAGTGTTGCATTCCCAGGACATCTTCCAAGGCCACCTGGAGAGCTGTCCTGCAGTGACACACCTCAGCTTACCCAGCGTAGAAGTGAGGGGCTCAGATTCAGCATCTGCAGCTATCCCCAAATGCCGTGATTATTATTCCACCATCCAAGGCTCACAGTGAGTTAACTGTTTTCTTTCTCCTGTCATTCAGGAGCCCAAGGGTGGTGCTTCAGCACCCTAGGAAATGTGCCAGCAAGGTCTACAGTATCAGCAACTTTACCTCTCCCTCCCAGAGCTTTCTGGAGTGCTTAGCAGAAGACAGAGGACTCTAAAGTGTGAATGTGGAATGGAAATTGAGGCCACCGGCAACGGCTGCGTCGAAGAGTAACTTGCGAACGCATAGGGATTCACAGGATAGATATTGTCTGGATATCAGGGCGAAATGTTAATTAGGGATCAAAATGTCCTTTTAAATTAGCTATGTTGAAGAGAAAGGAGAAGACCAGGAAACAGAAGAAAGATATCGTTATGTGGTATTTTGGAATAAATATTTATAGAAAACAATGATCTGTTTGTTTAAAAACTACCGATCTAAAATGCTGCCCCGTCTCATCCCTTCTTCCTGCTTTATTTTCCTTCTCACTGTTTATTCCCTGACATGTTGTAAACTAACTTATTTATCTTGCAAATGTTTCCTACTAGAATGTAAGGCCCATGAGGGCGGACGTTTTGCCTCATTCTCTTTGGAACAGTGGACACACAGGGACTTACACAAATATCTGTTGAATGAATGAATGTACGCTTCCATACATTGTATTGGAACCTTTTCATATCTTTACAAACTTGTAGCAAATCAACCAAACGTTATTAGAAGGCCTATTGTTTCTGTACACATTCAAAGTAGTTCCTTAAAGTGTTCAGTGTTTTTTACCAGTTTATTTTCATGAAGCTTTTTTAAAACACACGTCTTAAGGATCATACCGTGTTTTTTGATGCTGCAGTTTTCCGTGTATCTAATTACAGGACTGTTTCCAATACTCTCCCTGGTTCTGCATTTCCTCAGCCACCATGAGCACATTCTATTCTATGGTCATTGGATCGGCATTTTAAATCCTGTTTGGCAGAAAGAGAGTCTCATGTTTAGGTCCAAGATGTAATGGATCTCTCTAAAGGACAGCATGACATTTCCTGTGTAAAACAACTAAAATCCAGAATCCACTTCCTGGTCAATATCGTGGGGACTACCTAAGCAGCATGTGAGAACACACACACACACACACACACACACACCACACACAACAGAAAAGTGAGTGATAATCGATTTTAAGGACTAACTCTGGAGCCAGACTAACTGGGCTCTGATTACAGCTCTGATTACAGCTCTGGTGGTAACTAGCTTTACGATCTTGGGCACATTATTTAACCTCTTGTCCCTCAGTTGCTTCATCTGTAAAACCGAGATAACAATTGCAATTATCTCATAAAATTATTGGAAGGAGTTAATGAATTAGTATCAGTAAAGTGATTGGAACAATTCCTGGCATATAATAAGCTCCACATATATGCTATATAAATGCTAGTTAAATGACTAGTTAAACACACAATGAAATGTAATAAAAGAAAATAAAATTAAAGATAATATATTACCAATTGGGTAGATGGCAACAGAGAGAATGAAGACAAAGTTGAATAATCAGAGATCTCTTCTACCTGGAGAGATATTCCATTATATGACATGGTGGCAACTTGAGTGTGTATATATATATATATATATATATATATATATATATATGTGTGTATATATATATATATAATTCCCACATTTAAGAAAAAAAGGTATTCAAACAAAAATCTGTACCCATTCGAATTTTGCATAAAGAGAACCATGATGAGAAGGAATTACTGTACTTTGGTGTGCTCATAAAATTATTATATATTTATAATGATTTTTAAAAATATGGACTTTAGATGACTAATTTCTTAATATTGTACCTGTACAGAGACATTTGGAGAAACAAATTAAACCTTTATAGATAACCTTAAATATCTGAATATGTATAGAGTTGAATGATGGGACAATTGAGGGAAGGGGTAGACAGACATTAGGAAAAACAAATTAAACCTTTATAGATAACCTTAAATATCTGAATACATGTCTAGTTGAATGATGGGACAATGGAGGAAAGGGTGTAGTGAGCATAGTTTGAATGATGGACAATGGAAGGAAGGGGTGTAGTGAGCATAGTCAGTTGGAATGATAGATAATGGAAGGAAGGGTGTAGTAAGCATAGTCAGTTTGAATGATGGACAATGATAGGAAAGGTGTAGTGAGCATAGTCAGTTTGAATGATGGACAATGGAAGGAAGGGTGTAGTGAGCATAGTCAGTTTGAATGATGGACAATGATAGGAAGGGTGTAGTGAGCATAGTCAGTTTGAATGATGGACAATGGAGGGAAGGGGTGTAGTGAGCATAGTCAGTTATGGAAGGAAGGGGTGTAGCGAGCATAGTCGGTTTGAATGATGGACAATGGAGGGAAGGGGTGTAGTGAGCATAGTTTGAATGATGGACAATGGAAGGAAGGGTGTAGTGAGCATAGTCAGTTTGGATGATGGACAATGGAAGGAAGGGTGTAGTAAGCATAGTCAGTTTGCATTTGAAAGTGATGCTGAAGTCCTCGTCATTGGGATGCCAGAGGGATCTGGGTCACAAAACATACAGAAACATTTGTTTGTGAGTGTTGCGTGCATTTGCACATTTTTCATGGGGAAAAGTCCATCTGATGATCAAAAAAGTGTGTGTCCCAGCAAAGGTGCAGAAATTATTATCATTTGATTTTCTGGTTAATAGTATGTGAAAGTATTTTAAAGACAATCTACTACTCATCATTTCAATAAGAGATAATCTAAAAATTACCCATCTTGTATGAAACAAAGAAAAGAATCAGAGAAATTATATATTTATTATTCCTTAAATGTTATTTTTCTTCCTTTTACTTCTCTTCTATATTCACTGTTGCGGCATTATATTGATTTTTGTTTTCTTTTTGTAATTTGGAAAGCAGCTATGTTCACTATTATATAAACAATGCTTGAGAGTTTTCTTATGTTGTTATTAAAGTTGGTGTTCAGGTAAATTACATTATCTAATGATTTCATTTCAAGGTAAAACACAAACAGTTTTATGTCTTAAAGAGGGCCTTGGTCTGATAGGAATGAGAACCACTCTGCCATGCCCTATGCGAACAATTCTAATTGAGTAAAATCTAATACTTTGCAAACTGTCCCAAGAGAGCTTACTGATTTTACGGCAGAAGAAAAAGTTTCTATGTAGAACTCTATGTTTGAGAGGAGGAGAGGGGCTACAGCTAAGTATAGAGAAAAAACAAGGTTCCATAATGAAGAAAGAAAAAGGTGGAATCTGAGTCTTTTTCGTCTTTACCTCTGTGTGTGTGTGTTCTATACCATCATGTCTCATTTTTCTTTATCTCTTAAAGGGCAATGTGTGCACACAGCAGGCATATATGTGTTAATTGATTCATACTCCACACAATCCCCATTTCTCTTGTTCTTATCCCGACCACAATGGAGTTCAATAGAGCTAACAATGGAAAAGATAATGAGTGGGTCTAAATTCAATCCCCTTTTGTTTAAGCTAATCTCCCTCTCTAATTAATGGCTGTTCATACCATTATTGCTCACGAATCTGGCGACAGTTCTCTGCATCGGCGCAGGAAGCACTCTGTGAAATCATGTTGTCAAAGGGGACAGCATAGTCCAGCTCCCATTGCACCCTTGGTGACTTTTGGCCTAATGAAAAAGGTGTGTGGAACATGGAAACCAGAAGGAGCCCTCTCCTGTTAGTGCAGAGCTCCTGCTCCTGGGTTGCATTCTAGCTTTCGTCACACATTTTAAAATCCAAATGTAAGAATGATGTACCTTTGAAAAGACAGTGGGTTACAATGAGGGACTGAAGGAGTGGGCAGGGTCAAGTAGGGAGGGAAGAGAGAGAAGGCACAAGAGGAGCTGTGAGGAAATATCTCCCAGCCTCCATCCTCACCCTCCCTGAGCTTCCGCAGGGCTGAGGCTTCCTCTGCTGAGCTTGCGCACTTGGAGAAGCCCCCTCTGGGTGGTGATTTCTGTGCTGCAGTTGACTCCCACAGTTTGACACACACACGCACACACACACTCAAAGTCTGCAAAGGCACCAGCAGCAGTACATACATGCTTTCCTAATAGAATGCTGCTTTTAATAAACAGGCAGCCTCTTACTCTTTTAGTTTTTGTGGACTTCATTATTTAAAACTGTAAATAAACAAAGAACTCTGGATTCCTCATCCATACTATTAAGTGTTAGTGTTTCCTTTACTGGAAGCCTTCAACGTATCAGAAACTGTGCAGGGCGATAGGGTACACAGAGGCCAAAGCCAAGGCTACTGCTTTGCGGGAACTCTCAAGCCAGGTGCTTAGAGACGGCTGTGTATTGCGGACCTCAGCCACGGAGGGCTGAATTTCACAGAAATCTTGGTATATATTTGTCACATGTGTTGCTTAATTAACATTTCCAAATAGTAATTTTAGTCACCTCTAGAATAATCCAATTATACGTACAGTCACGTGTCACTTAATGAAGGGAATACGTTCTGAGAAATGCATCCTTAGGTGATTTTGCCGCTGTGTGAACATCATAGAGTGCACTCATACAAACCCAGACGGCGCAGCCTCCTCCACACCCGGGCCACATGGTACAGCCTGTTGCTCCCGGGATACACACCTGCCCAGCAGGGGACGCTACTGAACACTGCAGGCAGCTGGAACACAATGGTACGTATTTATGTATCTAAACATAATAAACAGAGAAAAGGTACAGTAAAAACATGGTATAAAAAGTGGAAAATGGTACACTTCTATAGGGCGCTTAACCACGAATGGAGCTAGCAGGACTGGAAGTTGCTGGGGTGAGTCTCTGAGTGAATGGCGAGTGGATGTGGAGGCCTGGGACGCTATTGTACACCCCTTTATAAACACTAGACACTCATGCTACACTAAATTTATAAGAAATACTTTTTCTTTCTTCAATAATGATTAACCTTTGCTTACTGTAATGTCAAACTTTTTAATTACAAAAATGACTCGTAATTACACTTAGCTTAAAATGCAAACACATTGTACAGCTGTACAAAAATATTTTCTTTCTTTATATCTTTATTCTTTCAGCCTTTTTGTATTTAATTTTTTTTTTGACTCTGTAAACTAGCTCATCATAAACAAAGTCACAAACACCTACACTAGCCTAGGCCTACACAGGGTCGGGACCATCAATAGCACTGCCTTCCACCTCCACATATTGTCCCACTGGAAGGTCTTCAGGGTGATAACATGCATGGAGCTGTCACAGTGCATGTGAATATGCACCACTCATACTGTGGGTGAAAATGCTTTCCTAGGGCTATACACTAACCTTTACACTCAAATGCAGTAAGTTGTGTTAGCTGTATTGTTGAGCGCAGGGCTTGGGGACAGGGTTACAAAGCACAGACACTGGGTTTTGATCATATGCATCCGGAAAAATACAATCACTTATTTGGGTAGACAGGTATTATTTGTGTATTTTCCTTTTATAAACACTTATCAAATGCCTACTCTTTGCTATTATGTTGGTTTTGGTGATAGAAACCATATGGTCCCATCTTCGAAGAGTTTTCAGTCTAGGAGGGGAGGCAGCTTCACGAACAGTGATTGCCGCAGAATGTGGTCAGTACATCGTCACGCATCCAGGCACCACCACGGCGTGATGCGGGGAGCGAGGAGCCATGAAGTCAGGCAAAAGCATGGAAAGAAAGATCTTCGAAAAGGAGGGGGCCTGCAAAAGAACTGAAACATGAAAAGCCGTTGAAACAAAACTGACAGGCAATATGGTCAAGTTCCTGATGACCCAAATGATCACTCATTCAGGCAGCTTGGCTCACCAAGAACAGACCTGGGGGCGGCCTGGGAGCGGGTATCAGACTGCCACAGGTTAACATAGAGAAGCGAGGTGATGCTGGATGCAGTGGGTCACGCCTGTAATTCCAGCATGTTGGGAAGCCAAGGCAGGAGGATCACTTGAGGCCAGGAATTGCAGACCAGCCTGGGCAACACAGTGTGATGTCGTCACTCCAAAAAATAAATAAAAGATTAGCTGGATGTGGTGGTACGTGCCTGTGGTCCCACCTGCTTGGGAGGCTGAGGTGGGAGGATCATTTCAGCCCAGGAGTCCCAGGCTGCAGTGAGCCATCATCACGCTACTGCACCCCAGCCTGGGCGGCAAAACAAGACCCCCTACCTACAAAAAAAGAAAGAAGAGAAAAGTGAGGTCATGCAGTGCAGGGGGCTTCCTGCAATCCTAGATCTTCATGACTCCTGGCGCTTCTGTTGTCAGGACACTCATTAAAACCCACCCCATGAGCCTCTTTTTCTACCACCGTCGCCCCCTATGAGTTTCCTTTTATGCTACCATCTGCCACGATAAGCCTCTTCTTTCCACCATCACACCCGTGAGCTTCTTGAGCTCAGGGACATGTCTCATTTGACTTGGCACCTATGTTTGCTATTACGATACTGTGTATTTATAAGGCACCACAATGTATGATTGTTACATCAATAAATCATCAGCAAACCTTGAAGATTTAATTGGGAAAAAAATCAGCTTTTGTGGCAAGTCAAGAGTCCACAGGAGGCAGCTACTGGGGTCGGTGCTGTTGAGACTGCAAGGCCTGAGGAGCTGGAACCGTGACAGATTGGAAACAGCACCTCCTCCTACCACAGGCTTTATTCACAAGTATAATTTATTTTTTCTGTGTAGGAGCTTGAGGGATTTCAGAGCATGACATCGAGTAAATGTATTTTACGTGTTATTCCTTCCTTGGCATCATGGTTTGAGCCATTCAAATATCTTCATAATCAAAAGCATAATAAATTATGACTAAAACGGTGTACCTGTGAAAACGTCCCTCGCACTCTCCCCAGTTGGAGGCTGTGCTTTTACGGTCGCAGACAGCAGGGCTGTTTGTGAGAGCAGCAGGGCTCTGCGGCTGGAGCTGAGTTAGAAGACGCCTGGCCTGCACTGCGGAGGTGCGGAGACCACAGAGGTCGGCGTGGCTCCATCACAGCTAGAGGATTCTGGGACATAATATCCGCTCTGGACTGAATGGTTAAGTCCCTCCCAAATTCATGTTAAAACTCTAATCCCCAGGAAGACAGTATTAGGAGGCACGGCCTTTGGAAGGCGATTAGGCCAGGAAGGGCTTATTGCCCTTATAAAGGAGAGGGCTCCTGTCCCCTTCAGCCACGGGAGGCCACAGTGAGAAGGCGCCATCCAGAAGCCCGGACAGTAGCCCTCACCAGATGCCAAATCTCCCTGCACCTTGACCTTGGACTCCTTCACCTCCACAACTGTGAGAAATAAATCCTTCATTGCTTATAAGCCACTCTGTCTATTGCATTCTGAGATAGAAATCCAAACAGACACAGACCATATTGGTTGTATAAAGTGGAATCCAGCTGGCCCCATTGTCTTGGTCCTGCAGGGGCAACTACATGCCCGCCTCAGAGGCATCCTCTTCTGAGACAAGGTAGCATAAATTGAGTCGGGAAGTGACCCACTCTTAGCTCCATCCTTTATTTCCTGGGTGATCTTGGAAAGCTGCATCTTTCTGGCCATTGGTTTCCTCTCCTGTAAAATGGGGATATTGGGAGTTCTTAGGGGATTAAGATATGCGACTGAAGCGGCTACATTGTCTGGGGTATATACCCTGGGGTTCCTTGTTGCGTGCCAGGAAAATTTGGGACATGGACACACACGAGGAGTTTAGGAGTGGAGCTTTAAAAGGCAGAAGAAAAGAGAAAGAGAAAACAGCTCTCTCCACAGAGAGAGGGGCCTTTGAGGGGACGGGTGGCTGATGCGCCCAATTTTATCATCAGGTTTGAGGAGGCAGGGTCTGATTTCCATAGGGCTCAGGGATTGGTTCCATCACGTATAACGTGTACATAGTGAGCGGGAAGGCTGGTTGCCCTACCCCAATCTTATTATGCAAATGGCCTTTCCAGTTGATCAGTGCCATTTTGTTTGCTCCTTACAGTACAGGTGGTTGACAAAGAGAAGGGAAGATGGAGCCCATCTTGAACATGTCTAGTCCCTAGTTCCTGCCAGTATTCACCATGCAAGCTCCCAGGTGGCTAGTCTATGTCTGCAGCTCAACTTTACAGGCTGCTCCTTGATAGAATATGATGTGGGGCTGCTTTTCATTGAAAACAAAGGCCTTACCAAGGACTCCCCTACCCTTTCTGTCCGCCTAAGTGATTTTTTCTTAACTCCTAGATCACTATGTAGCTAAAACAAATGATACCTGGAAACAGTTGACCAGTCGTTGTCATCTTTGGATGTGCCTACTAGAAATGCACAGCGCTCTGCCCACCATATGATCTTTGTAGTTGTTCCCACCGGGCCTGAACCTCTCTCCCCATCGCCAGGCTGCCCTGCTGTCTGCATGGCCGACTCTCATTCATTCCCTCTCAAGCACTGCTTCCCAGAGAGTTTCCCAGCCGCCCTCCCAAATGTGCGGTCCCTATCACATTACCCTTTTTATTTTCTCCACCACACTTCCCACCATCTACAATTATCCTGACTGAGTATTTGCTGGCCTGTCCATTGTCTCTCTACTCATAGTAGAATAAAAGGTGATTGAAGGCAACAAACATCCCATCTGTCATCCTCACTGCCATATTTCCAAGCCCTAGAAAAGTACCCGAAAAAATGAAGCACTCCATAAATGCTTTTTGAATGAGTAAGTAAATGAACCCAAATGCATTTTTCTTACTACTCCTTTGAATTATTTTTACACATTTCCAATTACTTATTTCTCTTTTTCTCTACTTCCAAACAAACCACAGTGGATACTGTGCACGACTTAGAAGCTCCAGGCAAGGATAATAAACATGCCACATCTGTATCTGTGGATGTTCCTTCAGCCTGGGCAGAAAAGATACAGTCAGGAAGATACAGAGAAAGAAACAACAGTCCATACGTGTTTAATATTTATCAGTGTAGCAAATTTCTCCAATAGAAAAAGAAAAGACAAAGTTAGTTTAATTGGATCCAGTTTCTTTAAGTACCTTTATTTTCCCTTGAAGAAAATAAAGGAGGAGAAGGGACTTAGCCAAATAATGATTTAAATTTATTCTAGTATTTCTGAGGGTGCCAAGTCAGGAGGTTGCTGAGGTTTCTTTCTCTTTCCTTTGCTGAGGTAAATTTCCAGCTCAGGCATATGGACTGACGTGGAAGAGCAATCAGTTATAAAGAAAAAATACATTTGGGGTCTGTCTCTGTTGGAAACATAATTGAAAGCATGAGTGTTGTGTGGTTTCTCTCAAACTTCAAAAGTGTGCGCAGGCACATGAAGGGGAATGCCATCTGTTTGTTGTTAGGGTCATGTTTTACTTTCCTGCTTATACTTTCAATATAGTCAATGAGCTCAGCTTTTTATAAAGAAAATTAATTACTACTTATGTTACATTTACATTAGTGGCAAATTTACTCATTTTCCCTTTTCCATTAGAAGAATGTTGTTAGATAATAGATTAGAACCATTTGGCAATTAATCACAGTCACCCACTCTCAGAAATTGCTCATTGGCCAAAATAATCCGTACAAACACTACTTAGAAAAGAAATGATCCATCTTTTGTAAACCTAAGAACATGTTGGCAGATTTGCAATGCTTGATAATAATAGCTTTTGTGCTGCAATGTACAGGAGGTGCCTTGAAATTTATAGGCTGTTGGCTACCAGCACCCATCATCCACCTTAGCACCTGCAGGAGCCCTGATGGTCAATAGGAAGGCACAGAGGGAAAAATACTGAGCTTCGGAACTTGAACCTCAGACTCAGGGGCATGCAGAAACTAGCCCAAAGTAACACTATTGCTTAGTGGCAGAATCGAGCCTGGAATCCAGTTTTCCCGATTCCTGGCTCAGTGACCCCACAGCTGCACGTGAGGGTCCCGTGGAGTTAGTGTCCTCCCGTGCTAAAGTGACACAGCTTGCGTTAATCCATAGGAACGTTCCATGATGATCCCACGACATGTATTGAAGGCAGACTATGTTCTAGGCTGTGTTAGCAAAGCCTCCATATAGTCACAGTATTCATTTCCTAGCTTAATTGTTGTTTGACTATTTTCAAGGTAGGTCAGGCCTAACCTACTAATTCCTCATTATCTGCAAACTTATTTAAAGACACTGTGTCAATTGAGTGTTTGTGATATGAGCATCAATTTTGAGATAACAGGGATACAAAAGAAGAAGGAGCCCCTGCCTCTAAAGAGCTCGCCAACTTGTTATGTGGAAATAATGGACCGAATGCCACTGATGCAAACGCACCTTCCCTCTAGGACGTGGCTCCTTTTTTCCTTTTTTAGTTGTTCTTTCACCACGTCAGCTCCTCTTTCCTGGTCTGCTTTGAAGTCTTCTTCTCTCCTCTTCCCTCTGCTGGTTCCTTTAGCCCTGGGCTTCCCTGGGGCTCAGTCCTACGTTCTCTCTTCTATTCTCTCCCAGGATCATCTCATCCAGTCGTACGGCTTCTATTATCATCCATAGCAGAAATTATGAACCCAGAGTCCATGGATAAACTTCTGGGCCTGTGAGTTCCTTGAAATTATATGCAAATTTGGTGTATATGGTCATAGCTTCTGCCAGCTTGGCAGAGGGGACCTAGACTCCACAGCTCTATTGAAGTGGGTGATGCCCAGGTCTGCATGTTCCTGAGTGTTAGGGGCCAGCTCTGACTGGCCCTGGGCACCGTGGCTTGGAGATCTCACAGCTGCATGAAGCTTAAAGCAATCTTATCTAATTGCAGTTCCCCATCCCCTGCCCCCATCTCTACCTTCCGCTTTTGTGTCCCTGTCATAGTAAATAGCATCATCACCAGGTTGTCCAACTAGAAACCAGGGACTTTCCAGACTCTTCTCTCTCCCTCATTCCATACAGCCGTCTCATGTGCTATGGGATCTTTCTCCAAAACCTCTCAAACCTATTCCCTCCCCTCCATTTCCCCTGCCCGGCCCTCTCAGCTCTCCTCAGCCTTCACTGGACACAGCAGCCTCCTGGCTGGTCTTCCCTCAGTCTCACTTCCATCTCTTCTCTCTATGGAGGCAACTGAGCATGCATTTTCTTTTTCTTTTCTTTCTTCTTCTTTTTTTTTTTTTTTTTTTTTGAAACAGAGTCTCGCTCTGTCACCATGTTGGGATGCAGTGGCCTGATCTCGACTCACTGCAATCTCTGACTTCCTGGTTCAAGTGATTCTCCTGCCTCAGCCTCCTGAGTAGCTGGGATTACAGGCACCCATCATCATGCCCAACTAATTTTTGTATTTTTAGTAGAGAAAGGGTTTCACCATGTTGGCCAGGATGGTCTCAATCTCCTGACCTTGTGATCTGCCCGCTTTGGCCTCCCAAAGTGCTGGGATTACAGGAATGAGACACCTCACCCGGCCCTGAGTGTGCATTTTCTAACATAAAATCTGATCATATCAACTGGGCGCGGTGGCTGACACCTGTAATCCCAGCACTTTGGGAGGCTGAGGCAGGCGGATCACTTGAGGTCAGGAGTTCAAGACCAGCCTGGCAAACATGGTGAAACCCTGTCTCTACTACAAATACAAAAATTAGCCAGACATGTTGGTGGGTGCCTGTAGTCCCAGCTACTCAGGAGACTGAGGCAGGAGAATCGCTTGAACTCCCAAGCAGAGGTTGCAGTGAGCTGAGATTGCACCACTGCACTCCAGCCTGGGTGACATACAGAGACTCTGTCTCAAAAATAAATGAATAAATAAATTAAAAAAATCTGATCCCATCATTGCCTGGCTCAGAATCCATTCCAGCGTACTCCAGAGATGAAAACCACAAGGATTGCATAGCCTTCCGTAAACTGTTTCGCACTCTGTCCCCAAGATCGTGACACTCACTGTAACCTATCACTTAGCTTCTCAAACATGCCATACTCCCTCCCATATCGTGTCCTTGAAATATGCTCCTCTCCTATGCTACCAACCTCCCCTTCCTCGTCCAGCCCTCCCCACAGCACCCCCAGCCCCTACTTCTTTCATTCATCAGCTAACTGCTCCTCATTCTTCAGTTTCTACTTCTCCCTGAGGGCAGATCTGATTTCCTCAAAGAGGGAAGATGTCCCTGCTGTTGGTTCCTCCATAGCAACTCCTCTTTTGTAATATCTGGAATTCACTACCTTGTGGTGACGTGGTTGTGCCTCTTCCTCCAACAAACGTCCACCCACTGAGGGCAGGGCTCACATCTAGATGCTTGCTTTCGTATTCCTAGGATCTAGAATAAGGCTCAGTACTCAGTAGGTGCTGTGCAAATACTTAGTGAGGAGTCAAGAGCCCACGTGCATGGGACAGACAGTGAAGCACAGTTAGAGATTTGAAAGGAAGTCACACCGTTGGTTACAGCTGTCATCCAGCAAGTAGGGCTTAAGTTTGTTCAGAAAAACAGATAGGGTGTGGCTTAGGCAGGATAAGAAAGCATAAAAAACAAAAGATGGAAAAACATTTTGGGAAAAGTGAGCTAATTAAAGATATGATCAGTGAGTAGAGGAGCCTCAAGTTTTAAGCAAAGCAGACCATTTCCTACACATAAAAATAACAGTAGAAAAATTAAAAAATAATTTATTGCTCACATTTTTGGCTTTGAAGGCCATATAGTTAAGTCGTTGCAACTACTTCACTCTGCTTTTGTGTTGTGAAAGCAGCCACAGACAAACACATAATCGAATAGATGTGGCTGGGCTCTAAGAAAACTTTACTTCTAAAAACAGACCTGGAGTCTGCCATTTCTTGAGAAATTCTTTAATTCCTTGCTTTTACAGGCTAGGCATTAATAAGGTAGAGATGGCAGTTGTCTGGAAGCTTTTTCTAAAAGCATTTATGAGTTATAATTTAATGGCAATGTTATCTCTATTAGTTGATCTGTGCTCTATCCGTTTGTCTATCTACTGAATACATACTCCATTTATTTATAAAACTTGATTCGAGATGCTGTTATATAATGATTACAAATTGTACTATTGATATTTACAAATAATCATTAATTTACTCTGAATAGTCTTAAAAACTAGAAAATATCAATCTAAATGACAAATTTTCATCATTTTGGTCATTAAAATATACAGTAAGAGATTCCTTGATGAAACCCACCATTGACAAGGGAGAGGACAAGGACAGGCTTTGCTCTGGGCTAACCAAATGGGAACATGGAATTTTGCCCACTGATGGTAAGACAGCCAGCAGAAGAGGCCAGAAGAGATGAGGTCCACAGTGCAAAAACATGGGCTTGAGAATGACATCAGCGACTGGCTCCAGACTTCAAATACAGGCAGGGGAAGAAAAAGAAGGCTTTTGGCTAACAGTTCAGCATCTATCCCAGCATGAACACAGAAAGAAAAAAATTCTTCTAAAAGAGTAATACAAAATAGATAGGATCAGAGAAGACAGAGGGTGGAACGAGTTCGAACATGAGGAATTCACCAGTGGCCTGCTGAGGACCATGTGGATTTTAATGCCACTTCAGGACAATAAAAATGAAATGTCCCACCATCTTAAAGGTTTGGGACTTCTAATAGAATAAGCATTTGATTAATGAAAAAACATGTACTATAAGGAACAAGGGATCATAAAAGGCTGGTTTTTAACAGCCTAAGTACCTTTGGCATCTTGAGGTCTTTTATCACCTTGTAAATCACCCCTGGAGAGAAATAACCGCAGTGACAAGGCAGACTTCCATTACCAGCCTGTCCACCTTGGCTCTAGATTCTCAAGTATATTGTCCTGGCTAGCACCCTGTGGTGTCATGCCTTTATTATGGGGAAAGAAGGGCTGGGGCATTGTAGTGGACCTAGTTTTAGTAAATGTCTCTGGACAAATACGCCCCCTCCAAAGGCATTTTCCTTTCCTTCGCTGTCTCTGTTCTGTTCTGCGGTCCAGCATGCCTCTGTGGGTGGAATTTAACAGCCAGGGTGTCAGCCTGCCAGGGCTCCGCATCTTGTGACTTACAATAACAAATGTTCTGTTCTCCCGGGTTGCTGTGCGGGCTGCCTGTGGTTGACTTAGGACTCTTCCATGTGCCTTTCATTTCCAGACCCAGGTTGGAGAGCAGGCCCAGGGGCATGTTCCTCTCATGGCATGGAAGGCAAGCTGCACCTGATGAGCTCTTTGGGAGCCACTGGTTGGACACGGTGTACTGGAAGTCTGCTCATGGGTCATTGCCCAAAGCAAGTCAGAAGGCTAAGCTCAGAGTCAGTGAGGGAGGAGGTGCGTTCACCCATAGGTAATCTGAGTCAGGATGAGGAAGGCAGGATGAATTGGAGTCAGTCATTCCATTGACCACACCGAAGATTATGCTTGTAACTACAGAGCCTGAATACCTCATTAACAATCTCTCAGGTCAAAGTGAGCTGTTCTACTCCTGGAAGACATGTACTCACATGTGGTAAGTTTTACTAAAATGTCAGGAAAGAACCCCAACTTTAAACATTTGAATCATTTAGATTTATAGCCTTCACCTCAAGCAAATTCTTGGTGAAATAGCTCTTGACTCTTGAGGTATAGTGAAGGAACTGTGCTCAGAAGCTTCTGCACATGGTCTCATGTAGTTCCCACAACAGCCGTGAAAGGTGGTCGTTACCCCATTTTCCATATGAAGGAACTAAAGTTTAGAGACCACGTTGTATAAAGGCCATCAAGCTAGGGAGTTGGAACTGGGATTTGAACCCAGGTCTGCCTGACTCTAAATAACTCTGCTGTGTTAGAGGAATGTCTCAGGGCTTAGCATTAGTGAGAAACTGAAACCCAACATCGGCCTGTACATTCCAATCCCATGTTCACATCCTTTCATCACCAGTGCCACTTCAGAGACTGATCTTAGGGGAAATCTCTTTGATATTTACAAAAGCATATTCATGTAAGGTGCTCATGGTGGTCCTATTTGTAATGGAGAAAATTGGAAATGTTATAAAAGATTAAACCTAAGGATGCAATAAGTAATTTGATATATCTGTTAGGCAACTTTAGAATTGTTATTTATACAAATATTTGATGTCATTGGAAGTGTTCACAGTACAAAGGAGAGACTCTAAAGCAGTGTGCACAGTATGACCTCACACTGGTAGAAGGAATACTCCAATGTTAATAGAGAACAATTCTGTATAATATGCTTTTAGGTAACCCACTCCCATGCATACCAAAAGTTTATCAAGTTACATATATATGTAAAATATTGTACAGAAATAATATATATTTGTTAATATATATGTGTGTAATGTATTTATGTAAATATATATATATTTATTTATAAGTATAGACTAAGACTTTGCCCTCTCACCAACCCACACACCCCCAAAACCGGCCTTTCAGCCAAACTCAAGCTGAGAAAAATTTCATTGATCTGAGCCCTTGTGGCAAACTAACCTTTAGCAAAAATGCCTTCTCTAGGCTCCAATTTGAGATCCAGGGAAAACAGGTTTGGAAGAGTTAATGATCTTGGGGAAATTACCATTGCTGTAGAATGAAGATTATTACTTGTTCTTTCTTCATAGGCTAGACACACTATTTTTTAAAGCTAGTTGTTTATACTGTTTATAAAGAAATAAATATTCCTCATAGGAAATTTAGAAAACAAAAGTTTTTAATGATAAAAAGAATATATGATCTCATCCCATCTCTTAGACAATAACACTTTTTAATTTTTTTTTAAGACAAGATCTAGCTCTGTTGCCCAGGCTAGAGTGCACTGGCATTATCATAGCTCGCTGTAACCTCCAACTTTTGGGCTCAAGCGATCCTCCCTCCTCAGCCTCCCAAGTCACTAGGACTGCAGGTGCACACCACTGTACCAGCCTAAATTTTTTATTTTTTATTTCTTGTAGAGACAAGGTCTTACTATTACTATGTTGCCCAGGCTGGTCTTGAACTCCTGCATAAGGGATTCTCTCACCTCAGCCTCACAAATTGCTGGGGTTACAGGCATGAGCCACTGTGACCTGCCTCTAACATTTGAATTGACATCCTGCGTGTAGAGATATGCACTTATAGATGACAGCTGTACACCCATGCATATCTATATCCATGCATGCATACACATGCTTTATCAGGCCTTCACTCCTTAACAGCCTACAGAGAGAAAACTTAGAGGAGCAGCAGGGACGTACTTCCAACATGCAGGTACCAAGCTACCTAGCATACAACTTTTAACGGTTTTTGATTTTAAATGGAAAGAATCTTTCAGCGGGAAACATCAAAGGGCCTAAGAAAAAAATGGCTTTGGTATTAAGTGGCTAGTATGCTTGTCAAAAAATGACAAGAAATAATAAAAACTAAACTGAAACAACCACCACCACTACAAAATCCAGAACAATGCACCTCATTTAAAGTGTTTGTGAGGAAGTAGAATTGAGTATCTTTCTCACAAGTAAGTTCTTCTTGAGGCAGAACAGACAAGAAACAAGAACTAGAAGTATTTACAAATCTATGTCAGTGGTAGAAATTTCTCCAGCAGGAAAACAGAGCCTCAGGCTGTGTAATGAAAATTGTACTGTGAGAGCTAACATTTATTTAGTGGATATTATGTAAAGTCAGCATTCCCCTATGCAAAGCATATTTTGGGGCCATGTTGCAAACAGCAATTTCTGCATTGAGTTGGTCGAATGTGTTCACTAAGGTGCCTACAAGCATTGGATTGCTCCAGATCGGGTGTTTCTTCTCCTATTGAAAGGCTGTTTCCTACCTTAATGTCATCTGTTGAGCTCTTTTTGTTTTATAAACGTATGGCTTATTGGATGATCCTAAAGTCATTGAGCCCTTATTATTGTAATTAAGATGGTAATAAGATTATTTTTACCTCAGGACTGAAATTACTTTCAATGAACAATTTAGGTCACTGTTACATAGACAAGAATTTAACTTAAAGAGTGAGTAGGTAATAAATGATCTCTAGAATGCTTACAAATATCTACTAACTTTTTAATACAATGCTAAAGCCAAATAACAAGGCAAGGTGCTTCTGTAAGTGTTCTCGGGACTAACCCATTTACCAGTCTGAGTGCAGGCAACCACCATCTCATTTAAACCACAGAAGTTTCGGGAAAATCTTATCCAGTATTATGGGGCTGTACTAGTAAACTGCACACAAAGGAGGCCACACAAATTTGACAAAGATTTAGAGATGGGATTCTGACAGTCACGTTTTATATTAACCAGAAAAAGAGCCACCAAATTCAACCAGAGATGCAATTTTTTTGATCTTTTCAACAAAGTTGAATAAAAGTTGTTGATCAAAGAGTGAAGAAATTTGAAGATAGAATTTGCCTTAATTTACAGATGAGCCACCAGAGGCTCAGAGGGATGAAGCGTTTTGTTGAAATTACACAGTGGCTGCCATTCCAATGACTTGTGACTCCACACATTGCCTTCTGATATTCATTAGGAAGTCATTTGAAGGAGGAATTCTAAACTTTTTGGAAACATCACTGCTCTCTACTCTTCACCCTTATTGGAAATGCTTTTATTTGGAGAACCTTCACCACCTTCATGGAAACCAAAATGAGGATCTTCAAAGTTCATGTTCCATGTAGCATTAACCCTACCATGTGCTTCCCTTGAGCAGGGAACTCCTCTGTAAGGAATGGGGAAAAAGAAAAGTATTAAGAAACAATCATTATTCTCAAAGGAAAATGAGAGGCTCTGTTTCTCTTGCCTGAAGTAAAATCAGTGTTATTAGTAGCTGCATTCACAGTGTGAAGAATCACACAGAAAGCCAGTCATTTTGTTTGATGATGGAGAATTCATGTGGTCCTGCTTCTGACTGATTGTGTCACAGATAATCAACGTGCTGTATCTCCAGCCACCTCACTCTCTAAACTTAAGGAAAATGAAAGTCATGGTTTCAGACCACTTCAGTTTCTTTTCATTTTTCCTGTCTTTGATAATGAAAAAGTGGGCAACTTTATAAAAAATGTCCTAAGTGAGTAGTTGAAATCACTGATTATTTTTCAGGTATCTAGTTTCATTCTCTCAGTAAAGAACACATGAGTGATAGGAATGTGACTCATATATAATTCCCTCTTTTTTCTGTTATGTAAACATTCCAAAAAAGGGAAACATTAAAAATCGAACCCAGGGAAGACGCATCTATCATTATGAATTATGATTTCGTGGCAGTCACTGCAGCAGAGAACCTGTCTCTCTTATCCTGATGGTACTTGTGATAAAATACAAGAGTATGTGGCACCACTGTCCTTGATAAATTGAGCACTAGAAAAGCCATGAATGTGAAATTATCTAGCACATGATAAATCTGCTGTAATAAATAAAAAACGAATAGTCAGAAGAAGTAAACTTTGCTTCAAATGCTGCCTGTCTAACTTTGGGCAGGAATCCTGGCTCTCTGAAGACTGCAGAATCGGGCTCTTTAGGTCATGATTACCACCACAGAAGCCCTTGCCTAAAAAGAAAACGTTATGGAGTCACACGTTTCACCTTAAAAATGTGCCAAAGGGATGTGTCAGGATGAATGTGGAGTTGGTTGAAAATTCGTTATTACCTTCTAATTGTCAGGAACGGCATGATCTTCCAGTTGACATCCTGGGAGGATGTTAAACCTAGGCACAAGATGAATCTTTTAAACATGCTCTCAATTTGCCTCTGCAAAACCTACTTTGGTCTTCAGGCAGAAATGAATGTCATATTTTAAAGTGTGTCGAAAATTTCTAGAAAGCATCATCAGAAAGCCCTAATGCTCCCCTTCATCATTAAGCTTATCAACAAAGATCTAGTAAACACCCCAAAACTAGCAGGTCTCTAAATGCTGTTATGGCAACAAATGGAAAATTTAAATTTATTTAAAATAATTGTAATAATTCTCAGATAAACCACAGGATTCAGAAGTCTGTTCATAATATTTTCCAGTTGTTGAGAATGTAACCCTCTTGTAGATTGAGTAAGAGTTAAATTAAGTGATAGCCCGTCCTGTTCTAACAGGACCTCCAGCGCCTCCATAGGCCATAACTGGGCAGATCAATACTGAGGTGCTTCCCGCTCAGCTTGGGCTTTTCAAAGGTTGAGCTGGCAGGAATGGCTAAGCCTGCAGGGAAGGCACACCAGACACAGGAATGAGGTGTGGAAGGTCAGCAAAGAAGAAGGAGAAATAAAATGATTCTCTGATATTAAAGGTAAGCTGCTTATATTTGTTTAAAATCTTGGCCGGGCACAGTTCCTCACACCTATAATCCCAGCATTTTGGGAGGGCGACACAGGCAGATCACCTGAGGTCAGGAGTTTGAGACCAGCCTGGCCAACATGGCAAAACCCCGTCTCTGCTAAAAATACAAAAATTAGCCAGGCACGGTGGCGGGCACCTGTAATCCCAGCTACTTGGGAGGCTGAGGCAGGATAATCGCTTGAACCCAGGAGGCCGAGGTTGCAGTGAGCCGAGATTGCGTCACTGCACTCCAGCCTGGGAGACAGAGCCAGACTCTGTCTCAAACAAAAACAAAAACAAAAACAAGAAAATCTTTCTCTCCATCATATTATTCAATATGTTTTTAAAAGCACCATTTCTTATAGCCTGATACATTTCAAATTGCCCCCCTCCCCAAGGGATCTCTGTTGCTCTCTCCTCATTTTCCATTGGCTTTGGTCTTTGTGATAAACCACAGCAGAAGTAAGTACATGGAATCATTTATTTGTAGCCCTTCTGCTCCCGCCTAATCCAAGCCTGCGGAATCCAAGCCTGTGGACCATTCTGTGTTCCTTGCTTCAGTGGCAAGATATGACAGTGTGGAAAATCTAGAAAAGTCCGGCTTCCTTGAGTTTATTATAAACATCAATGCTGTTAGGGAATCAGAAGAGGACTCCAGGAAGCAAAGAGAAGAAAAGGGTTCCTTCTCTCCCATTTCCAAGACTGGAAGAGCCCCTCTGTGTGGAGCAGGGCACGCTAGTGTTAGGTAGGGGTTCCTAGAGAGGAAAGGCCTGCTTTTTGTCTATCAGCCACAGCTCTGGGTTTTCTGCAAATCCTGAGAAAGCTTTGTGAGATCTGAGAGCAGAGATGACCTCTGTCTGGAAAGAGTGGTGAGGAGGTGGAGGGAGAGGGCTGCAGAGAGCCTGGGCATAAATGCCATAGAAACAGTCATGAAGTCTCCCATAATGTTGGGTGACACAGAAATGTAAGGCCAGATCCTGTGTCTCCATCTATGGTATAGAAGCAGTCAAGAGATCCACCAACCAGAAAGAGAACACATGTACAGAAGTGTGTGAGCATAGGTGGCGTGTGTGTGTGTGGATGAGGGAGCACCCCAAGAGGATGGCAGCATCTCATTGGATGCTGAAGTGAACAGATGACATCTAGGACCAGGTGCTCCCCCAAACCATGGTGCCCTGGAACTTAGATACAACTTCTAGAAAGGTAGGGAGGAAATACTGACATTGATTTTTCTTTATTCCAATAGAATCACAAGCTAATTATTTTAAAAAAATAAGAAACACAACTTATTCACATTAATTTCTGGACTGAGGCTTATATCCACAAATGCATTTTAACTTTAAAGAGCTTAATGAAGAGCTTACTTTCTTAGGGTCTAGTGACGTACATATCTGATTGCTCATGTGGGAGGCTGCATGGTGCATTGGAAAGACGTTAAGTCAGAGAAGCACAAGAAGACATTGGGTTCTGTTCTGCTACTTATCTTCTCTTGGTCTCAGGTTTTTCCTTTTTTTTTTTTTGAGATGGAGTCTTGCTCTTTCACCAGGCTGGAGTGCTGTGACACGATCTCGGCTCACTGCAACATCTGCCTCCCGGGTTCAAAAGATTCTCCTGCCTCAGCCTCCTGAGTAGCTGGGATGCCCAGCTAATTTTTGTGTTTTTAGGAAAGATGGGGTTTCACCACATTGGTCAGGCTGGTCTTGAACTCCTGACCTCATGATCCGCCCTCCTGGCCTCCCAAAGTGCTGGGATTACAGGTGTGAGCCACTGTGTCCTGCCATGGTCTCAGGTTTTTCACATGCAAATGAACAGTTTGGACTTGATGATCTCTGAGGACCCTTCCAGCTCTGACAGTGTGATTCTTTGAGCTGAATTGTTGGTAGTGTTACCAACAGATGAGATGTTGGATACAAAGCACCTAGCTCGAAGCTTGGCACTTATGTGGTCAAAAAAATACTAATTCCTGGTATCCTCCAAGTGGTATTATCTAGTGAGCCTTTTTTCAAATTCGAAGGTTTTATTTCTCAGATATAATTTACATGAAAGGCTGTGATTTTCTCCTTTCTCTGAGTTCCAAGTGCAGGTTTTGTTCTGAAGAAGTCACACAATGGACTGATTTGTCAGTGTATTTGTTTCCAGGGATTTCCCTTCTACAGTTCTTTTCATAAAAGTGGCACTGGTTGACCTGAATTCATGACCAGGCTGAGACAGGGCTTTCTGCAACTCTGTTGAGGCCAATCTCGCTGTCTGCTTCTATTGCATTCTTCAATAGGACACTTAGTCCATTGGGCCAGTGCACCATGCCAAAAGGAGTTACTAAATTGTTAAAGTGGGCCCTCAGCAAGTTCACGTAGCTAGAGGGAAATGCCAGGTCATCCCAGAGGCTGAGGGTCTATCGAAGTTAGTGCTTGAAGGTGCTGTTGCATTGGCAGTGCATCACACGATACAGGGTTTTCATGTCTGCTTTGAATACAACTGTTTCCTGCAGGACTGCTAGTGTCCGAGGCTTGTCTTTTTCTGTTAGAAACCTTCAACAAACTACTCTCTAAGGGGACAGAGTTTCTAATAGGGGATACTTTTGACGGAGCTGGCTGAAGAAAGCAAATTGTGTGATGGCTGAGAGAGGATCCTATCACCCTTTATTGCACCATGCTCTTTATCTCTTCATTTACAACCACCTTCTCATTGGCCTCTTCATCACTGTATTTTGAACACATAACTAGTCTTTTACCCACATACAGCGTCCTGCACCTGCTGGGGCTGAGCTGTAGTATGTAGGGGCTCACAACGATGGTGTTTTGCTTTGCTTTTCAGACTCAAAATACCTCAGCCAGGAGCCGCAGCTGGTTTCTTTCAAAGTGGTTTGCAGATCCCCTGCATCCTAATATGCCTGGGGTGCCCAGTGAATGCAGGTTTTGAAGATCCCATTCCAGATCCCCTGATTCTCCAGATCCCCTGATTCAGAATCTCTGCACTTTCACCTAACACCTTGATGCTGGAGACACCACTCACACATTCCCTTCTACACCTCTGTCTCACTGCTAGGAGCCACCTCAGCTAACTCATGCATCTCTTTGTAGATGACTCTTTTAGTTGTTTTCTTTGCCAGCAGAAGCTGGGATAGATTTTCTGAGAAGTTCACACGTCTCATTTCAGTAGGCTCATACCTCTAGCACACTGTGGTTTTACCATAAGCACTTAGACAATGGCCACGGATTTAACATAACCGAGCGTGCAGTTCTAGTTCTCATCATACATACGCTTCCACCAAAGTTGTAATCTGTGTAACCATAGCATTTCTTGTGCTTTTTCACCTGTTACTTTCTATTACTTAACAGCCCATGTGAGGAAATGATTGTCAATGAGTGCTGGGAGTACCACACTGTTGTACTTTTTGACAGAGTAGGCTGCTCTGGAACCTGTATCGGTCTGGCTGCCTAGTGCATTTGCTGGCCGAGCATTTCTCTTTTTGTTTTCTTTTTTTCTTTCTTTTTTGTTTTTGAGATGGAGTCTCATTCTGTGGCCCAGGCTGGAGTGCAGTGGCATGATCTCAGCTCACTGCAACCTCTGCCTCCCGGGTTCAACTTTTGTATGTTTAGTAGAGATGGAGTTTGACCATATTGGCCAGGCTGGTCTTGAACTCCTGACCTCAAATGATCCGCATGCCTCGACGTCCCAAAGTGCTGGGATTACAGGCATGAGCCACCACACCTGGCCCTGGCCAGGCATTTCTTACTGATGATCTGAGTTGTTCCATCTTACTCTGTTCCCTCTTAGTATTTCCTAGTTACTAACATGCCCTGAGGCTGCATTTGGATCAATTTAATACCACTGTTGTTTCCAGTTGTCACCTCCCACCATTCGGCAGTTACTCCAGTCTCCTGCTTTTGCTTATCCTTGAAATGCATCCCAGCCAGTTAGGCATCTCTGCTTCTGAGACAGGAGGCTGAGAATTCCACCATGTTCAAGGAAATGGCCCTTAGGCACTGTCTAAGGGGACCATATAGGCAGTCTGATAAAGTCACATCTAAGAAAAACATTTCAGAAAGCGTCAGCTAGCACACGTGTGATTATAGAGGAAGCCAATTATGCTCAAACACTAATCAATACTTTTTAAGGATGTTTTGATACAGTCATGCATGTGCTTCTTTCCCAATGCATTAAGTAAAGGGAAACAGCTGTGACTGAGATGATCTTTGTAAATTTGAAGAGCTAGTGATCATAAATGATATTCTGAGATAACTAAAAATTATACTAATGTGAAAATATCTGTAATTTGTATTGGAACAATATAACATGTATGGTTAGTAGTATTGTGGTTTATGACTTACATTCATAATTGGAGGAAGTGCTATACATTTTAGTTAAAGATTATAGGAAATAAAGATTCATTCTTTCATTAAGTTCATGATCCCCCTCAACTGTTTTCTAAGAACCCCTGATCTAGCTCAGTCTCCCAGTTCTACCTGGGAACAAAGACTCTGAGATACAAACTGGATGCCAGGATCACACTCCTATTTGCCAGGTAGGATTGACTCTCGGATCCCTTCACCCATGCTTCTTTCTGCTGTGCTCCCCTGCTCCTGCTGCTGAATCATGAGATGGACTTCAGTGGTGATTCTGCTTCGTGATCCTATTATAGTTCCGATGATTTTGCGTTACATTTGATCCCAGCAATTCTATACAATTCCTTTTCTCTGACGTGCTTTAATTCTGATTGAAGGTCAGTGCTGGGTGCATGCCATACTCCATTTCTCCTGGAATATGATGGCAAGTTCCCTAATAATTTTTTTCATTCTTATCGATCAAAGTACCATGCTCCTACTTATTTAGAGGGAAATAAACAAAATGATAGCAGGAAGCATGTTTTTCTTTTGGGTAGTGTGGATCTGAAGATTGTATTACAAAATTTGATCAATATATGAAATATAGAGAAAAACCAGAAGCGATCAACCAAATTAACAGAGCTTTCTGAGGCAAGAGTCATTGGGAGACTATGGAAGAGCTAGAATACACTTCGCAGAATGGATTTAGTCTCTCAGAGGCTCCAATTAGAAAAAGTATTTCCTGAAGCAGACTGGATTCTGTGGGATCAACCACATTTTATAGTACTCCAATTGTTTGCATTTGGAATTCTCCCAATCATTTCACCATTTTTGGAATATGTTTAGATTGGAGTCAAAGATACTATATTAATCTTCAGATCTTGTGTTGTTACTTAATTTTTCTTATATGTAATTTTATCTCCTTAACTAGGCTACCTGCATTTTGAGATTAGGAAACTAATAAGAAGTGTTGCATTTCTCTGCATCTTTCACAGCCTTTATAACGGTGTTTGGCTGCAAGTTTATGTACACAGTGCACTGCGGAAAGAACCTTTGCTTTCCACCCAGACACACAAGGAGCAAATCCCATCTTCACTTCCTATTTCTTGCCAGGTATTAATCCAGCTAGCTATGCCCCAGTTTCCTTACTAAGTAATACCTACTTATGCAGGTGCTTTAGTAGAATGATACAGGGCAGAAGGTGGTTAAGACAATACATGGCTCACAGCAGGGGTTTGAAGAGACAACTATTATTATTATTAACTAGGGTTCCATAAATATGTGTGATTTGGTGCTCTTACTAGCTAGTGTCCAGGGGGCTTCTCTTGTACATTTTCTTGTAGTAGTCTTAGAAAATTGGAGCTAAATAAGGTGAAAGCCTGCAGAGAGGCGCAGCACGGAGCATTCCCATACATTTTAACGACTGTTTATTGTGGATGTGTCATGTCTATTTGTCTCCTTCCTCTTTCAAAGAATTGATGCCATCCAGCATTGGCGTGTTTTCTCTTCAGTTCTTAGAGCCCTGCTTACTAAGTCAGTAAAATTGTTTATATTGCTTTCAAAGGGCCAAGAAGTGAAACCATTTGAAAAGAGATAGGATTATGTTGGGGTTTTAGAAAGCTGACATGTAACACTAATTTTTTCCATCTTGCATTCACAATATATTGAGAGAGGACCCAGAAGACAGATAAATGGAGATCAAAATTTTAAAATATTTGTTATGTATTTTGAAAATTCTAATCATGCCAAAGAAGATGACTTTAGCTCTATGGTCTAACACTTCCCCTAGGTCTATGCTAAGGCTTCTCAAAGCAAAGAAGAGCAAAGCAAAACAAAACAAAGAAAACAGAACAAAATTGGAGGTTGTACCCCTGCACATGCAGACAGAGCTTGCCCTGAAAAGCCATCCTCACAGTGGATAAAAAAGCATCCTCTCTCCAGGCTCACACATTGAAAAGAACTCTCTCCAGGCTCACACATTGAAGAGAACTCTCTCCAGGCTCACACACTGAAGAGAACTCTCTCCAGGCTCACACATTTGAAAAGAGAGAGGGGATGGCATTCTGCTAATCATGCTGTTTCTTCTCCCACACTCAGTGGTAAGATCAGTCTCTCTTCCCAGAAGAAGGAATTTTAAAAAGAGGCAGAGAAGTGCTAAGCATCTTCTAGCTGAGTGGTCCTCGACGTGTGGTCCCAGGCCAGCAGCATCACCTCAGCTGGGGATTCATCTGTGGCCTCATCCTGGATCTGTGACTGCTATGATGGTCCAGAGTCCAGGGATCTGAGTTCCGCCAAGCCTTCTGGGCATTCTCCCTCAGTGGCCCTTAACCCAGGGTCCAGGGATCTGAGTTCCGCCAAGCCTTCTGGGCATTCTTGCTCTGTGGTCCTTAACCCAGGGCCCAAGGATCCGAGTTCCGCCAAGCCTTCTGGGCATTCTCGCTCTGTGGTCCTTAACCCTGGTTGCACATCAGCATTTCTTAAGAAGATTTTAAAATTATCCATGTTTGAGACCCACAGGCAGAAATAATTTATAAATTGAAATTCCTTAGGCTAAGGGCAAGGGATTCACACATTTTGCAGGTGCTTTGGGTAATTCTCAGGTGCAGGCAGCGCCCAGGGCTACAGCATGGTCCAGCCCAGGCCATGGAAACAGGAGTCCTGGGCACAGTGCAATGGGCAGACGCTGGCGGTGACTTCAAACTCACAGTCCTGCCTCTGGGGTGTGTCCTTTCCTCCTGCCTCAGCACCTGGCCTTGAGAACATTATGAAGTCACCTGAGACACAATTAGATCTGGTGACAATGAACAGTGTGAGATGGTGAGTTTTTGAGGCACAGAAAGCTCAAATACCACTGACACCTCTAAACTTGTCAGTTAAAATGTGGACTGCATTGTTTCAAGCCGTCACAAAATCCAAAGTAGGCAGACATTGCCTAATGTATTTTGAAGAGATAATTTTCACATCCTTGAAAGGAATCCACACTGAAGACTGCCTTCATTGGCACCTGAGATGACCCCTTAGAGAGCCAGTGAAAATGTAGAAAAGACACAGAAGCCTTAAAGTTTTTACATAAGTTATACTTAAAAAAAAAAAGATGGAAAGATAGGCTGTGTAGCCAAAGAGAAGAATGTTCTTTAGAAAGAGTGAATTACAAAAGGGACATGAACGCATGGGGTATTAGAGTAAGTGCTGACAGTATTCTGATGATGGGAAAATTGAGACTAAGATTAGTGATATGGTTTGGCTCTGTGTCCCCATCCAAATCTCATCTTGAATTGTAGTTCCCACAATCCCCAGGTGTTGTGGAAGTGACCTGGTGGGAGGTAATCGAATCGTGGGTGTGGTCACCCCCATGCTACTCTTCTTGTGATAGTGAGTACGTTTTCTGAGATCTGATGGTTTCGTAAGGGGCTTTTCCCCTTTTGCTCAGCACTTCCCCTTCCTGCCACCATGTGAAGAAGGAAGTGTTTGCTTCCCCTTTTGTCATGATAGTAAGTTTCCGGAATCCTCCCCAGTCCTGAGGAACTATGAGTCAATTAAATCTCTTTTCTTTCTAAATTACCCTGTCTCTAGTATGTGTTTATTAGCAGCATGAGAATGGACTAATACAACTAGTCTTGACTTTCTGGGGGCCCTGAATGAAAAGCAGCTTTGTATTTGTGCTTCCTCATAAAGTGCCCATTGACTGTAAAGAAAAGCATCATAGGCCACATGAAAAACTGCTTAATTTTTCAGACATGGGCAAACCTTTTCGTTTGCTCCAATTTTCAGAAGAGTAGGACACTAAAACATGGTGAATACAACATCTGGACTTAATTCTATATTATGTGAAAAGTAGTAAAAAGAATGAAGGATAGAAAAAAAGAAGTGCTAAGGGCCAAAGAAATGGAAGAAAAGAGAAAAGGAGAGAGAAAAAAGAATAGAGCGTGATAACAGATCAATAGAGAAAAACACAAAGACAGAAGAAGAGAAAAAGGAAGGTACAAGACAGATGTGGGAATCGGTATAAGATGATGAGTAGTCAGTATGAGGTGTTAGGAAATGGCCTCTTGGGTTGACTTGGTCCCTGGCCTTCAGTCCATTACAAATCCTCCCAACACACATTGAAATGAGTAACTCTTTGGCTTGTATTCAGAGATATTTCACTCTTCTTCATTTTTAGCTTTCAGAGATGCTGCACTGAAAGGGATGTCATTATAACCCCACAGAGTGTAAATTACTCCATGAACTGCAGTGTCAGTGATGAGAGCAATATTAATTTCAGGCCCAAATGAAATCAAACAAAGGGTTAGGTCTACCTATGTACTGAAAGTTTCCTTGTCTGACTCCAAGACTCTGGTGTTGAAATTCATTGATCATTTGGAAAAGAGGACTTCTGCAAATTCAATACACATCTGAAAAGCAAAAATGACATGGTATTCCTGCAGACTGCTGCCAGTAAAATGCTGAGTGAACACTGATAAAATTAATGTGCCTTCAAACTTGCACAGTGCACCTCTCACTGTCTTGAGGATCAGCCCTAAATAGGGGTTATTTTAGCAGCATGTCTGCTGGTTGTGGAACTTGAGTCATGGCTCCTTGCTAAGCCCCTGCCACTGGAGATATTCCAGCAGCATGCTTTGGAGTGGCAGGTGGAATCCAATCCATCCATCATGCAGCTAGGCCCAATTTTCTTTTCTGATTTCCTTGGCTGACTTTGGGGATTCCTTAAGGAAACTGTGTGGCACTTGCTATACTTGGGAGATTATTAGAGGCCGATTATCAATCTAGGTATCTCAGAGAAATCTGATTTATGTACTTGAAATTTTCTATTTCCTGGACCTCATGATTTGGTGAAATAAGATCAAAGTGACAAGTCAGTCGGGAGATAACTTTTAAATCAGTGGTAATTTTTAGTGTTCCCGTGTTTACTTTATGACATTAGGTAAATAAATTCTAAACATCCTTAGTTTACCATTTGAATCCCCTGTCGTATACTGTGCTTCCAGTAATCACAGGGTCATGTACTGGCCTTGGGATTGCCTACGTAAATAACAGAGCCTGGGCAGCCTGTTCACAGGTGTAGTTCTCGGGAGCAACACAGCCGTGATTTTTAACCAGAGATGTCTGTGTTCAAAGCTGGTACTTTAAAACACTTTACCAGCTGGGCATGGTGGCTCACTCCTGTAATCCCAGCACTTTGGGAGGCCGACGCAGGTGGATCGCGAGGTCAAGAGATCAAGACCATCCTGGCCAACATGGTAAAACCCCGTCTCTACTAAAAATACAAAAATTAGCTGGGCATGGTGGTGTGCACCTGTAGTCCCAGCTACTTGGGAGGTTGAGGCAGGAGAATCGCTTGAACCAGGAAGGTGGAGGTTGCAGTGAGCTGAGATCATGCCGCTACACTCCGGCCTGGTGGCAGAGTGAGACTCCATCTCAAAAAACAAAAAAAGAAAAAAAAAACACTTTATCATTCTGTCTCTTTATATACACATTATATACTCTGGAAGTAGAATCTAGAGTCCATGAAAAAGATTACAAATAATAAATGAAATATTTAGAATAATGACTAACACACAGTGGCCATTCAGTATGTAATAGTTTTCCTTATAATAATTGTTATATCACATTTTTCAGAATATAGACTGGGAAAAAGCTTCTGAGTGACTAAGTATATCACACAAAATCTATGGATTACAATTTATGGGGCTATTTTAACTTATTCGCATTTCGAATACATGTTCTTATCTGGTTTCTAGGGCCACTGATTATAAGCAGCAAATTAGGACAGAAAAGAGGGACTGTTACAGAAAAGGAGAGTGGTAAGTGTGAGAAATGGTGGCTAAAGGCTATTAGTGGTTTTGTGAAAACTACAAAATTATAACATTGGGAACATAAACTGAAACATTAAGAAAAACAGCCCACTGGAACCACTTCGTTTAGGAGTAAGATAAACACTAGTTCAATAATCCCTGAGGACAATTCAGTCCTAACTGTGTTCCTGGATCCACCATCTGCAACATTTCTTGTGGTGTGTTCTGCTGGTAACGAATTATTTCTTCGTTTATATGTCTGAAAAACTCGATTTTACCTTGATCTTTGAAAGATATTTTCTCTGGTAGAGAATTTTAGGTTGACTTTTTTCCTTTCAATCCTGGAGAGATTTTGCTCCTCTGTCTCCTCCCTTCCCTTGTTTGAGATGAGAGCTAGACGGCCATCCTTATCTTCATTCCTCTGTGTAGAATCTGACTAGGCAGGTGCGGTGGCTCCCACCTGTAATCCCAATACTTTGGGAAGCCGAGGCGGGCAGATCACAAGGTCAGGAGCTCGAGACTAGCCTGTCCAACATAATGAAACCCCGTCTCCACTAAAAATACAAAAAAAAAAAAAAAAATCAGCTGGGCGTGGTGGCAGGTGCCTGTAGTGCTAGCTACTTGGGAGGCTGAGGCAGGAGAATTGCTTCAACCTGGGAGGCAGAGGTTGCAGTGAGAGGAGATTGCACCACTGCACTCCCATCTTGGCGACAGAGCAAGACTCCTCAAAAAAAAAAAAAAAAAAAAAAATATATATATATATATACACACACACACATGACTTCCCCTCTCCCACGTCTCCTGGCTTTCAGCATCTTCTTTTTATTTCTGGTTTGGGCAATTTGGTTTTCACATGTCTTGGTGTCGTTTTCTTCTTGGTTCTTGTGCTTGGGGCTAAACTTCTGGGATCTGTGGGTTTAATACTTCTGCTTTTTCCATCTTTGAGGATTTTAATTCCATGTATATTGGACTACTTGGAGTAGTCTCACATTCTGTGATTAGCCCCACTAATGCTCTCAGTTTTTTTAACTATTATTTTTTCTATGCACTTTCAAATTTACAATTTTTTTCCTGCAATGTCTAATCTGCTGTAATTTCCACTTTGTGTATTTTTTGACCTTAGGAAACTGTAGTTTTCTTCCCTAAAAGTTCAGTTTGGGCCTTTTTAATCTCCCATGCCTCTACTTAACCTTTTGAAGATGCGGGATATAGCAATAATTGCTTCGTAAATGTTCCTTTTTGACCATTCTGGCATCTGTGTCAGCTCTGCTGTTGGCTCGCACTGTGTGGCCCCTGCAGACTTCAGGCTGGTTTCCTTTGTGCCCTTTCTCACAAAGCTCATGCATGGATTTCCAGCACGTGTGTGAGTAAAACCCAAATCAGACGTACTTCTGGTTAGCTCCGGAATCCTGTTAATGGATAAACCTGTGTCCGTATCAAGTGGAGGGAGAGAAAATTATTTGTGTCTTGAGGGTCATCTCCTGGTGTTACTGAGAAATACTTCCAGAGGGTCTTTGGGCCGCTGTGAACCGCTGTAGCTACGTCCACCCAACTCCACCATCATCAACTAGATAGTGAATCATTCTGTTCTTTTCCATGATACAAAATGCCTGATATGACCTGAGTTTTAGACATCGTCCCAACCTCCACGCATGTAGAATAATGGGTACAATGTGTCTGTTAGTGCATGAATAAATTCATATAAAATTGTGACTATGCATTCAGGAAGAGTATTCATGGGGAATATTTAATGCATGCCATCTGATACAGAGACACAAAGTTCCTCCAATATGTTTGCAATGCTTTGGGGGCAAGGATTACATCTTTATTCCCTTCTTTAGTTCAGTGGTTGGCAATAGCATAGGTACAAAGGACAAATGCGTTAGTGCATTACGGCCACACCGAGCAGTGTATTCACACTGGTAATGTTTACTGAAAGAAACATTAAATATCACACCTCGATATTATTAAGGAAACTAACTGGATACACTATTTTCAAGGCTCGATGAAAATGTGAGGTACCTTGTTCAAAAATTATTAAGAACCCTAGGACTTGGAAGTAGAGCATTAAACCAAGTGCCTGTCTCTGCAGCCACACTGATCATGTAGCTGTGGAGCTGGTCTCGCCCAGAAATCATAGTTTACAACAAGCCACTGTACAGTTCAGAATAGTTAGAAGATAATCATTCAGGTGTTTCTCGCATAAAAAACAGACAAATATTTAAGGTGTTGGATACTCAATTACATTAGTTTCATTTTTACAAATTATATGAATGCATTAAATTATCACATGTACTACCAAAATATCTACATCCATTATGTATCAGTAGAAAATTAAAATTTTTATTAATGGAGAAAAACATGAAGTCCCTGATTAAAAGTGCTAGAAATGAGAATTTAGACCTTAAAAAGCAGCTAAAAATTTAAAAGGAAAGTTTTGGCAACAAGCCAACCTCAGAAAGCATGAGACCCAAATTCAAAGAACGAACTGTGCAAATTTCTGGCTCACAGCAAAATTGCACATGTGCAAGGGAGATCTATGAAGCCTAGTGAAAAAGCAGAAAGAAAAAATTTAAAAACTGTAGAAAGTAAAACCCAATTTCAAGTACAAAAAACAAAACAAAACAAAACAAAACAATACCTCACAGATTTCTAAGTTGTTGAATACAATGTAATATTTCCTCCCAAGACCCAGAAGAAGTTGATTTGAAAAGAGCAATTACTATACAGACTAGAGTTATATACCATTGGTCTAGTTAGATTTGCTGCGCTTAATGTTACTATTACGTAAAGTTAGTAGTTAGGGTCTCAGACTTTTAAAATAAAAAAAATGTAGGTACTATGATGGCAAATATTGGGGTTCATATTGCAGAACAGTTGAAGTCATATTTCACTGTTGATTGAACATGCCATGGATATGTGAGCATCTTGAGTTGGTTGCACGACTTTTACACTTCCATTCTGAATGCAAAAACTTAAAGCTTTATGCTTAAATTAAATAATGTGGCTAAGATTGTTAACACGAGCATATGAAACTCAGCTCCTTGAAATAGCCCACCTAAAAAGATGCTTGCTTTGGGGGAGCTGAATAATTTTCTGGGGACACATCTTTTCTTTGTTTGATTTGTTTGGTTCAAAAAAAAAGCATTCATATTATGGCTTGATATGCCATAAAATTTTGATTTAAAATCTCTAAAAGCCAGAGAAAGACTATCTACAAAACTGTCAAGATGCATTTTGGATTGTCTCCCTACTTCCATTTTCTTCAAAAGATTTAAATGCAATTTGGATTATAAAAATCGCATTAAGATAGAAAGACTGTGGGATGCATTTCACCTGGGGTGCTTGTTAAAAAACGCAATTTCTGGGATTTCATTCCAGATCTACTCAATGAGACTCTGCAGGTGGGCCCCTAGAATCTGCATTTTTTATGCTTTCCAGATGTTTCTTATGCACAGTCAAGTTTGCAAACCACTGCTCTCGAGTTTTAACTGCCATTAAGTAGAACTTTTAATGGATGCAGCCTTAATTTCTGAATTATTACTGATTAATAGAATCTGCTTTTACTATACACTCACTAAAATACATAGCTGCTTGGGCTGAAATATACAGATGTGTTGCCTTGCTGAAAAGGGAAGGAAAATCAAATCTCCGACTGAGTCATGTTTGAAGTTTAGCCATGAAATTTGATGGCTTTTAGCTGAATTAAATGGCAGGCAAAATGTGTGTCTGTTCTCCACCTCTCTCCTCTAACAGCGTTTCCCTGTCTTGAGCTAATCCTTATGCAGGGATGTCTTATCACTGCTCACTGAATATCTATAGAAAGACACGAGTTACAAAGTCAAGAGCTGCAGACTCCTCTAGGTTTTTCCTCGGAACACTCAGTGACACAGAGCTGTGTCAGGCAGAGCCTGCTGCTGATTTAATTTGATCTTTCTAGGGAGGATTAAGACTATTGTCCTCAACCCAGTTAGAATGTTGCTGCTAAGTTTCAATGTGTCAGAGGCTTTTTCATTTTCCCAGAGCCAGTGCTGGCTGGCGTGGCAAGTGACAACATCCCAGCATTTGCAAAGTGACTACATCGCAGTATTTGCATTATCTTCCTTGGCGTGCACATCTTTCAACCACGTCAGGGAAGCGGTTGGAAGGAAAAATCACAGAGCACATAAGAAGGACTTCTGGGCCTGCTCTGGAGGCTTGCAGAGGACATGCCCGAAGGGGTGCATGAAGCCTTCTGTCCCATACCTGTCCCTTGCCTCGATGGGATTTTGTACACCACAGGTTTCTGTCACCACTTTGCCTTGAAATTGCAGGCCTCAGTTATGAATTTTATAACAACATCCTCAAATAAGGCCTCACTTTGCAGTGTATGCCTAACTTAAGGATGATTTTTAAATGACTGTGTCATGTTTGTAAAGACACTTTGTACTTATCGAAGTGCTTGCATATATACCATCTCATTTAATGCTTGCCAAGATTCTGTTAGGTATGCGAGGCAGGTACTGTTACCTTCACCTTATGAATGAGGAAAAGGCACACAGAAGCTAATAACAAGTGAAGTCAACACTGGGTCTGAAATTTGTAAACTCTGATATAAAAAAGAAATCGTATCTCTGGAAAGAAAACTGTTGCAAACTATACACCTGCTTTCCAAAACATGTGTGGCTCTTCAGTAGCTATTTTGCTGCCTTCTACCTACTCCAGTGTGCTGTTGGCTACGTCCAGTGCTGAGGACTGGGGAGGAGGCTTTTCTTCCCGCTTTAGGATCATGGTGATGTCCTTGCTGAGGACTGGGGAGGAGGATTTTCCTCCCACTTTAGGATCATGGTGATGTCCTTCCAGAATTTGAACTGTGCTTTGGTCCTGAGCATGTCCTGGGGTGCAACATTCATTGTTCTCATTTGTTAGAGAATACAAGATCAGAATTTAAATAGTCACTGTTTTCCAAGATGCAAAGTGATACGCTCTTGGTGTTTTAAAATCCTATCTGTTGATCTGATTGGCTGGTATTCCAGTCTTCCCTGTTTATCGCTCTGTGACTGGTGGGATTTGCCAATAGGTCCAATAATTTCTCTTTCCAGAAACATACCGTAATATTGGTGTAGGATTTGTGGCCAGAACTTACTGGGCATCACCCCAGTTACTGTCCTAATACCTCATATTGTGTCAGAAGCTGACAATAGGAGTTGAAAATGCCATAATATGAATCTGTTCTCATAGTGAAGATCATAATGAGAACGGGAAAGGCTGCAGACCGAACCAGTTCTCATTATGTTCTGAAGCCACATTTCCTCCCCACAACATGAATTGTATGGTCCAGGCTCTTTAATCAAGAATGTTCCATTTGAAAGCATTCCTCATCCCACAGAAAACACAAATTTCACTTTGGAGCACCTGTCTAGTGGGAGAATTTGTTTTCTCATTCAATTAACCAGATTGAAAATGTAAGAACACTATTATGGAAGCTTCAATGTCAATGTGTGTGTGTATGATGATTGTTGCTAATGAAAAATAAGCTGATTTAGGACATTTGAAGCAAAGAAGCACTCACGTTCCCTTATCTCGGCATTTAAACCATGCCTGGACTCTGTGCTCTCTGCCCACATTATCTGGCTGTGCGTGGCATTGCTTCCGGCTGCAATAGTGGGAAAGAATTTAGTAGATGTTCAAACACAAATATATTGTTAGCTTTTTTTGTTGTTGTTAAGGCTGCTTCACATATTTTAAATTTTTCTTTTCCTTCTGGGAGAGGAGTTACTACTATTAACAATTCTGCACATTGCTTGAGGCAATGATAAACCATATTACCCTATTTATTTTACTCTCATTGCTATTTGAGAAAATGGTGGGCCATATATGCTTGTAGATTAGCTGGTGTCTTTTTGAAGCTACTGGCAAGGCTATGTTTAAAGTTTCAATTCTAATAAAAATGTGTTTAAAGCAACCAATGGCACCGTACAGGGAATGGCAGAGGAAAGGTCATTCTGTGTGTCCTGCAGCCTCAGAAGTGGGATCTTCCCCACACTTTTCTGTGAAGACAATGCAGTTCAGAGCAGAGACATCTTCGAAGCTGCTTTGCACATGATGGTAATGAAGGATTGCAGTGTGAGGTCACTGGGATTCCCAATACCACAAACACTGGTGTTATGAAAGGATGCTTAGTCCCAGCATGCCTAAGAAAACTAAATCTGATTCCTAGTCTTGGAAATCTCATCTCATGCATGATGCCATGTTTCCAAAACTGGAACATTTCTACTGACATATTTCCATGACTTCCTTTGCTCCAGCCACTGAACACTCACTCCCAGTGTGTCCTTCCTAAAATGTTAATGTGTTATCTGTTCATGATAGTGCACCTGTCTGCATAACTTCTGTGTATTTGTTTATTTATTTAATTTATTTTTTTGAGATGCATTCTTGCTCTGTTGTCCAGGCTGAAGTGAAGTGGCGCGATCTTGGCTCACTGCAAACTCCACCTCCTGGGTTCAAACGATTCTCATGTCAGCCTTCTGAGTAGCTGGGATTACAGGAACACACCACCATGCCAAGCTAATTTTTGTATTTTTAGTAGAGACAGGGTTTCACCTTGTTGGCCAGGCTGGTCTTGAGCTCCTGACCTCAAGTGATCTGCCTGCCTCTGCCTCCCAATGTGCTGGGATTACATGGGTGAGCTGCCACGCCTGGCCAACTTCTGTGTATTTATTGAGGGAGGTGATTTGGGTGGGGATGGTGGAAGGATTGGGGCATGTGAAAGAGAAGGAGTCCTGGTTTGTAAGTTAGATCATGTGAGGGATAGGGATAGGGAGTGGAGCACAGGGTGAATGAGACCACACACGTGTAAGAGGGAATGATGAGCAGGCAGGAAGAGAGGGTTGGTGTAGGAAAGGGGTGGTGCAGGAAAGGGGTGGTGTAGGAAAGGGTGGTGTAGGGAAGGGTTGGTGTAGGAAAGGGTTGGTGTAGGAAAGGGGTGGTGTGGGAAAGGGTGGTGTAGGAAAGGGGTGGTGTAGGAAAGGGTTGGTGTAGGAAAGGGTTGGTGTAGGAAAGGGGTGGTGTAGGAAAGGGTTGGTGTAGGAAAGGGTTGGTGTAGGAAAGGGGTGGTGTGGGAAAGGGTGGTGTAGGAAAGGGGTGGTGTAGGAAAGGGGTGGTGTAGGAAAGGGTGGTGTAGGAAAGGGGTGGTGTAGGGAAGGGTTGGTGTAGGAAAGGGGTGGTGTAGGAAAGGGTTGGTGTAGGAAAGGGGTGGTGTAGGGAAGGGTTGGTGTAGGAAAGGGTTGGTGTAGGAAAGGGTTGGTGTAGGAAAGGGTTGGTGTAGGAAAGGGTTGGTGTAGGAAAGGGTTGGTGTAGGAAAGGGTTGGTGTAGGAAAGGGGTGGTGTAGGAAAGGGTTGGTGTAGGAAAGGGGTGGTGTAGGGAAGGGTTGGTGTAGGAAAGGGGTGGTGTAGGAAAGGGTGGTGTAGGGAAGGGTTGGTGTAGGAAAGGGGTGGTGTAGGAAAGGGGTGGTGTAGGAAAGGGTTGGTGTAGGAAAGGGGTGGTGTAGGAAAGGGTGGTGTAGGAAAGGGGTGGTGTAGGAAAGGGTGGTGTAGGAAAGGGTGGTGTAGGAAAGGGTTGGTGTAGGAAAGGGTGGTGTAGGAAAGGGGTGGTGTATGAAAGGGGTGGTGTAGGAAAGGGTTGGTGTAGGAAAGGGTTGGTGTAGGAAAGGGTTGGTGTAGGAAAGGGTTGGTGTAGGAAAGGGGTGGTGTAGGAAAGGGGTGGTGTATGAAAGGGGTGGTGTAGGAAAGGGGTGGTGTAGGAAAGGGGTGGTGTAGGAAAGGGTGGTGTAGGAAAGGGTTGGTGTAGGGAAGGGTTGGTGTAGGAAAGGGTTGGTGTAGGGAAGGTGTAGGAAAGGGGTGGTGTAAGAAAGGGGTGGTGTAGGAAAGGGTTGGTGTAGGAAAGGGTTGGTGTAGGAAAGGGGTGGTGTAGGAAAGGGTTGGTGTAGGAAAGGGTTGGTGTAGGAAAGGGTTGGTGTAGGAAAGGGTGGTGTAGGAAAGGGTGGTGTAGGAAAGGGTTGGTGTAGGAAAGGGTTGGTGTAGAGGAAAGGGGTGGTGTAGGAAAGGGTTGGTGTAGGAAAGGGGTGGTGTAGGAAAGGGTTGGTGTAGGAAAGGGGTGGTGTAGGGAAGGGTTGGTGTAGGAAAGGGGTGGTGTAGGAAAGGGTGGTGTAGGGAAGGGGTGGTGTAGGAAAGGGGTGGTGTAGGGAAGGGGTGGTGTAGGGAAGGGTGGTGTAGGAAAGGGGTGGTGTAGGAAAGGGTGGTGTAGGAAAGGGGTGGTGTAGGAAAGGGTGGTGTAGGAAAGGGGTGGTGTAGGAAAGGGTGGTGTAGGAAAGGGTGGTGTAGGAAAGGGTTGGTGTAGGAAAGGGTTGGTGTAGGAAAGGGTGGTGTATGAAAGGGGTGGTGTATGAAAGGGGTTGGTGTAGGAAAGGGTTGGTGTAGGAAAGGGTTGGTGTAGGAAAGGGTTGGTGTAGTAGGAAAGGGGTGGTGTAGGAAAGGGTTGGTGTAGGAAAGGGGGGGTGTAGGAAAGGGTGGTGTAGGAAAGGGGTGGTGTAGGAAAGGGTGGGGTAGGAAAGGGTGGTGTAGGAAAGGGTTGGTGTAGGAAAGGGTTGGTGTAGGAAAGGGGTGGTGTAGGAAAGGGTGGTGTAGGAAAGGGTGGTGGAGGAAAGGGGTGGTGTAGGGAAGGGTTGGTGTAGGAAAGGGGTGGTGTAGGAAAGGGTGGTGTAGGAAAGGGTGGTGTAGGAAAGGGTTGGTGTAGGAAAGGGGTGGTGTAGGGAAGGGTTGGTGTAGGAAAGGGGTGGTGTAGGAAAGGGGTGGTGTAGGAAAGGGTTGGTGTAGGAAAGGGGTGGTGTAGGAAAGGGAAAGGGTTGGTGTAGGAAAGGGGTGGTGTAGGAAAGGGTGGTGTAGGAAAGGGGTGGTGTAGGAAAGGGTGGTGTAGGAAAGGGTGGTGGTGTAGGAAAGGGTTGGTGTAGGAAAGGGTGGTGTAGGAAAGGGGTGGTGTATGAAAGGGGTGGTGTAGGAAAGGGTTGGTGTAGGAAAGGGTTGGTGTAGGAAAGGGTTGGTGTAGGAAAGGGTTGGAGATTGGAAATGGGGTAGGGAAGGGTTGGTGTAGGAAAGGGGAGGTGTAGGAAAGGGGTGGTGTAGGAAAGGGTGGTGTAGGAAAGGGTGGTGTAGGAAAGGGGTGGTGTAGGGAAGGGGTGGTGTAGGAAAGGGGTGGTGTAGGAAAGGGGTGGTGTAGGAAAGGGTGGTGTAGGAAAGGGTTGGTGTAGGAAAGGGGTGTAGGAAAGGGTTGGGTAGGAAAGGGTGTTGTAGGAAAGGGGTGGTGTAGGAAAGGGTTGGTGTAGGAAAGGGGTGTAGGGAAGGGTTGGTGTAGGAAAGGGGTGGTGTAGGAAAGGGTGGTGTAGGGAAGGGGTGGTGTAGGAAAGGGGTGGTGTAGGGAAGGGTTGGTGTAGGAAAGGGGTGGTGTAGGAAAGGGGTGGTGTAGGAAAGGGTGGTGTAGGAAAGGGTGGTGTAGGAAAGGGTTGGTGTAGGAAAGGGGTGTAGGGAAGGGTTGGTGTAGGAAAGGGGTGGTGTAGGGAAGGGTTGGTGTAGGAAAGGGGTGGTGTAGGAAAGGGGTGGTGTAGGAAAGGGGTGGTGTAGGAAAGGGTGGTGTAGGAAAGGGGTGGTGTAGGGAAGGGTTGGTGTAGGAAAGGGGTGGTGTAGGAAAGGGGTGGTGTAGGAAAGGGGTGGTGTAGGAAAGGGTGGTGTAGGAAAGGGGGGGCGCAGGAAAGGGTTGGTGTAGGAAAGGGTTGGTGTAGGAAAGGGGTGGTGTAGGAAAGGGTGGTGTAGGAAAGGGGTGGTGTAGGGAAGGGTTGGTGTAGGAAAGGGGTGGTGTAGGAAAGGGTTGGTGTAGGAAAGGGGTGGTGTAGGGAAGGGTTGGTGTAGGAAAGGGTTGGTGTAGGAAAGGGGTGGTGTAGGAAAGGGTTGGTGTAGGGAAGGGTTGGTGTAGGAAAGGGGTGGTGTAGGAAAGGGGTGGTGTAGGGAAGGGTTGGTGTAGGAAAGGGGTGGTGTAGGAAAGGGGGGGTGTAGGAAAGGGTGGTGTAGGAAAGGGTGGTGTAGGGAAAGGGGTGGTGTAGGAAAGGGGTGGTGTAGGAAAGGGGTGGTGTAGGAAAGGGTGGGGGAGGAAAGGGGTGGTGGAGGGAAGGGGTGGGGTAGGAAAGGGGTGGTGTAGGAAAGGGTTGGTGTAGGAAAGGGGGGGTGTAGGGAAGGGGTGGTGTAGGAAAGGGGTGGTGTAGGAAAGGGTGGTGTAGGGAAGGGGTGGTGTAGGAAAGGGGTGGTGTAGGAAAGGGTGGTGTAGGAAAGGGGTGGTGTAGGAAAGGGGTGGTGTAGGAAAGGGTTGGTGTAGGAAAGGGGTGGTGTAGGAAAGGGTGGTGTAGGAAAGGGGGGGGGAGGAAAGGGTTGGTGGAGGAAAGGGGTGTAGGAAAGGGTTGGGTAGGAAAGGGTGTTGTAGGAAAGGGGTGGTGTAGGAAAGGGTTGGTGTAGGAAAGGGGTGTAGGGAAGGGTTGGTGTAGGAAAGGGGTGGTGTAGGGAAGGGGTGGTGTAGGAAAGGGGTGGTGTAGGAAAGGGATGTTGTAGGAAAGGGTGTTGCAGGAAAGGGTTGGTGTAGGAAAGGGTTGGTGTAGGAAAGGGGTGGGGTGGGAAAGGGTGGTGTAGGAAAGGGTTGGTGTAGGAAAGGGGTGGTGTAGGAAAGGGTGGTGTAGGAAAGGGGTGGTGTAGGGAAGGGTTGGTGTAGGAAAGGGTGGTGTAGGAAAGGGTGGGGTAGGAAAGGGTGGTGTAGGAAAGGGGTGGTGTAGGGAAGGGGTGGTGTAGGAAAGGGGTGGTGTATGAAAGGGGTGGTGTAGGAAAGGGGTGGTGTATGAAAGGGGTGGTGTAGGAAAGGGGTGGTGTAGGAAAGGGGTGGTGTAGGAAAGGGGTGGTGTAGGAAAGGGTGGTGTAGGAAAGGGTTGGTGTAGGGAAGGGTTGGTGTAGGAAAGGGGTGGTGTAGGTTGGTGTAGGAAAGGGGTGGTGTAGGAAAGGGGTGGTGTAGGAAAGGGGTGGTGTAGGAAAGGGTTGGTGTAGGAAAGGGGTGGTGTAGGAAAGGGTTGGTGTAGGAAAGGGGTGGTGTAGGAAAGGGTTGGTGTAGGAAAGGGGTGGTGTAGGGAAGGGTTGGTGTAGGAAAGGGGTGGTGTAGGGAAGGGTTGGTGTAGGAAAGGGGTGGTGTAGGAAAGGGTGGTGTAGGGAAGGGTTGGTGTAGGAAAGGGTTGGTGTAGGAAAGGGGTGGTGTGGGAAAGGGTGGGGTGGGAAAGGGGTGGTGTAGGAAAGGGTTGGTGTAGGAAAGGGTTGGTGTAGGAAAGGGGTGGTGTGGGAAAGGGTGGGGTAGGGAAGGGGTGGTGTAGGAAAGGGGTGGGGTAGGGAATGGGTGGTGTAGGAAAGGGTTGGTGTAGGGAAGGGTTGGTGTAGGAAAGGGGTGGTGTAGGAAAGGGTGGTGTAGGAAAGGGTGGTGTAGGAAAGGGGTGGTGTAGGGAAGGGTGGTGTAGGAAAGGGTGGTGTAGGAAAGGGTGGTGTAGGAAAGGGGTGGTGGAAAGGGTGGTGTAGGAAAGGGGTGGTGTAGGAAAGGGGTGGTGTAGGAAAGGGTTGGTGTAGGAAAGGGTTGGTGTAGGAAAGGGTTGGTGTAGGAAAGGGGTGGTGTAGGAAAGGAGGGGTGGTGTATGAAAGGGGTGGTGTAGGAAAGGGGTGGTGTAGGAAAGGGGTGGTGTAGGAAAGGGTGGTGTAGGAAAGGGGTGGTGTAGGAAAGGGGTGTAGGGAAGGGTTGGTGTAGGAAAGGGGTGGTGTAGGGAAGGGTTGGTGTAGGAAAGGGGTGGTGTAGGAAAGGGGTGGTGTAGGGAAGGGGTGGTGTAGGGAAGGGTGGTGTAGGAAAGGGGTGGTGGTAGGAAAGGGTGGTGTAGGAAAGGGTTGGTGTAGGAAAGGGGTGGTGTAGGAAAGGGTTGGTGTAGGAAAGGGTTGGTGTAGGAAAGGGGTGGTGTAGGAAAGGGGTGGTGTAGGAAAGGGTGGTGTAGGAAAGGGTTGGTGTAGGAAAGGGGTGTAGGGAAGGGTTGGTGTAGGAAAGGGGTGGTGTAGGGAAGGGTTGGTGTAGGAAAGGGGTGGTGTAGGAAAGGGGTGGTGTAGGAAAGGGTTGGTGTAGGAAAGGGTTGGTGTAGGAAAGGGGTGGTGTAGGTAGGAAAGGGGTGGTGTAGGGAAGGGTTGGTGTAGGAAAGGGGTGGTGTAGGAAAGGGGTGGTGTAGGAAAGGGTGGTGTAGGAAAGGGTTGGTGTAGGAAAGGGGTGTAGGGAAGGGTTGGTGTAGGAAAGGGTGGTGTAGGAAAGGGTGGTGTAGGAAAGGGGTGGTGTAGGGAAGGGTTGGTGTAGGAAAGGGGTGGTGTAGGAAAGGGGTGGTGTAGGAAAGGGTTGGTGTAGGAAAGGGTTGGTGTAGGAAAGGGGTGGTGTAGGAAAGGGGTGGTGTAGGAAAGGGTGGGGTAGGAAAGGGGTGGTGTAGGGAAGGGTTGGTGTAGGAAAGGGGTGGTGTAGGAAAGGGGTGGTGTAGGAAAGGGTGGTGTAGGAAAGGGTTGGTGTAGGAAAGGGGTGTAGGGAAGGGTTGGTGTAGGAAAGGGGTGGTGTAGGGAAGGGGTGGTGTAGGAAAGGGTGGTGTAGGAAAGGGTGGTGTAGGAAAGGGGTGGTGGTGTAGGAAAGGGGTGGTGTAGGAAAGGGTTGGTGTAGGAAAGGGTTGGTGTAGGAAAGGGGTGGTGTAGGAAAGGGTGGTGTAGGAAAGGGGTGGTGTAGGGAAGGGTTGGTGTAGGAAAGGGTGGTGTAGGAAAGGGTGGTGTAGGAAAGGGTGGTGTAGGAAAGGGGTGGTGTAGGAAAGGGTTGGTGTAGGAAAGGGTTTGGTGTAGGAAAGGGGTGGTGTAGGGAAGGGTTGGTGTAGGAAAGGGGTGGTGTAGGAAAGGGTTGGTGTAGGAAAGGGGTGGTGTAGGAAAGGGTTGGTGTAGGAAAGGGTTGGTGTAGGAAAGGGTTGGTGTAGGAAAGGGTTGGTGTAGAGGAAAGGGGTGGTGTAGGGAAGGGTTGGTGTAGGAAAGGGGTGGTGTAGGAAAGGGTGGTGTAGGGAAGGGTTGGTGTAGGAAAGGGGTGGTGTAGGAAAGGGGTGGTGTAGGAAAGGGGTGGTGTAGGAAAGGGGTGGTGGTGTAGGAAAGGGGTGGTGTAGGAAAGGGTGGTGTAGGAAAGGGGGGGTGTAGGGAAGGGTTGGTGTAGGAAAGGGGTGGTGTAGGAAAGGGGTGGTGTAGGGAAGGGGTGGTGTAGGGAAGGGGGGGGTAGGAAAGGGGGGGGTAGGGAAGGGTTGGTGTAGGAAAGGGGTGGTGCAGGAAAGGGGTGGTGTAGGAAAGGGTGGTGTAGGGAAGGGTTGGTGTAGGAAAGGGTTGGTGTAGGAAAGGGGTGGTGTGGGAAAGGGTGGTGTAGGAAAGGGGTGGTGTAGGAAAGGGTTGGTGTAGGAAAGGGTTGGTGTAGGAAAGGGGTGGTGTAGGAAAGGGTTGGTGTAGGAAAGGGTTGGTGTAGGAAAGGGGTGGTGTGGGAAAGGGTGGTGTAGGAAAGGGGTGGTGTAGGAAAGGGGTGGTGTAGGAAAGGGTGGGGTAGGAAAGGGTGGTGTAGGAAAGGGGTGGTGTAGGGAAGGGTTGGTGTAGGAAAGGGGTGGTGTAGGAAAGGGGTGGTGTAGGAAAGGGTGGTGTAGGAAAGGGTGGTGTAGTAGGAAAGGGTGGTGTAGGGAAGGGTTGGTGTAGGAAAGGGGTGGTGTAGGAAAGGGTGGTGTAGGGAAGGGTTGGTGTAGGAAAGGGGTGGTGTAGGGAAGGGTTGGTGTAGGAAAGGGGTGGTGTAGGAAAGGGGTGGTGTAGGAAAGGGTGGTGTAGGAAAGGGGTGGTGTAGGAAAGGGTTGGTGTAGGAAAGGGGTGGTGTAGGAAAGGGTTGGTGTAGGAAAGGGTTGGTGTAGGAAAGGGGTGGTGTAGGAAAGGGGTGGTGTATGAAAGGGGTGGTGTAGGAAAGGGGTGGTGTAGGAAAGGGGTGGTGTATAGGAAAGGGTGGTGTAGGAAAGGGGTGGTGTAGGGAAGGGTTGGTGTAGGGAAGGGGTGGTGTAGGGAAGGGGTGGTGTAGGAAAGGGTGGTGTAGGAAAGGGTGGTGTAGGAAAGGGGTGGTGTAGGAAAGGGTGGTGTAGGAAAGGGGTGGTGTAGGTGTAGGAAAGGGTGGTGTAGGAAAGGGTGGTGTAGGAAAGGGTTGGTGTAGGGAAGGGTTGGTGTAGGAAAGGGGTGGTGTAGGAAAGGGTGGGGTAGGAAAGGGTGGTGTAGGAAAGGGTTGGTGTAGGAAAGGGGTGTAGGAAAGGGTTGGGTAGGAAAGGGTGTTGTAGGAAAGGGGTGGTGTAGGAAAGGGTTGGTGTAGGAAAGGGGTGTAGGGAAGGGTTGGTGTAGGAAAGGGGTGGTGTAGGAAAGGGTGGTGTAGGAAAGGGGTGGTGTAGGGAAGGGTTGGTAGGAAAGGGGTGGTGTAGGAAAGGGGTGGTGTAGGAAAGGGATGTTGTAGGAAAGGGTGGTGTAGGAAAGGGGTGGTGTATGAAAGGGGTGGTGTAGGAAAGGGTTGGTGTAGGAAAGGGTTGGTGTAGGAAAGGGTTGGTGTAGGAAAGGGTTGGTGTAGGAAAGGGGTGGTGTGTAGGAAAGGGGTGGGGTAGGAAAGGGGTGGTGTATGAAAGGGGTGGTGTAGGAAAGGGGTGGTGTAGGAAAGGGTTGGTGTAGGAAAGGGGTGGTGTAGGAAAGGGGTGGTGTGGTGGTGTAGGAAAGGGTGGTGTAGGAAAGGGTGGTGTAGGAAAGGGGTGGTGTAGGAAAGGGTTGGTGTAGGTAGGAAAGGGGGGGTGTAGGGAAGGGGTGGTGTAGGAAAGGGGTGGTGTAGGAAAGGGGTGGTGTAGGAAAGGGTGGTGTAGGAAAGGGGTGGTGTAGGGAAGGGGTGGTGTAGGAAAGGGGTGGTGTAGGAAAGGGTGGTGTAGGAAAGGGTGGTGTAGGAAAGGGTTGGTGTAGGAAAGGGGTGGTGTAGGAAAGGGTTGGTGTAGGAAAGGGTTGGTGTAGGAAAGGGGTGGTGTAGGAAAGGGGTGGTGTATGAAAGGGGTGGTGTAGGAAAGGGGTGGTGTAGGAAAGGGTGGTGTAGGAAAGGGTTGGTGTAGGAAAGGGGTGTAGGAAAGGGTTGGTGTAGGAAAGGGTGGTGTAGGAAAGGGGTGGTGTAGGAAAGGGTTGGTGTAGGAAAGGGTGGTGTAGGAAAGGGTTGGTGTAGGAAAGGGGTGGTGTAGGGAAGGGTTGGTGTAGGAAAGGGGTGGTGTAGGAAAGGGGTGGTGTAGGAAAGGGTGGTGTAGGAAAGGGTGGTGTAGGAAAGGGTGGTGTAGGAAAGGGGTGGTGTAGGAAAGGGGTGGTGTAGGGAAGGGTTGGTGTAGGAAAGGGGTGGTGTAGGAAAGGGGTGGTGTAGGGAAGGGGTGGTGTAGGGGAAGGGTGGTGTAGGAAAGGGTGGTGTAGGAAAGGGTTGGTGTAGGAAAGGGGTGGTGTAGGGAAGGGTTGGTGTAGGAAAGGGGTGGTGTAGGAAAGGGGTGGTGTAGGAAAGGGTTGGTGTAGGAAAGGGGTGGTGTAGGAAAGGGTTGGTGTAGGAAAGGGGTGGTGTAGGAAAGGGGTGGTGTATGAAAGGGGTGGTGTAGGAAAGGGGTGGTGTAGGAAAGGGGTGGTGTAGGAAAGGGTGGTGTAGGAAAGGGTTGGTGTAGGGAAGGGTTGGTGTAGGAAAGGGTTGGTGTAGGGAAGGGTTGGTGTAGGAAAGGGGTGGTGTAGGAAAGGGTGGTGTAGGAAAGGGTGGTGTAGGAAAGGGTGGTGTAGGGAAGGGTTGGTGTAGGAAAGGGGTGGTGTAGGGAAGGGGTGGTGTAGGAAGGGGTGGTGTAGGAAAGGGGTGGTGTAGGAAAGGGGTGGTGTAGGAAAGGGTGGTGTAGGAAAGGGGTGGTGTAGGGAAGGGTTGGTGTAGGAAAGGGGTGGTGTAGGAAAGGGGTGGTGTAGGAAAGGGTGGTGTAGGAAAGGGTGGTGTAGGAAAGGGTGGTGTGGTTGGTGTAGGAAAGGGGTGGTGTAGGGAAGGGTTGGTGTAGGAAAGGGTTGGTGTAGGAAAGGGTTGGTGTAGGAAAGGGTTGGTGTAGGAAAGGGGTGGTGTAGGAAAGGGGTGGTGTAGGAAAGGGTGGTGTAGGGAAAGGGTGGTGTAGGAAAGGGGTGGTGTAGGAAAGGGGTGGTGTAGGAAAGGGTTGGTGTAGGAAAGGGGTGGTGTAGGAAAGGGGGGTGTAGGAAAGGGGTGGTGTAGGAAAGGGTGGTGTAGGAAAGGGTGGTGTAGGAAAGGGGTGGGGTAGGAAAGGGTGGTGTAGGAAAGGGGTGGTGTAGGGAAGGGTTGGTGTAGGAAAGGGGTGGTGTAGGAAAGGGATGTTGTAGGAAAGGGTGTTGCAGGAAAGGGGTGGTGGAGGCAAGGGTTGGTGTAGGAAAGGGTTGGTGTAGGCAAGGGTTGGTGTAGGAAAGGGGTGGTGTAGGGAAGGGGTGGTATAGGAAAAGTTTGGTGTAGGAAAGGGGTGTCGTAGGAAAGGTTTGGTGTAGGAAACAGGTGTTGTAGGAAAGGGGTGGTGTAGGAAAGGGTTGATGTAGGAAAGATTTGGTGTACGAAGGGGTTGGTGTAGGAAAGGGGTGGTGTAGGAAAGGGTTGGTGTAGGAAAGGTTTGGTGTAGGGTGCTGACATTTGCATAAGTTGCACTGGGGTAGGAGTGGATGATGATGGAAAGTTGGAAGAATGTGATATTTGGGTGGAAATAACCACTTAGAAATTGAGTCATCTTTTAGCTACAGAGAAGGGTATTCCCTTCACCATATAGTGAGCGGTTGCTGTATCCATGGCTCTTGACAAAGTTGTTTACTTTGTGCCTTTTCCTGCATTATTGGCATCTGGAGTTCTAACAGCCAAGAGAGACAGAGGTCATAGTGGAATCAATATTTCTATTACAGATAAGAAAATCCCAGAAGGAGGGCCTACATAGATTAACCTGTACACAACCAAACTAAGATTTAAGAATTTTTCTGAAGATAATCCTGGGATTATGTCTCACATTTCATTTTAAGCTTCTTTCTTCATTTCCCTTTGCTTAATATTTCTCTCCCCTATTTTATTCCTCCTTGAAATAAAATGGGACAATAATGTGTTTTAAATGTAGAATCAAGGAATAACAAGAAATTGTCATTTCAACTGCTATCATGTCCAGTGAAATTAAATGCTTGGATAATTACTTTGTTAATTACTAACAACTCCAAAATTCTGATTCTCAATCCACAGTCTATTGAATCATATAAATGGCTTGCTTTTATTGAATGGAAAAAGACAAAGAAGAAAAAGAGTGTCCAGTAGAGAGGAGGAGAAAGCACTACAGGGAACACCAGGGTCCCCATGATAAGTTCACTTTATTCCACTCCATACTTCCTGTTAATTAGGAGCTTCCAATCATTGCAGCAACATGGGGTCCTACACTTTAACCCAACCCCTCCTCTTCTACTATCCCTAACTTTGACTAGTATGAGATGAATACTTGAGTTCAGCAACTTCCCATGGCTTTCGAATCTCAGAAGTTGTTCTTACTCTTTTTGATATAACAACCCTCAATTAATGTTTGGTATTCTTACGCAACCAGTGGGAAAACAAGTATGCATCTGGAAAGCTTAGAAAATATAGAGATAGTCATATACCTAGGCTTGTTTTTATTTTAATTGAGCAATTTGCAAAGGTATCTTCTATATTAATAAATGTACATTCAATTCAAACAGATTGATATTGAATTAATAGGAAGTAATAAATTGGTTTATTTATGCTAGTGGAATTAAAAAATCTTGCTACTCTATACATTCAATTTCTAGTCCCTACTTTGAAAAGAGCATTTTCTTCCTTTTGAAATATATTTGAGCATAGTAACTTTCAAGGTCCTAAGTTTATTGGCATAATTTAATGGAAAAATTTATGCTCTAAAGCATTCATTTTTTTCCCCAAGCTTTGTGGTTTTCAATTTCTCATCTACTGGGTGGCTTTTAGTTTACATGGCAGAACAGAATCTTCTCAACTTTTTGATTCCCCTGATAAAATATTCAATAGAGAACTAAGCCAAAATTTGCTTCACCCAAGGACATGATCTCATCCTTATTCTTGTCTTCATGCCTATTGAAATACAGCTATTCTTGTATGTATTTAGCTAAGTGATAGGCTTAAGCATCAGTTGTCTTTTTTGGCTAATTTGTTTCAAAAGTAATTGAGCCCATGTACACATGAAATAATATGTAAAACAGTAAAGATCCCTGTACACAACAGTATTGAAGCCACTGTAATATCTCAAGACTAAATTAGACACTCTCTTCCTAGGCCCCTTTCACTCCTCCACCCTCCACCACATAGGACACTTTCTGGAAAAGAAGTCCAGGCAAAGAGACGTTAGTTTAATTGTTGCTAACGTCACATAGAAATGATCACCATCTTGGAATTTCTGAATTCACATGAAAGGGTGATACTGAGTTTAAACGTAAAGTTTCATATTCCATTGGTGTCAAAATTGGTGGACAGAAAGAGTACAGGATTGTAAAGCAATTTCAGAGCAAGCTTCTAATGGCAACTTTAGTCCATAGTTTGGATCCTGTGCCCACCTGACATCTATTCTTTTTTTGAGATGGAGTCTTGCTCTCTCTCCCAGTCTTGAGTGCAGTGGCGAGATCTGGGCTCACTGCAAGCTCCGCCTCCCGGGTTCACGCCATTCTCCTGCCTCAGCCTCCCGAGTAGCTGGGACTACAGGCGCCCACCACCAAGCCAGCTAATTTTTTATATTTTTAGTAGAGACGGGGTTTCACGGTGTTAGCCAGGATGGTCTCGATCTCATGACCTCGTGATCCACCTGCCTCGGCCTCTGAAATCTATTCTTAGCTGTAGGTGGGGACCAGGACCAGAATCTTCAGAGCAGGCCCTAGAAAGCTGGGAAGTCAGGGGATTCCACTACAGGTTTCTCTATTCTGTCGGCATTTTAAGTGGTTCTGTTTAGATCTAGTCACATTAGAGCTACCCCTCAAACAGACGACGACTCTTAAGAGCCCTGGAATTTCTTTATTACCCAGGGAGTCACTGGGGACTGGCAGTAGGTGCCAGGTTTGGTGATGGCGTTTTGTGAATCGCTGAGCTCATCTCAGGGCAGAGCAGCTTCCTAATGTGACTGTCGTCTCCTCTTCCTTTCCCTCCAACACCAGCCACACTTCACTGCACTGGCCAGGTGTTTACCAACCTACCCCTTCGTACAAAGTTCAACCTGACATTGTTTCATAGTCAATGATATAAAGCTTGTTGTCTAAGTCAGCATCTGCAGTTTTACCAACTGATAGAAAGGTACAAGATAGAATATGATTCGGGACAGGAGTCATCAATGTGTTGCCTTTCTGTTGCATGGAATGATACGTTTTGAAGTTGCAAGTGTCCTGAAATTTCAGGACTTCATCTTAAAGATGAAAAAAAGATGACGTGTCATGCACAGCTATTTAGTGGCAGAATTTGAATTCAACCCCAAGTCAGGTTATGATATCTCCTGTGTCAGAGGAAAGTACTTTTGATAATCCCAGAAATATCAAGACTCCAGTGGCAGTGAATATTTGGTTTCCACTTTGAAATGTAGATCACATTAGCAGGATATTCCCTAAAGGAGCTTTATACACAGTTGGTCCTCTCTCTGTCAACCTCATCTCCGACTCAAGTGGATCGAGTTCAAAACAGCCACACTTGTTCCAGAAGCCAATTTTGTTTGGGCCATAATATAGAGATGGTCCCATACAGCCTTAAAGCATGCTAAGCATAGGTAGCTATGTTTGTTACAATAGTTGAAAGGAGAAAGCCATAAAAACAAAGTCTCCCACTATTTCATCCAATTTAAAATTGCGGAAGGTGACAGAAAATATAACTGAAAGCTTTCCCTAACCTCTCTTAAAAGAAGTCCTAGAAAAAAAAAAGAAAGCATTTCTTTCCTTGATGATTTCTAAGTAATAACTAAATATGGATGCAATTTTGAACCGTGTATGGATGTTCCCAGTGTAATGTTCCTCTTTTGGAGACATCGCATCATATTTATTTATCTCACTCCCTGTCCTTTACCCCATTAAAGTGGACCTGTGCATAGTTGATGCTTGTACCAAGATACACACCTTCTTCCTGTTTCCAGGACGGTACGATGGGAGGCAGGAGTGAGTGTCCGGAAAGAGGGAAGAAAAAAAACCAAATCTCATCGTTGCTTATTTGTCTACTGCTTTTGGCTCTGCTGAGATGTGAAGTCATTCTCATTTCTTTGTGTTCGGAAGTATAGCCTGCGACTTGTTGAAAGCTTAGCGCTAGACCTGCCTCTCAGAGACTTGCTCCCTCTGGAAATGCCCAGCTGAGGATGCGCGTGGTGCGTGTTGAAGAACACTGCCTTAGAGGTGGACACTTGTGGACAGGTGCGCTGCGGCCGGACTCGGGGACAGGTGCGCTGCGGCCAGACTCGTGGACAGGTGCGCTGCGTGCGGCTGGAGCTGGCCTCGCATTTCTTCACTTTCTGAAACATAATGCCCTCAGTGAGTTGCAATTTCATATTGCTACATTTGTTTTTACTGGTGTTAAATTCCGGCAGTTAAATCTTTAAAGGGTTACTAAAAAATGCGAATATTTGTGTATTTACATGTCTAAGGAGAAGACCCTTTGGCAGTCCAGGAGGAGACCAGGACTCAGGCTTTTTCTTCCAGTTAACTGTGGAGGACACGCCGTTGCTGCTGCGGCTGCTGAAGGAGGAGAAATCTCCTTGTTCTCCTGTCTTCCTGCTCTCCAGTCCCCTGTCTGGGCTTCCCATTTGCTGAACACAGCCAGATGCCAGCCGAGCTCAGGAAGCGTCGTTTGCAGGGGGTGTATCCAGAGACACAGCTCGGAGCAAGGGAAGCGAGAGGAAGAGATCCAACCTTAGGACAAAGGGCCAAGAACTTGGAGAGGACTTGGCCTAGGAGACAATCTAGGGCAAGCACGTTATCCAGGGTGACTGGGCAGGCAGAGAAACCCCAAGAGGCATAGAGCTCATGTCCGTTCGAAGTAGGAGAGTCTGGGCTCTGCTCTCGGAGTCGGAGCTGGGGGCCTTCAGAGTACTTCCTATGGAGAGAGCCTAGTTTATCAGAAAAAAAGGAACTTTCCTTTTTACCATCTAGCCTTCACCTTGGCAGGGAGACAGCTGTTTGGAGTAAAACACTTCAACTCGACATGTCAAACCAGTGCTTCAGCAGAGCTGTGCCTGGCCCGCCCACCTCTCCCCTGCCCTCGGTTTTGGTCCAGAGTCTATTTTAAACATCTGATGTCTCTCTTGGTTAGTGTGATTGAAATACGGCAGAAAGCCAATTGCATCGTGTGGGGAAGTTGAAATCAATGCAACCAACAATTATATTAACGGTCTAGTTAAGAATAAAAAAGTAATAGAACAGACGTGCCTTGGTGAACGTTTATTTTCTATGGAGAAATAAACATAGATGCTGCTTTTGGACTCCACCCTGGGCAACAAGGTAATGAATGTGGAGTTAGGTGGTGACTAAAGAATTTGGATTCTTTCCTCCAGGTTACAATGCTCGTTAAGGGGCGGCCTGTAATGAAATCTGCGACATGTGCTAAAACCAACTAAGTGATTATTTTAAAAGTCACAGTCTGCGTGGGGCTTCATAAATTCACACGAGGGAGAGCTGTCTAATGGGATTGCCACCTTCCACCCCCAACGCAGACTTCAGCTCCTTCCTAGGTCTCCACTCAAAGGCTTATCCCATGGCCCGAGCAGGGAAGGCCTTTTTGTGTGAAAACACCTGGCCACCCAGCTTCAGGAGCACTGAGCGCTTTCGGCATGGCCGTCCCCACTGGCCCACGCGGCATTTCTTACAGTGAGCTTGGTTTTTAACTGCATTGTTTTGCTTAACAAGCTGTTTTTCTTTCTACAGATGTAACCTTTTCCTGTGTTTCCTGACTGGGACACCAGCCGGGTATTCCAGCCAACTTTGGTAGATATATATCATTGTTTTTTTCGCCAGGCTTGTTTTAAAAAATCTACCTATTGCTTGCCCTGATCAATCCATCACTACCCTTGAAAAGGTCATGGTTCTCTCATCAGGAAACTTTTCAAAAATCCTTGGCTGTGATTTATCTTATGTTACGGGCTCTGACAGTGATTCTCAGGAAGCGAGGCCCATTAGTTTCTCGTAAGGTCACTCCCCTGCTGTCGCATGCAGAGTGAGTATCAGTTGTGCTTGCCTGAGTTTGAAGCATCCTCTTGGGTGATTTCAAGGGGGGCAAAGGCAGGGCCATGACTGGTTTCTGTGTGGAGACTCACACGGGTGAGACAGGTGACACGGTGGAGAGGGAGGGTGTCTCTTGTAGGTGCTAGAGCCTCAAAGATAGCTCTTATTTTCAATCCTGCTTCTCCAAGATTCAGTTCACAAAGATAAGCATGCCTGGAAATATTTAATATTTTATCTTATTATATTCATATTCTGTGGTTGTTTAAAAATTCTTCAGTATGTTATAAACAAATGTTTCTGATTCCCCATAAGCTTTGTAGGGACATTAATTATTACTGACATGAGAAATTAAAGGCAGCCTAGATATTATTTTTAGGAATTACAGCATTTGAAAATCATATTCAGTGAATTTCAGAGAAATTATATCTATACTATTTAATACCGAGTAATGTTTAGTGAAAGGGTCAGACACTTTGGGGTAAAAAGCTGCATTATGAAGTCAAATAATTTGTTTTCATGTTTAGGAAGACATTTTTAGGGAGATAGTTTTGGTTATATGAATTCTTTGTGATAAGGGCAAAATCAGATATTATACAGGAAGCATTTATGATACCCATTCAATTGTAAGATCTCACTATTTTCCCATTCAATAATCTCAGCCACCTAAAATACGTCCAGTGTATATTTTCTGTTCTTTCTAGATATATCGTCATTTCAGATGCTCATTTCAGCCATGATCATTTATTCCAGAAGCACTTGTTAGGACGTTATACTTATTTCCTTTAAGTATAAGGTCCTGTGTTGACTACTGAGAATGAAAAACTGAACAAGACAGAAAGTCCCACCTTGAAGAGCTTCCAAGTGTAGCGAGTCTCCTGGCATCAGGTATGGCTGGTATCATGGAAACACTCGGCTGACTGTCCAGGAGATGCTGGTTAAGAGGCGGAAGGTGATGGCGTGAAATCAAGTTCAGGTGCAGGGGACACTCCTGAGAGCATTCCTGCCCTGTCCCCGTGGCCTGAGCGGCCTTCTCAGTTGCACAGGTAGGTTTTCTCTGCTCTGCACTCCCTCTGTCCCAAGGTACCCTTTAGCAAAGTGTAAACTTGTAAGAGTGGTTAGCCTTGGACTTTATCTCAAGTCTGTAATAAGGGCACCTACACTAAGACTGAAACTGGAACTTGCTATTGGTGATCAAACCATCAGTGTTAATAAGTCACTTAAGTTACATTTATGGACTGGAGAAAGAAATGGAAGAAAATCAGAGTACAAATAATAAATGGTTACCAGGTCCCTAGACCTGAAAGGGCGAATACATTCATGCAGTAGGTGTCCAGGATCCTCATGTGGTCCTCCTTCATGCTTAGGAACAGACACTCATCTTCACTACGCAAACCAGAGCCTGCATGCCTTTCGTGGTCCTTCATGCTTAGGGACACAGTCGCTCATCCACACTATGCAAACCAGAGCCTGCATGCCTTTCGTGGTCCTTCATGCTTAGGAACACGGTCGCTCATCTTCACTATGCAAACCAGAGCCTGCGTGCCTTTCATGGTCCTTCATGCTTAGGAACACGGTCGCTCATCTTCACTATGCAAACCAGAGCCTGCGTGCCTTTCGTGGTCCTTCATATTTGCAGTGTGTGGGTTGGAGTTGCTTTCTTAGCCATGACAGTGACTGAAGGGAATATCAGAGTCTGTTAATGAATGATGCTTGGAGATTTCATTTTCAAAATGTATTTTTAAATTACCTAATTATATGATATTGTATTGGAAAGTTCTTAGATTAGGTTTCACTTTAGAAATGTGATTTGGCCCTAAGTGTGATAGGAAAGAAATGTGTTCCTAATTATTCCCAGATAATTAAAATTTATGCTGTTATTTATGCTTGTTGAATTAAACGTAAAGGGAAGACATCTTATTGCTTAATAATTCAAATAATTTGAATTAGATTTTACATTGGCCTCAGGAAGATCACCTTGGTTCCTTTACTGATAATACATTCCAAAACTGATGATTCTAACTACTTACCTTTGAAGGAAAAAATTTGGCTTTTTTTCCTCATTTCTCCTCTCCCTCCTCCTTGAGAGTAATGTGGTGTGGTGGAAGAAAGATTTGCTGAGTGTTTGGAAGCTTACGTGTTAGCTTGGCCTCCAATATTTCCTCATAGTAAATCTCTAAAGCCCTTTGAATTCAATTTCCTCAGTGGCAAAATGGAGCTAGTAAGGCAACCTCATGCAAACAACAGAGAATTAAATGAGAGAACTGATATGAAGACATTAATACAGCTGCAAAACATTATGTAAATGCAAGGTATTATAATTACTAGTTCTGGTTCAATACAAGGCACTCCATGCATGTGGAAAATAACTACCTATGGCCAAAAGGTGCATCATGAGTGTCTCCTCCTGCCACTGCTCCCCAGGTCTTCCGTCATCCCATTTCATTCCTAGAGGCAACCACTGTTCCTGGTGAGTGCTAAGGACCTTCTGGAAATACCGACACAGCAAGAGATTTTGCTAAGTATGTTTAATAGACATAGGGCCCACTTCCCAGGAGAATACCTTTTTATTTTTAGTACGACATAGTTTTCTCAAGATTTGCTCAAGATTTAAGGAATCGTAGTTGCTCAAGATTTAAGGAATACCACTTAGGAATTTTTTTGGTTAAAATAGAAAAGAGTAGGATCTGTATGCTGTTAGCTTGCTGAACCAGCCATTTCTCAGATGTGGGGTGAAATTCATGGAGTACCACCGAAGGGGTGGAAATAACACAAGGAGCATGAGCTATCAGCCACATAGCTGTCTTCACTCCCCACCATGTAGCATTTCTTTTCAAAGCTGTTGCTCCCCTTTCTCGTTTCTAGATCACTGGGTGACAGCTCTGACGGAAACGAATAGCAGGTGGGATGACATGCGTTTGTGGGATTTAGATTATAGTTTGGCTGTAACATATTGCTGTGTCTCTTTTTCCAGACATGCCTTCATTTCGTAGGCTCAACACCTCTTTTCAACACAATGATTAGATTCAAGGCCTGCATTTCAGTCAAGACGTAGTCACGGGTCACTGTGGTCTTGTTATCACAGCTGGGGCTTCAAGCCCACATCAGCTCTTCCAGAACAGCAGGTGTATTCATTTCCGCCGTGCCATCCCAGGCAATGTCAAACACTCCTCACATTCTTGCCCAGGAAGCTTGTCTCTTAGGATTCTTTGTTTTTTATTATTTCAGGGCCCGTGGGGGATGTGTCAAATGTCTCCCAGATCTTTTACCCTTTAATTTGTTCATATTTACCTTAGAGGTCAGTTCCAACTGGATCTGATCCTAATATCCCCTAGTATCTAAAAATAGAACATGAGGGGGTCAGAATTATGGGCACATGGAGTGAAAATTTGAAAGGTCAGCATAATCAGCTAGGTTTTCCCTGCTCAGAGGCAAAAGCAGACTATCTTTGCCATTACTACTCATAAAACTCTACCTTAGACAATGAAGAAAGCCTCTCTTTAGAATGCTTATGTCTCCAAAGCTAAGAAATATATTGCTCAGGGTGGCCATTGAAAACCAGTTCACCCTAGCAAAAAGATTTTTACTGATTAGTAGAGTCAAAGAGAAGGAAAATCAGGTCCATTATTTCAACATAAATAATGGGGAATTACAAACAGTCTGGAGACCTTTATGTGGACTTAGAAATCTCAGCATTGCAAATATTGGCTCAAAATGATGTTTTGCTAAAGTATCATGTCCCAATTTTTGAGGATCAACATTCTAAAATAATTCTGTCATAGGAGAATTCCCAGGAAAGAAACATAAGGCTTTATGGGCACAGTGGAGGGCTGAGAACCCAAGGTCTTCAGTGAAGCTATGAATATTTTTTGGTTGTTTATGAAAACTAGTAAAATAGCACAGTGGTTAGACTACAGAAACATTTCACAGGTCTTAAATTAGTGAATACAGGAGTGTTGATTTTCATTTATTACCTAATAATCACTAGAAAATTTTCAGGATCTTCTTCCACAGTTTAAAAAATATGACTAGAATTAATTTGGTTTGATACAGGCTTTATGTGCACTGTATCAAATCTTAATCTCTTTAATCAGATATTGAAATATGTATTGCCATAGTGATTTCACAGCTCTGCAATGATGACTCCTCTCCTCTCTACTTGTCTGATACCATCTCCGGGTCAGAGACGCAGAGTAAGCTGAACTCTTGAGGTGAATAATGCTGGTCCAGCTGAATTGCCATTTCTCAGCTCTCTCCTCTGCTGGGGCTGGATTGCTTCAGTTCCGCCGTGGTGGCGGCAGGCTCTTCTGCCCACAGACACTGGAGTGCGCATTAAGGAGTGGGGATGGTGTGCATCTGCGTTTCTCCCTCTTTCAAGGCTGTGCTGCAAACACCTTCACTCTGACTCACCCACATCCATTCAATGCCACCTGCCTTTTCTCTTCTCCACTTCCTTCTGGTTTCCTGGTTTTGCACTGATCTCAATCAGTGACAAAAATTGTGTCTATGCTGAAAATGACATTCCTGTGGTTGCATAAATTGTTTATAAAAGCCTAGTCATGTTTACTAGAGATTTGTGGAAGAGAAATGATAATACTAATAAAGACAAAATATAACATTTATTTAGCTCTCACTCTCTGCTAGGCATACATGACACCTTTAATTTTTTCAACAATCTGGTAAGGTAGGGTGACATTTTTATCTTGGTTTTAAAAGAGGTGAGGTAACTTCTCAGGGTTATGCAAACAATAAATAGTGCAGTAAGAACCCAAACTCACGGTTTAGGAACCGTGGTATGTTATGCTTATTAAACAAACTGTATGTGAAGAAACATCACATTGCAGGACATGTAAATATGGACAATTTCTGTAAATAACTGCCACTAACTGCCCTACGTTGAATGCCTTTGCACTTAGTTTGGTCAGATTAAATAATAGTGTAGTCACTTAAATTTAGAATTGTCTTATTATATTAATTAAAACTCAGTTCTGGTTATTTATTTATTGAGATATAATATAAATACAGGCCAGGCATGGTGGCTCACACCTGTAATCCCAGCACTTTGGGAGGCTGAGGCAGGCGGATCACCTGAGGTAAGGAATTCCAGACCAGCCTGGCCAACATGGTGAAACCTCATCTCTACTAAAATACAAAAATTAGCCGGGCATCGTGGCAGGCGCTTGTAGTCCCAGCTACTTGGGAGGCTGAGGCAGAGAATGGCATGAACCCAGGAGGCGGAGGTTGCCGTGAACTGAGATTGCGCCACTGCACTCCAGCCTGGGCGACAGAGCAAGACTCCATCTCAAAAAAGTAATAATAGAAAAAATAAAAGTAAATAAATACAGAAAAGCACATAAAATGACAATTCTAAATTTTTGCTTATGTACAAAATAAGTACCTACCTAGATCAAGCTTTCCTACTCTCTTCCACACTAGTTTTTGCACAGTGCTTGCTTTTTTGATAGTCACCACTGAACACCTAATTTTGCTAAGGCATGAGCGGAATAAAAAGTGGCGCAATGCGATGTTGAACGTGTGAATTAGCTTAGCTGATATTTCGTGAGGAATCTGACAGAAGTTTGTATTGCCCCGTTTCCCTCCAAAATGCAGAATATCCGAGGGCACCCTCTGAGTTTGCTGCAGTTGCTGCTGAGTTTGCTGCAGTTGTTCTCCCAAGCAGCGTGGCACACAGTTGAACTTAGCAGATTTATGGTTGAATATCTCACGTTTTGTTTATAGTCCACCTCAAGTAAATTTTGTGCATAATGTGAGATGAGTGTCAAGGTTAATTTTTTCATCATATGGATATTCCATTGCTCCAATACCATTATTTGTGGTCAGTCAGGGGACCACATATGTGGGTCTATTTCAGAACTCCCTTTTCATTATTCCACAGTAATAAGACAATGTGGTGCTTACTGTCTATTACACCAGTACCACACTGTCCTAATTACTATGGTTTTATGAAAAGTCTTGAAACCTAGTAGTGTACATGGTTTCCTCCTTGTTCTTTAAGATTGTTGTGACTATTTTTTATCCTTTGCATTTGCACATAAGTTTTAGGATTTGTTGTGATGCTCTACCAAAGAAATCCCCTGTTCTTTCTAATGCGGTTAGACTAGCCTGGTGCTGGTGCGGCTAAGATTGTGTGTGTGAGGTGGCGGTGGGGGAAAGGATGGAGTTTATCAGCTCTTTAATAGGCCCTTTTCTCTTTTGCTAGGTGATAGCTCCTTCAGTGTGTTTGAGGGGAATGTAAGAAGAAGAAAAATAAAATTTAAAAAATCTCAGTTAAACAGGAAATTGCAAAGTTCTCTGTAGCTGGCTGTTGCTCTTTCTCATTTCTCATTTAAATGCCAGTTCTCTCATCGGGGCTTGTGTGTGGGCTCTTCAGAAGACCACAGAAGAGAGGGATCTCCCACTGCCCAGCTCAGACTTGGCCTTTTCTACACTCCCTGCCACCTCCACCTCTACAACCTGCCTCCAACGCCTCTATACCCCCTGCCATGACGTTCTTGCTGCTGGGATCCTTTATCTACATGGGCATCTTGAGTAGAATGCTGGCAAGAAGCTTCAAACTCAACTACGTTGCATGGCTCTACCATACCCACAGAGCACTCACACTTTCTCACCATCCCCACCTGCTCTCCCAGACTCTCCTGGGCCATGCCTGGTAACACAGGAGATAACTGGCTAAGCAGACATGCCACCCATCTCCTCTGCACGCAGGCATCGCTGTGTTTACCTCACCATCTCCACATCTTTACTCTTGGACTCTCTGTGATGGAAGAGAGTGAAGAGAGTCTCTGCATAACTTTGTTCTAACAATCCCTCTAGCTACAAGCTCATCTCCTCATCTTTATTGGTGATAAGTGGTATTGCTTTGGGGGTTAATCTAATCTGGCCCTTCTCCATAACTTACTGTTTCTGGCCAACTCTGGCCCCAGCTGTGGGCAAATTGTTGGCAGAATGCAAACTTGGATGTGTGGTCATCAGTGGCTTTGGTTCTCAGTTTTGGACCATAAATGTAATTTCCTCCCTCCAAACAACAGCAGCAGGAATAACAACAATTAATTCCACGTTCTTTTTAAGGCCAGTTTTACTTTAAAATCTAAAATAACTAAAGACCTTTCCTGTCCTTGCCTCTAAGAGCAGCTAATCTATTTTTCATAAGAAATGATTCTTTTTACCCCCCCGTTTTGATATATGGTGAGTGTAGTTACTAATGAGACAAAGACTTTCACATTCAACAAATGCAGGTCTGCATTTACTGTATGGTGTGCTCTGTTTTAATGTCTAGGTCTATACATTCACAAATCTGATTTAACCCAAATAAAATCTGCAAGTTAGGTGTCATTATTTGAGTTTTAGCTAAAAAAAAATGCTGAGAATGTTCATCTTCCAGAGGGCCAGTACATTTGCTGCTTTAGCCACAGCCATCTCCCAAAGTCAGTCAGTTTTCCCAGGAACAACCGCAAGGAAGATGTTCGATGTGCATCCACCTGGAAAAGCAGCCCAGAAACAGACGACCTATGGATGAGGCCATTGTCATCTCCTTACACAAAAGAAGGCATTTTAAATTGCGGAAGTCTGAAATGATCGAACTTGCACCATAGGTGATTTTTTTAATTGGGTGCTCTAGAGACTACTATTATGAGGTCAGCACTAGGCCAATAATTCACTTTTATGTCTTAGAGTTACTTACTTGTTTCTTTGAACCAGAGAAAGAAAGAAGCAGCATTTAAGATAAATGGGGAACAAAAGACAGAACAAAGACACTAAGTGAACCTTATTTAGCTTGTTGACTTCCAAAAGTTAAATGGATTTTTTAAATGTATATTTCTCATTATTTGATCATACAAAATCTTTGCAGGCATTTGGAAAATCTGACAACATAAAAACATGTCAAAGGCACAACCTCATAGTTTCCTTAGATCTCCAGAAAAGAGCAAAGCAATCTCTGTCTTCAAATGAAGTTTTTTATCCTTTTTTTTCTTTGAGAGCAGCACCTAACATTTTCATTGGATGTTCCAGTTCATCTTTCCAAATTATTTGAAACTTTTAAAATAGGACTTTTGTTTGATTACTGGCATACAATTTTAACTTAATGGATGTAGCACCGAATGACAAATATTTTATTCTTTTGGAGAATCTCATTAAGATTTTCACTTTTTTTGTTTTATTTTCATATAAGTTTTAAAAACCCTAATCAATCTGAGCTGTGTCTGATTTTTACTGTAATCAGTTAAGAACTGCTGTTTCTCTCTTAGGATGTTGAAAAGTTTGTGTTTGTATTTATCTCACTGTGAAATTAATTTGGTTTTGTTCTTTGATGGAAATCTGAGTTGTGTTTTCTTCATATGAAAGAGATGCAGCAGTAAACCCCCATCTTTATTTCAACGTGTGGAGCAGGTGGTCCACGTCACTGGAATGCAGAACGTAAGTCAAGGCTTTCCTTTCACTTTTGCTGTTTCTTAATTTGATGACTTGAAGATAATGCAAACCTGTATGAGCACTAGACTTTTATTGAGATTTCTGAATAGCATTATTTTTAAGTTTCCATTTTTAGAATTTCAATAACTACTCATATAGGAGATTTGCAACAGAAATCTCATCAATGCTGTTTTGTGTTTACTTTTGAGATTCCAGGCTACACGTACAAGTTTGTTATCTAGGTACTTGGTGGGTCGTGGGGGTTTGGTGTACAGATTATTTTGTCACCCAGGTAATAAGCATAGTACCTGATAGGTCATTCTGTCCTCACTCTCTTTCCACCCTCCACCCTCAGACAGGCCCCAGCATCTATTGTTTCTTTCTCCGTGTCCATTTGTTCTCGATGTTTAATGCCCACTTATAAGTAAGAACATGCAATGCTTGGTTTTCTGTCCTTGTGTTAATTTGTGTAGGATGATGGTGTCCAGCTCCATCCACGCTGCTGCAAAGGACATGATCTCATTCTATTTTATGGCTACGTGGTAGTCCATAGTGTGTATGTACCATATTTTAGTTATCCAGCCTATCATTGATAGGCATTTAGTTTGATATTATGTCTTTGATATTGTGAATAGTGCTGAGATAAACATACACATGCATGTGTCCTTATGGTAGAACAATTTATATTCCCTTGGGTATATACCCAATAATGGGATTGCTGGGTTGAATGCTAGTTCTATTTGAAGTTTTTTGAGAAATTACCAAACTGCTTTTCACAATGGTTAAACTAAATTACATTCCGACAAGCAGCACATAAGTGTTCCCTTTTCTCTACAAGCTTGCCAGCATCTGTTATTTTTTGACTTTTTAATAACAGCCATTCTGACTACTGTGAGATGGGATCTCATTGTAGCTGTGAATGACATTTCCCTAATGATGAACAATGTGAGCATTTTTTACATACCTTTTGGTCACGTGTATGACTTCTTCTTAATGGGGTTGTTTGATTTTTGCTTGTAAATATGTTTTGCTTGTAAATATAGTTCCTTATAGGTGCTGGATATTAGACCTTTGTCAGATGCATAGTTTGAAAATATTTTCTCCCATTCGGTAGATTGTCTGCTTACTCTGTTGATAGTTGCTCTGCTGTGCAGAAGCTTTCTAATTAGGTCTCATTTGTCAATTTCGGTTTTTATTGTTTTTGACATCTTCATCATGAAATATGCCCAGAATGATATTTGCTAGGTTTTCTTGCAGGGTTTTTATAGTTTTAGGTTTTACATTTAAGTTTTTAATCATCCTGAGTTAATTTTATATGTGGAGAAAAGAAGGGGGTCCAGCTTCAATCTTCTACATATGGCTAGCCAGGTATCTCAGCACCGTTTAATAAATAGAGAGTTATTTTCCCATTGTTTTTGTAGAATTTATTAAAGATTCGATGATCGAAGGTGTGTGGCTCATTTCTGGGCTCTCTGTTTTGTTTCACTGACCTGTGTGTCTGCTTTTGTTCCAGATCTTGCTGTTTTGGTTTCTGCAAACTCGTACCATTTTGAAGCCGGGTTATATGATGCCTCCAGCTTGGTGCATTTTGAAGTTGGGTTATATGATGCCTGCGGCTTGGTGCATTTTGAAGTCGGACTGTATGATGCCTGCGGCTTGGTGCATTTTGAAGTCGGACTGTATGATGCCTGCGGCTTGGTGCATTTTGAAGTCGGACTGTATGATGCCTGCGGCTTGGTGCATTTTGACATCGGGTTATATGGTGCCTGCGGCTTATTGCATTTTGACGTCGGGTTATATGATGCCTGCGGCTTGGTGCATTTTGATGTCGGGTTATATGATGCCTGCGGCTTGGTGCATTTTGATGTCGGGTTATATGATGCCTCTGGCTTGGTGCATTTTGAAGTCGGGTTATATGGTGCCTGCGGCTTGGTGCATGTTGCCGTCGGGTTGTATGATGCCTGCGGCTTGGTGCATTTTGAAGTCGGATTATATGATGCCTCTGGCTTGGTGCATGTTGAAGTTGGGTTACATGATGCCTCCGGCTTGGTGCATTTTGAAGTCGAGTGATAGGATGCCTCTGGCATGGTGCATTTTGAAGTCGGGTTATATGATGCCTCCGGCTTGGTGCATTTTGAAGTCGGGTTGTATGATGCCTGCAGCTTGGTGCATGTTGAAGTCGGGTTATATGAAGCCTGCAGCTTGGTGCATTTTGAAGTCGGGTTATATGATGCCTCCGGCTTGGTGCATGTTGAAGTCGGGTTATATGATGCCTCCGGCTTGGTGCATTTTGAAGTCGGGTTGTATGATGCCTCGGCTTGGTGCATTTTGCTTAGGATTGCTTTGGCTCTTTGGACTCGTTTTTGGTTCCCTATGAATTTTAAAATAGTTTTTTCTCATTCTGTAGAAAATGTAATTGATAGTTTAATAAGAATAGTATTAAACCTATAAATTGCTTGGACAGTGTGGCCATTTTAGTGATGTCAATTCTTCCTATCCATGAACATGGAATACTTTTTAATTTTTCTGATTTCTTTCAGCATTATTTTGTATTTCTCATTGTAGAGGTCATTCACCTCCCTGATTAGCTGTATTCTAGATAATTGGTATGTGTGTGTCTGTTATGAGTGGAATTGTGTTCTTGATTTGGTTCCCAGTTTGCAGATTGTTGGTGTATAAAAATGCTACTGATTTTTGTACATTAACTTTATATTCTGAAACTTTGCTGATGTTGTTTATCAGATCTATAAGCTTTTAAATAGAGACTCTGGGGTATTATATGTATAAAATTATATCACCTGCAGAGATAGGTTGACTTCCTCTCTTCCTATTTGGATGCCTTTTATTTTTTTTCCTTTTGCCTGATTGCTCTTGCTAGGACTTCTACTACCATGTTGAATAGGAGTGGTAAGAGTGGGCATCCTTGTCTTGTTTCCTGTTCTCAAGGGGAATGTTTCCAGAGTTTGCTAGTTCAGTATAATGTTGGCTCTGGGTTTATCATATCTGACTCATTACTTTCAAGTATATTCCTTCAATACCTAGTTTGTTGAGTGTTTTTAACATAAAAAGGATGTTGAATTTTATTGAAAGATTTTTCTGCATCTATTGAGATGATCTTGTGGTTTTGCTTTTAGCTCTGTTTATGTGATGAATCACATTTATTCATCTGTGTGTGCTGAACCTGCCTTGCATTCCAGAGATAAAGCCTACTTGATCACAGTGGATCAGCTTTTGGATGTGCTGCTGGGTTCAGTTTGCTAGTATTTTGTTCAGGATTTTTGTATTTCTGTTCTTCAAGGATATTGACCTGGTTCTTTCTTTTTTGTCATATCTCTGCCAGGTTTTGCTATCAGAATGATGCTGGCCTCAGAGAATGAGTTTGAATTTCTCTTTTATTAAGAATGCTAAATATAGGCGTCGAATATCTTCTGCCCTGTCAGGTTTCTGTTGAAAATTTCGCTGGTAGCCTGATGGGGTTTCCTTTGTAGGTGACCTGTCTGTCCCTTCTCTCTAGCTCCCTTTGATATTTTTTTCATGTTGACTTTGGTGAATCTGATGTCTATGTGTCTTGGGGATGTACATCTTATATAGTATCTCACAGGTTTTGTCTGCATATTCTGAATTTAAATGTTGGCCTCTAGTGAGGTTGGATAAAATTTCATGGACAATATCCTCAAATATGTTTTCCAAGTTGCTTGTTTTTTTCTCTCTCTCTTGCAGGGATACCAACGTGTCATAGGTATGGTCTCTTTACACAATCCCATATTTCTTGGAGATTTTGTTCATTCTTTTTCTTTTCCTTTTCTTTATTTTTGTCTGACTGAATTGATTTGAGGTACTGGTCTTCAAGCTCTGAGATTCTTTCCTCAGCTTGCTCTATTCTGCTGTTAATATTTGTGATTGCACTATTAAATTTTGTAGTGAATTTTCTAGCTCTATCTGATCAGTTTGATTCTTTCTTAAAATGCCTAATTTGTCTTCCAGTGCTTGTATTGTTTTATTGGATACCTTAGTCTCCTTGGATTGGGTTTTTACTTTCTCCTGAATCTTGATGATCTTCATTTTTATCCAGATTCTGAAATCTATGTATGTTATTCGAGCCATTTCAGCCAGGTTAAAAATGCTTGCTGGGGAATGAGTGCGATTGTTTGGAGGTAAGATGACATTCTGGCTTTTTGAGTTGCCAGAATTCTTGTGCTGATTTTTTCTCTTCTGTGTAGTCTGATGTTTCTTTAAACTTTCAAGTTACCAAAACTAAGCTCATCACTCCTGAGCTGCAAGCTCTAAACCTGGGAAGCTGGTACTGGGCCCTGGCTTTTCTCCCTGGTCCCTTGAAGTTAGAAGCCTGCTGCACTGGAGGAGTGGGTGTTCCCTGTTTGTTGGCAACAACACTCCAATCAGAGGTGCCAACCAAAGTGCTTCTTTGGGACAGTGGCAGTGGGATCTGTTCTCACACACATGTGTGCAAGCAGCAGTGGCACAACAGTGTCCCTGTGCATCAGTGGGGATGGGGCACCCATATACCAGCATCCATGCACACATGCTCACGCTGACAGTGGTGGGATGACAGGGTGTGTGCACTTGCATGCTGGCAAAGGAGAAAAGGTGGAATCCATCTGAGTGCATGTGTTGGCAAAGCAATGGAGGGTAAGGAAGCCATGACCAAGTGTGCATTGGCAATGCTGTGGGGCAGGCTGCTGTGGAGAAAGGCTGTAGGTAGGCTGGTATCTGTCAGTGGTTGCCAGTCTGCTGAAGTTCTCCAATGGTCAGGTGTGGTCTGCTGGTGAAAGAGCTATAATGAGGCCCCCCAGGAAGCACCCTGGTTGGACATTCAAGGCAGGACTGCAAGTGTGTGCCGCCAGCCTGGGGCCCTAGGAGAAGATGGCAAACAGGGGTGTCCTCAGATCAGACGGTCCTGTCTCATGGGCAGGACTCCCCTGCTCTGTCCATGTTTGACAGTCACCGAAGGCAAAGCCACCTAGAGTAGCATGGCAAGTCTTGGAGCATAGGTGTCCCTGGCCATGCTCTAATGCAGCTGTTCTCATGCTTAACACCCTGGGCTCCACAGAGTGGCCCCTGCCACCTCTCCAAACAGCTCTCCCTGACATTTAAGTGATGGTGAGGTCATGAGGTCTCCTGAAGCTAGGATTCTAGAGGTCTGTGGTGAGAGCAGGCTACTTTTTTCCTGTTCAACTCACTCCTTCCCCAGGAGCTGTTGGGGGCCAGGAGCAGGTCCTGGTGCTCAGCAGTCCTGTGCAGGGTTCCCAGCTTTCTCTTCCTTCATCCCAAGGTCTTCGTTCTTTTTCCATGCACTCTCAATGCCTTCCCCTCAAAGATCTGCTTGGAGTGTGCCGGTCTTCCTGATATCCTGGTCTCTAGGTGGGAGATGTTGTCTTTGGCTGCATCTCGTCAGCCATATTGCCTCCCACTCCTTTTATGTTTTCAATTTCCTAAATAGACCCCCTTGTATTATATTTTACATTGAATATAATGTTTACGTGTCCCTGTTGTAGATTATTTCCGTCAGGATGTTTAGCAGCTGTGAGAACAGAGCACTTTTGTGAGAAAGCTCTCAAATAGGTTCCCCCACCTCATCCTTTTAGTTATGAACTGCTTGAGAATTTCACATGTGGGAGACCCTTACCCACTTGCAGGGAAGATTTTTTTCTCCAAAGACGAATTACAATAATTTACAAATTAGATTTGAGGAGGAATTATTACTTTTAATGACTAAACAGAGATAATTAATGTGAATAACTATTGAAAATATTAATCTGGAGTCCAAATTCAAACCCATTTTATCAAATTTTAATTTTACTTCCAAATTGAAACAAATTTTTTATTCCATGCAGGAGCACAGATTTTTAAATCCAGACGTGTCATCTATGGAATTATTTCTTCTTTCCACTTAACCTCATGACTTTTTTATAATCTCAAATAATCATAACAATAATTTTCAATAAGATATACTTTTCCATATCTAATGAAGGCAAAAGAATGGCTTAGGATTAATTTTTACTTGGACTATAAGATGACTGGAAATGAGATTTAGAGCTGATGTGATTTAAGACTGGTCCTGGAAATAGGGCTGTTATTCTCTGGTAACTTAAATGTAGAAAACCTTCACATAAAGTGAGTTTTTCAGCTTGTGCTCAGAATAAATGAGCAAATTAAGGGAATGAGGAATATAATCCCTTGAAATAGCAATCATTCTGGAATGTGAGAGGAAAGAAGAGAGACAGAGATAGAAGTGACAGAAAGTGAGAGAGAGAGCACCAGCTTTAAGCTAGTTTTGTCCTCTTTTTAATTTTTGACATCTGTGGTGTTGTTACACACACACACAACATGCACGTTTTCTTTTATGGCTCATAACTCCCATAACCCCCATTACAGGCATTTGTTATAATGTTGGGCATGTTGTGCCTCAAGAACAGGCCTCAGGAAACAGAATCTTTCTGGCTTCCTCCTTCCTTTTTTTTCCTGCCCCAGGGAAGGACTCTGATCTCCCACCTTGCCTTCTGATTGTGAGTCATAAGACCCTCGCCAGAGGTGGCCCTGCCCTACACCCGAGGGGAAGGAATGCTGGCATCATGAAGCTTCCATAAAAATTCAAGAGGATTGATTCTGGGAGCTTCTAGAGAGCTGGCCACATGGAGGTTCCTGGAGGGTGTTGCACCAGGGAGGGTATGGAAACTCTGTGCCCCTTTCACCACACCTTACCCTACACGCCTCTTCATCTGGATCCTTTGCAATATCCTTCATGATACATTGACAAACGTAAGTGTTTTTCTGAGTTCTGTGAACTACTCCAGCAAGTTAATTGAACCCAAAGAGGGGATCTTGGGAACCCCAAATAGAAGTCAGTCAATCAGAAGTTCTGGATGCCTGGATTTGTGAATAGTATGTGGTAACGGGGGCAGTCTTGGGGACTGAACCCTCTATCTGTACAATCTGACATTATCCCCAGGTATTTAATTTCAGAATTGAATTGAAGGACATCCAGCTAGGCCAGCTGCAGAACTAATTACTTGCCTGGTGGTGGAGTGAACCCCCCCCCACATTTATACACGGAAATCTTGGATGTTTATGAATCTTGTTGTGGTGGTGTGAGAGCAGAGGAAAAACACTGTTTGACAGGTTTTCTGAAACGGCAACATAATATAATTGTGGATAAAATTTAATATTTATGCATACGAAATGAAGCTTGCAGATTAAAAATTAAATTTTCTTTTTTGTCTCTCTCTCTCTCTCTCTTCCTCTCTGTCATTTATGAACATTGTTTCCAAAATTTTGAATGTGAGTGAAAAGTGGAATATAAGAGATTGTGATAATCTCCTATGCCATGTTAAGGTTTCTGTTAAAAAATGCACCTCACTTTTACTATTTAAAGGAACATTAACTGTAATGGGTATATTAGAGCATGATGTTGAATTAGCATTTCTACGTACAAACTCTTGCATTTGAGCTGATATGTGGTGATATTTAAGAACTAAAACATAATAAAGAGAAAAAGAGCTCCATATGATCAACTAACCTAAGGACTTTGATACATCATATTTTACCTGCTGGCATCTACTACCAATATAACTGAACTCACAGAACTACAATGCTTCTTCAGGAAAAAAAACAACTAGACTAATTACTATTTTTAGGCTAACTTTCTGTTACAAAATTAGAAATAAACCAAAATTATAATTCTTAAATTAGATATTCATGTTAATGTTGTTATCTCTATTCTTAGTGAAGTGATTAAACTTATAACCTTTAATTTACTATAGCTTCAGAAAAAGCCCCAATGTATACTAAAACACTAAATATTTTCTTACTTAGAAACTCAATCAGAAGTTTCAACACTAAATGTCTATTTAGATCTGAGCACGAGTTTATTTTTTAAGAAAACTTCAAGTAAATAATAGCTAATTTATTTGTTCATAAGTCAACAATTGATTTCCAGAGAATGAGTTTTGATATTTACAAAATATATGTATGACCTTTAAAATATAAATAATATTATTTTTCTCTATCAGTAAAAGTCAGCTTTTCTGATTGTCTTTTTGGTCTTTATTATTATTATTATTATTATTAAATATACTTTCTAGATAAAAGTTTTACAGCTATTAAAAATTGATAATATAATATAGAGATTTCCTGTATATCAGCATCCTCATACCCAGCCCAATTTTCACTATTATTAACATTATACATGAATATGATAGTTAATTTTTCATAATTAGTGAACTAAACTTCATTATTATTTTCTGAAGTCTATACTTTTTTCAGAATTCCTTGTTTTTTACATAATTTTTTTGTATTCTAGATTCTATTTGGGTCACCACATTATATTTCATTTTTATGTCTCCTTAGACTCCTGTTGGCTGTGACAGTTTCATATACTTTCCTTGTTTTTCCTGACCTTAACAGTTTTGAAGGCTTTGGTAAACTATTACATAATACTCTTCTATTAAAATCTGTCTGTTTGTCTCATGACTAAACTGGATTTATGTGTTTTGGAGAGGAAGATCATAGACTATGTTGCCATGTTCATATCAAGGGTATATTCCACTAGCATGATTCACAACCACTGATCTTCACCTTAGTCACTTGGTGAAAGTAGTGTTTGCCAGAACTTTGTATTTCCCCCTTTCCACATTATATTCTTTGGAAAGAAGTAACTGTATGCAGCTCACACTTATAGAGAGTGTATATGTGGGAGAGTTCTTATTTTTTTCTTACAAAATTAACTCTCAGATTTGCAGGTTTGGAAAATAATGTTGACAGACTGATTCTGAATCTCCCACACATCCTCTCCAAAAATCCATAAAGTTCACATTGAGAGCAAACGAAACCATATAGAATCCATGGAGACAGAGAATGTCAACACTGAAATCTTCAATTTACCACAAGCGAGAATAAAATAGACAAACGCCAACAGAGCTCACATAAACCGTATTAGACATCCGAGGATGCAGGCTGGAGGAGTTTAAAGAACTCTGCAATAAAAATGTAGATGAATGTGAAAGATGTGCAGAAGACAGGAAAAATCACGCCTCAGTAAGAAAATATGCACTAATAAATGCAAAAATATGGAACGTGGATTGAGACACAATTCAGAGAAATGCTGTAAGAAAGGTACTCAAACAAGTGCTAAATTGCAGCATTAGATAGTCATTTCAGATACATGGGGTGACACTTACTGGAGACAAAAAGGTGAGGAGGAATAATGAATCAGACAGAAAAATGAAGGATTTTGTGAAGCTTCAGTCTTTTCCTTTTTCCTATACTACCATCACCACCACCACCATCGTCCACAAAAAGTCCTGCCTAGCAGAATGCCAGCCTGCCAGAAGAAACTCTCAAACTAGGAACTCTGTCCACAAAATGAATAGGAATAGAAGAAAGCAGATTGTACACAGGCCAATGTAAAAAAAAATAAAAGCTTTTGTGTTGGTTAAATATCACCCCAAAAACTGTAACACAGTACTTCAAGATGAATTACATATTTTTAAACAAGTACTGGGGAATATGAACAACAATAACAATAAAACAAAACAAAACAAAACAAAAAAACAAAAAACAACAACAACAAAAAAAACAAGAAAACAGTATGAACCAGGGAAAAATTCTATGACCTCAAATTATAAAAACACAGTAGGAAATTAAACAAGAGTTGATTGAACTTGAAAAAAGAAATAGAAGGCATAATTATATAATAAAGACTAAATTAGAGACCCCCAAAAATACATTAAAAATTTAATAATTAGCATTACAGAAAACCAGAAAAACAATCAAGAGAATAAAAATGATATAAAGAAGTAAATAAAGAGGAATTACAGACAGAAAAGAAGGTCCAACATACATATAATCGATGTTTCTGAAGTAGAAAACCAAAATGATGAACAAAATTAATACTTCGAACTATATCCAAAAATACACAATGAAAATGTATTTTCAAGGAAAATGACTTGGAACAATTATCTTTCAGCCATATGCTAGTAAAACTGTTAGACTTCAACAATAAAAACAAATTTATTATTTTCAAGCAGAAAGATAAAATAACTTATAAATCAGAAAAAACCTAGATGGAGTTTGATTCCTTGAAAACAACAAGGAAAGAAAGCCACCAATGCAGTAACATTTTCAGAAAGCTTAAAGAAAGAAAGAATGAGTCAAAGATAATATGTCTGTTCAAACTGTCTGTCAAGTGTCAAGGCACATTTCTTTTTTCTTTTTTTTTGAGATGGAAGAGACTTGCCCTGTCTCCCAGGCTGGAGTGCAATGGCACCATCTCGGCTCACTGCAACTTTTGCCTCCCAGGTTCAAGAGATTCTCCTGTCTCAGCCTCCTGAGTATCTGGGATTACAGGCGTGAGCCACCACGCCCAGCTAATTTTTGTAATTTTGCTAGAGACAGGATTTTGCCACATAAGCCAGGCTGGTCTCAAACTTCTGACCTCAGGTGATCCACCTGCCTTGGCCTCCCAAAGCACTGGGATAACAGGTGTGAGCCACTGCACCTGGCCCAAGGCACATATCTGAATGTTCCAGAACTCAGTACTGCATAAATTTCCCTTCCTGAGGTATCTACTAGAGGATGAGCTTCATCTAAAAAAACATGACTTGGAAATCATTGGCAAAAAGCCTGAGGAGTTTATTAGTTCATTGCAGGTATAAGAGTAACACAAGTATGGGGTCATGGGTAGATTTATATTTAAAAATTATCCATTATGTGTCCACACAACGTAGAAGAAATAAAACCAATGAATGAGAGAAGGAAGAGAAGAAAAAGTAGAATATAATTTTTAATTGTTTCATCCTAGAATATTGGAATTAATAAATACTATTAGAAACCAACATATCATTCGTGACACTGCACTCCAGCCTGGGTGACAGGGTGAGACTCTGTCTCAAAAAAAATAATAATAAAAGAAATGAACATATCAAATAATAATATGTTAAATGAGAAAAAAGGAATTGAAAGCTTAGTAAAATATTAATTCAAAGTTAACCACCAACATATAAATAAAGGTATAAATTTTCTCAAACACTGAAAGAAATTTTAAGAAGGTCCAAGAGGTCACACTAAATCTAGTATGCACTGTAATTGTAATATAATATAACATGAGAGGCAGAATTGAGAATAAACATAACTGTCATATCAATAAATGTGAATGACCCTAACTTGCTTACTAAAGAAAAAATATGTTCAAATTAACTCATAAAACAAAACTATATAAAAGGGAACACTAAAAATTCAGTGGTTAGAAATGATATAACTGAAAGACAAACTAAAGATCTAATTCAAATGAGACAAGAAAGAAAATGTTAAGCCTCTGATACTACATAAAATAGAATTTAAGCAGCATTTAGTAAGATAAAAAAGAATATTTTGTAATGGTAAACACCGTAATCTTGAATGAAAATACAACAGTAATGGGCATCCACATACCAAATAATGTGGCAAATACCTATATTAAATAAGAACTGTAAAAGCTGCAGAGAAAAATACATAGGTGCACACTAATATAGACAGTATTTAACATACCGCTCTCTGCAAAAGACAAATAAGTGAACAAAATATATATTAAAATAGAAAAAAACTAAACAAACAACACAATAAGGTAGAACTTTTAGATGTATATTGAGTAATACACCATAAAAATAGAAAATTTTTTTCTTAAGTATGTATGGAAAATTCACAAAGATTTATCGTATACTAGGGCATATAGAAAACATCAGTACATTCCATAAAATGTAAATATTACAGTTTCTGATCATAATACAGTATCCCTAGAAATTAAAAATGAGACAAAATGACTTTTTACCTGGAAATTATAAGTTCTATTATACAACGCTCAAATAAAAAGGGAAATACTTACAAATTATAGAATTTCTGGAAATTAACAAGAATAAAAATACTATAGATGAAAGTTGGTGTGATATATATTAAATGCAGTCATTAGAAAAATACTCACTGGGGGTGAGTGAAAAGTGTGCTGCTCCCATGGTCACAGGACCTGGGTGCCCTAGCTTTGCAGGTGAACAGGGAAGGGAATGGCCTGAAACCCAAGATTCCCGTCTCAGCCTGGAAAAGGCTTACAGCCTGGGGCAGTTTTGAGTTCTAAGCATAGACTGCTTGGAATTTAGCTAGTTGCTGCTAGCAAATACTGAGGGTTACAGACCTGCTGTGCCAAGTGTGTGGGAGCTAGGTGAGGCTTACTTTTGCCTGCTATTCCCCACTCCCTGTGTGAACCCTTCTGTGAAGCAGAGGCAGTTATGTTCCTTTCTGGAACATTACCCCAGTGGCCAGAGAACTGCCCCCTGACCCCCTCAGGGACTTCTGCTTGCCCTGCAAGTGGAGAACAAGAACTTGAAGCTGCCTGACCCATCCCCCACCTGCCTTTGCTTCTCCACCTACTCTGGTAGCTTAACACAAAGGATAGAAACTTTTGGAAGCCCTATGGCCCATCCCATCACCTTAGAAACCAGAATACTTTCTCTGGGTAACATAAGGCAAACACAAATCTTACCACTACTACCGCAGCTGGTTCTCCTTTGCAAGTTCCACCTCTTGGCTGGAAGCCAACTGACACAGTCCATTACAGCATCTCCAGGAAAACTAACACTGCATCCAGGAAGGAGAAAACTTGTGTGTGACCTCAGCTATCACCACTGCCTGCACAAACCCGGCCAACAAGGAACTCTTGAGTGTGACCCTATGACCAGTTCATTACTACTGCAATCAGCATTTGAGAAAGCCTACACACTAAGGCTATTTATACCCAAGGAACTTTACAGACTCTGTCACTTCCCCGCCACCCTCATCAGAGTGAGTGCTGGTACCCACTGCTAGGAGACTTGAGGGTAGTTTATATCACTGGCTCCCTTGAAGACATTCCCCAACACCAGCTTGGGTTGTGGCAGCCCCACTGGGCAGCTAGACCGAGAGGACCAGCAACATTCACACTAGTCTGGTTATCAGGAACTCCTAATCCTAAGGTAAAAGGAAGTGAACCGCATCAAGCGAACATCCCATAGGACAAAAGATGATAGATGGCAGGCCTTGAGTCTCAGGTTTTTCCACTAGTGGGAAGTTTACTTCAACAGAGACCCAGTTGCAGTGCTGGGCTCAGCAGGGATAGTCTACAGCTCAACAGACAGGCAGCTCTGGTGCTCATAAAGGGTCTTAGAGAAGGAGACTTCCCCCTTTTCCACACAGCAGAACCAACTGGGGCTTCTTCCATGGGAGCTCAGCATGGTAGAACTACACATAGCCTTTCTGAAGCACTTCAAGACACTTCAGGGTGACTGCATTCCCACAGGTGGAGCACCCTGTAGGTTCAGGCTTGCATGAGAAGTAGTCACAGTTTCTCTCTACCTGGAACATCAACATTCCTGTGGATAAAAAGAGGTGCCTGTCTGATCTGAATAGCTAGAACACTGGGTCAGAAGTGTGTCTGGGAGGTGGATGACTTTCCTGCTGGCCTGCCAGGGGAGCTAAAGTGTATCTTGCCCTTCCCCCTGATAATACATCAGTGTGTTTTACTGACAGTTCTGCCAGCCATCTCTGTCAAGGCTGGGACCTCTACCCACCTCTGGAAATAGCATTTACCTACCTGCTTTCACCACAGCTGGTTTCTACTCAGGGACACCCCCTCTACTGGCCTGAAGCCTAAACTATTCAACTCAGCAAATAAAATACTGAGGAAAAAAATAAATAAAAGCATGCACACCATGGGGAAATGAGGTGAGCTTCAAGAGGTCTCTGTCATTCCAACCCCATAGGTGACAGTAAACTTGCACACACACCAAGCATATTGCTACTACAACCAGTATCTGAGAAAGCCATCATACAAAGACTTTCTATAATCAAGAAACTTACAGTCTTACTCCTGAAAGCATGAAGAGTCAAATTGACTATGATAAACTATAAACATTAAAGTCACATCCTTAAGGGGAAAAAAGAAATTTAAAAAAGCCAGTCAAATAAAAAATTTAAGAATAATTAGAAGAAATAGTCTACCCAAATGAGAAGAAACCAGAAAAATAATCTGGTAATATGGCAAAACAGGATTCTGTAATACCCCCAAAAGATTACATTAGCTCTCCAGGAATGGATCCAAACCAAAATGAAATCTTTGAAATACTAGGTAAAAAATTCAAAAGTTTGATTGTTACGCTACTCAAGATGATACCAGAGAAAGTTTAAAACCAACATAAAGAAATTAAAAATCAATTCGGGATATGAATAAAACATTTTCTAAAAAGATATTTTTTAAAAAAGCCAATCAGAATTTCTGAAAATGAAAGACACATTTAGGGAGTTATAAAATGCAATGGAAAATTTAACAAAAGACTAGAACAAGTAGAATAATGAATTTCAGAGCTCAAAAACAAAGCATTCAAATTAACCCAATCAGACAAAGAAAAAAGAATAAAAAGAAATTAAAAATTCTGTAAGAAATATGAGATCATGTAAAATGGGCAAACATAAGAATAACTGGTGTTCTTGAGGGAGAAGAAAAAGCAAAAAAGTTTAGAAAGTTCATTTGAGGGAATAATTGAAGAAAACTTCCCTGGCCTTGCTAGAGGTTTAGATTTCCAAATACAAGAAGCTAAAGAACTCCTCGGAGATTCATCACATAAAGGACTTCACTAAGACATATAGTTATCCATTTACCTAAAGTCAACATGAAGGAAATAATTCTGAGGGCAGTGAGACAAAAGCATCAAGTAACCTATAAAGGAAAACCTATCAGACTAACAGCAGATTTCTCACCAGAAACCTTACAGGCAAAAGGGATTGGGACCCTATCTTTAGCCTCCTGAAACAGAATAACTGTGAGTTAAGAATTTTGTATCCATCAAAACTAAGTTTCATGAATGAAAAAGAAATGATGTCATTGTCAGACAAACAAGTGCTGACAGAATTTGTCAATAACAGACCAGCCCTGCAAGCAATGATAAAAAGAGTTCTAAATTTTGAAACAAAAGGTTGATATGCACCAGAATAGAACCTTTTGAATGCATAAAATTCACAAAGCCTGTAAAACAAAAACACAGTGAAGAAAACAAAGTATCTAGGTAACAATTAACAGGATGACTGGAACAATACACTACATCTCATTATTAATGTTGAATGCAAATATCCTAAGTGCTCCACTTAAAAGACACAAATTGGCAGAATGGATTAAAAAAATCACAGGTAAAATATCTACTGTTTGAAAGAGACTCACCCAACATATAAGGACTCATATTAACTAAAGGTAAACGAGTGGAAAAAGATATTCCATGCAAATTAAAATCAAAAGCAAGCAGGAGTAGCTATTCTTATATCAGATTAAAACAGACTTTACAGCACAACAGTAAAAAAAATGAAGTTACTTATATGATAAAAGGATTAATCCAAAAAGAATATATTATAATTCTCAACTTAGATCTACCTAACACTGGAGATCCAAGATTGATAAAACATTTACTACTAGACCTAAAAAATGAGATAGACAGCAAGAGAATAATAGTAGGTGACATGATCTAGCTCTGTGTCCCCACCCAAATCTCACCTTGAATTGTAATAATCCCCACATGTCAAGGACAGGACCTGGTGAAGGTAATTGAATCATGGTGGCAGTTTTCCCCATGCCATTCTCATGATAATGAGTGAGTCTCATGATCTGATGGTTTTATAAGCATTTGGCATTTCCCTTGCTTGCCAGTCTCTCTCATGCCACCTTATGAAGAAGGATGTGTTTGCATCTCCTTCCAACATGACTGTAGGTTTCCTGAGGCCTTCCCAGACATGAAGAGCTGTGAGTCAGTTAAACCTCTTTTCCTCTTTGTAAATTACCCAGTCTCAGTATTTCTTCATAGCAGCATGAGAATGAACTAATACAGTGGGGACTTCAATACTCCACTGACAACACTAGACAGATTATCGAGACAGAAAATCAACAAAGAAACAAAGGGCTTAAGCTATCCTCTACAACAAATGGACCTGACAGATATTTACCAAACATACCACCTAAGAACTGTAAAATATATATTTTTTGTCATCAGCACATGGAACATTCTGCAATATAGACCATATGATAGGCCACAAAATAACTCTCAATACATTAAAAAATATCTAAATAATATCAAGTATCTACTCAGACAACTGTGGAAAAAACTGGAAATTAATTACAAAAGGCATCCTCAAAGCTACACAAGTACATGAAAATTAAACAATCTGCTCTTGAATTATTTTGGGGGAAACAATGAAATCAAGATGGAAATTTAAAAATTCCTTGAAATGAAGAATAATAGTGACAGAATTTATCAAAACCTCTGGGATATAGAAAAAGCAGTGCTAAGAGGAACATTTATAGCACTAAATGCCTACATCAAAAAGTCTGAAAGATCACAAATTGATAACCTAGTGTTGACTTCAAGGAACTAGAGAAACAATCATAAACTCCACTCAAAGTTAGCAGAAGAAATGAAATAACAAAGATCAGAGTAGAACTAAATGAAACCAAAACAAACAAACAAAAATAGAGAAGATCAATGAAACAAAAATCTGGTTCTTTGAAAAGCTAAAAAAATGATATATCATTAGCCAGATTAATCATTACTAAAGAAGAGAAGAGATACATATAAACTCAATTAGAAATGAAACTGGAGACATTACAACCAACACCACAGAAATACAAAATATTATTCAAAATACAATGGTCACCTCTATGCACACAAACTAGAAAATTTAGAGAAAATAAATAAATTTCTGAAAACATTCAGCCCTCCTAGATTAAGTCAGGAAGAAATAGATACCCTGAATAGACCAATAACAAGCAGTGAGATTGAATATGTAATAAAAAAATTGCCAAGAACAAAAACAAACCCCGTGGTCAGGTGATATATTAGGCCATTCTCTTGCTACTAATAAAGACATACCTGAGACTTGGCAATTTATAAAGGAAAGAGGTTTAGTTGATTCACAGTTCAGGAAACTTACAATCCTGGTAGCAGAGGAAGCAAACACATCCCTCTTCACATGGCAGCAACAAGAGAAACTGCTTAAGAAAAGAGAGGAAACTCCTGATAAAAACATCAGATCTTGTGATAACTCAATATCATGAGAACAGCATGAGGTAACCACCTCCGTGATTAAATTACCTCCCACTGAGTCTCTCCCATGACAGTGTGGAGATTATGAAAACTGCAATCTAAGGTGAGATTTCTATGGGAACACAGCCAAACCGTACTATTCTGCCCCTGGCTTCTCCTATTTCATGTCCTCTAATTTCAAAACAAAATTATGCCCTTTCAACAGTCCCCCAAAGTCTTAGCTCATTCCAGCATTAACTCAAAAGTTCAGGTCCAAAGTCTCATCTGAGACCAGGCAAGTCCCTTCTGCCTATGAGCCTGTAAAATCAAAAGCAAGTTAGTTACTTCCTAGATACAATGGGGGTACAGACATTGGGTAAATACACTCATTCCAAATGGGAGAAATTGGCCAAAACAAAGGGGCTACAGGCCTCATGCAAGTCTGAAATCTAACAGGGTGGTCATTAAACCTTAAAGTTCCAAAATAATCTCTTTTGACCCCATATATCACAACCAGTTCATGCAGATGCAAGAGGTGGGCTCCCATGGCCTTGGGCAGCTCTGTCCCTGTGGCCTTGCAGGCTACAGCCCCCCTTCCAGCTGCTTTCACAAGCTGGCATTGAGTGTCTGTGGCTTTTCCAGGCCCATGGTGCAAGCTGTCGGCAGATGTACCATTCTGGGGTCTGGAGGACAGTGGCTCTCTTCTTACAGCTCTCCTAGGCAGTGCCCCACTGGAGACTCAGTGTGGGGGCTCCAACCCCACATTTCCTTTCTGCACTGCCCTAGCAGAGGTTTTCCATGAGGGCCCCACCCCTGCAGCAAACTTCTGCTTGGACATTCAGGTGTTGCCATACATCCTCCAAAATCTAGGTGGAGGTTTCCAAAACTCAATTCTTCTGTGTGTCTTCAGGCTCAACACCCTGTGGAAGCTGCCAAGGCCTGGGCTTGCACCCTCTGAAGCCATGGCCTGAGCTGTACCTCGGGCACTTTGAGCCATGGCTGGAGCAGCTGGGACTCAGGGCACCAAGTCCCTAGGGTGCACACAGCAGGAGAGCCCTGGGCCCGCCCCAGGAAACCATTTTTTCCTCCTTGGCCCCCAGTCCTGTGATGGGAAGTGCCTCTGTAAAGGTCTCTGACATGACCTGGAGTCATTGTCCTTATTGTCTTGGTGATTAACATATGGATCCTCGTTACTTATGCAAATGTCTGCAGCTGACTTGAATCTCTCCCGAGAAAATATGTTTTTCTTTTCTAGTGCATCATCAGGCTGCAAATATTTCAAACTTTTATGCTCTGCTTCCTCTTGAACACGTTGCCACTTAGAAATTTATTCTGCCAGATACCCTAAATCATCTATCTCAACTTCAAAGTTCCACAGATCTCTAGGGCAGGGGCAAAATGCTGCCAGTCTCTTTGCATAGCAAGGGTGACCTTTACTCCAGTTCCCAACAAGTTCCTCATCTCCATCTGAGACCACCTTAGCCTGGACTTTATTGTCCATATCACTAACAGCATTTTGGTCAAAGCCATTCTACAAGTCTCTAGGAAGTTCCAAACTTTCCCTCATCTTCCTGTCTTCTGAGGTCTCAAAGTCTCTAGGACCTTCCAAACTTTCCCACATTTTCTTATTTTTTTCTGAGCCCTCCAAACATTTCCAAACTCTGTCTGTTACCCAGTTCCAAAGTTGTTTCTACATTTTCAGGTGTCTTTACAGCAGCACCCCATCACCTGGTACCAATTTACTGTATTAGTCCACTTTCACACTGCTTATAAAGACATACCTGAGACTGGATAATTTATAAAGGAAAAAGGTTTAATTGACTCACAGTTCATCATGGCTGGGGAGGCCTCACGAGACATCCAATCATGGTGGAAGGAGAAACAAACATGTCTTTCTTCACATGGTAGCAGCCAGAGAAAGTGCTGAACAAAACAGGGGAAAGCCCCATATAAAACCATCAGATCTCATGAGAACTCACTATCATGAGAGCAGCATGAGGGTAACTGCCCCCATGATTAAACTACCTCCCAGCAAGTCCCTCCCATGACATATGGGGATTATGGGAACTACCATTCAAGATGAGATTAGGTGGGGACACAGCCAAAACATATCAAATGGATTCACAGCTGAATTCTACCAGACATACACAGAAGAATTGTTGCCAATCCTTCTATAACTATTCCAAAAGACAGAGAAAGAGGGAATCCTCCTTAAATCATTGTACGAAGCCGTATCACCCTGATACCAAAACCAAGAAATGACATTTAAAACTACAGACCAATATTCTTGATGAATATAGATGCAAAAATTCTCAACAAAATACTAGCTAACTGAATCCAACAACAAATAAAAAGGATAATACACCATAATCAAATGGGTTTTAGCTCAGCTCAAGAAGGCAGGGGTCATTTAACATACACAAGTCAGTAAATATGATACATCATATGAGCAGAATTTAAAACAAAAACATGATCACTTTAATAGGTGCAGAAAAAGTGTTCAATAGAATCCAGCATTCTTTTATCATAAAACACTCAACAAGCTAGGCATAGAAGGGACTTATCTCAAAATAATAAAAGTTGTGTATGAGAAACCCATATCCAACATTATACTGAATGGAGAAAAGTTTAAAACATTACCCCTGAGAACTGTAACAAGACAAGGATGCCCATTTTCACCTCTTCTATTCAATGTAGTACAGGAAGTCCTTGTCAGAGTAATCAGGCAACAGAAAGAAATAAATAGCATCCACATTGGAAAAGAGGAATTCAAACTATCATTGTTCACTGATGATATGATTATATACTTAGAAAACCACAAAGACTCCTCCAGAGACTCTTAGATTTGATAAGTGAATTCAGTAAAGTCTCACATTATAAATTCAGTGCATAAAAATCAGTAGTACTGCTTGCTATACACCAAGAATGACCAAGCTGAGAATGAAATTAAGAACTCAATCTCCTTTACAACAGCTGCAAAAAAATAATAACAACATACCTAGGAATATACTTAACAAAGAAGGTGAAGGATCTACAAAAGGAGAACTACAAAACACTGCTGCAAGAAATCATAGATGATACAAACAAATAGAAATACATCCCATGCTCATGGATGGGTAGAATCAATATTATGAAAATGACCATACTGCCCAAAGTGATCTACAGATTCAGTGCAATTCCCATCAAAATGCCAACATCATTTTTTCCAGAGTTAGTAAAAACAATCCTAAAATTCACATGGAATCAAAAAGAGCCTGAAGAGCCAAAGCAATCTTAATGAGAAAACAAATCTGGAAGCATCACATTACCAGACTTCAAATTACACTATAAGGCTATAGTTGCCAAAACAGTATGGTACTGGTATAAAAGTAGACACATGGAACAGAATAGAGGACCCAGAGACGAAGTCAAATACTTACAACCAACTGATCAATAAAACATACAAAAACATAAATTGAGGAAAGGACATTCTAGTTAATAAATGGTACTGGGAAAATTGGCTAGTCATATGCAGAAGAATGAAAATGAATCCCTATCTCTCACCTTATACAAAAATTAACTCAAGATGAATCAAATGTTTAAATCTAAGACATGAAGCCATAAAAATTATGAAGATAATCTAGGAAAAACTCTTCTTGACATTAACCTAGGCAAAGAACTCATGACTAAGATCCCAAAAGCAAATGGAATATAAAAAACATAAGCGAATGGAACCTTATTAAACTAAAAAGCTTCTGTACAGCAAGAGAAATAATCATCAGAGTAAACAGATAACCCATAGAATGGGAAAAAATATTTGCAAACTATATGTCCAACAAAGGACTAATATCCAGAATATACAAGAAACTTAAAGAAATCAGCAAGAAAAAATAAATAATCCCATCAAAAATGAACAAATGAAATGAACAGACAATTCTCAAAAGAAGATATACAAATGGTCAGCAAATGTGAAAAAAAATGCTCAATATTACAAATCATCAGGGAGATGTGAATTAAAAGCCCAGCAAGACACTACATTCCTCCTGCAAGAATAGCCATTATTAAAAAGTCAAAACACAATAGATGGTGTGGATGTGGTGAAAAGGGAATTCTGATATACCAGTGGTGGAAATGTAAATTAGTACAAACTCTATTGAAAACAGTACACAGGTTTCTTAAAGAACTGAAAGTAGATCTGCCTTTCTATTCAGCATTTCTACTACTGAGTTTCTACCCAAAGGAAAATAAATCATTTTATCAAAAATTCACCTGCATATGTATATTTATTGCAGCACAATTCACAATTGCAAAGACATGGAACCAATCTAAGTGCTCATTGAGCAATGAGTGGATAAAGAAAATGTAGTATATACACGTCATTGAATACTACTCAGCCTTAAAAAAGAAGCAAATGATGTCTTTTGCAGCAACTCAGATAAAGCTGGAGGGTATAATTCTAAGTGAAGTAACCCAGGAATGGAAAACCAAATACCACATGTTCTCACTTTGTAAGTGGGAGCTAAGCAATAGGTATGTAAAGGCATACAGAGTGATAACATAAGACTATGAAGACTCAGAAGGGGAAGGTTGGGAGTGGGGAGGAAAGATAAAAAATATATATTGGGTGCAGTGTACACTTCTCAGGTGATGGATGCACTAAAATTTCAGACTTTACTACTGTACAATTCATCCATGTAACCAAAAACCACTTCTACCCCAAACGCTACTGAAATTTTAAAAAGTACTTAAAAAATTGGGGGATGTTATGGAAGTCAGGGTTATCTTCTGAAGAAGTTACACAAAGACATGAAATTCGGGAAGAGACGTGAGAGCCCGTGGAATATATTAGAATTGGAGATATCATTGCAAACTCATAATTTCTAAAAACATGTAAATGTATGTGCATATGCATATATATGTTTTCAGGGAGCAAAAGGTTTTTCCCTACCCTCTTAGGTTCAGTATCTGGGAGCCTGCAAATTAAACAGATAAAAGTCAGATGAACCTGAAAAAAAAGTTTATTCACATGTCTATAGGAGCTTACTAAAAGTAGCTAGATATATAGTTAGAGATTTATAACAGAACTTACTCAGATAAAGAGAGAAGTAAGCAAGGGCTTCTATGGAAAGAACAAGTGGGGTTTTTTAAGGAAGACAAAGGATTTCTAGAAGAACAAATAGGAGGTAAGAAAGTTCGTGATATTTGTTTATGGAAGTGCATGTGGTCTTTCCATCTTCTTCATGGCCATAAAACTTCCCCAGAGAGCAGTTTATGATAAGTTTACTCTGGGTCTCCTTCCGTGGAGCAAAAACCTCCCCACAGTTATGCAATCTCACTTTCCCAAAGTTTCTGCTTTTAGTCAAACAAGGAAAGCTCCAAAAAGCCTTCTTTCTGTATCTGTTGAATCTCAAATGTCTTCAGTTTAAAATAATCTTAAACCCTGGGACTCTGAATAGGTCCTTTTAGTGTGCTCACATAAAGGTATGTGTATATGCGTATATGGCTGTGTCAATTTTTGTATTTCCTAGCTCTGTCTGCTAAAAGAACCTAGAAGGAAAGATGCCTCACTACCACCAAGAGGCTGGGCTTTGCTCTCTAATATCATTTCCATAAAGAGAACTAGGGATCCTTGGAAGACCTGTTGTTTTTGTGACTTGGGCATGGTAGGTTCAAGGTGAATCCCAAACACCTTGTTATACCACAAAGTAGGATAGTGCTTAAAACAATGGCGGAGGCATACTGCAAGGCATTATCTGAAGGGGGCTCCAATGACCCGAATCTTGGGCGATGTGAGCACCAGAATAAGAATAGTAATGAGTTATAAACCATTGAAAGAATAAGAATTCAGGAGCTCATACAGATATAAAGTGATAAACAGGCACAGAAGTTCCTGCTAGTAATAGAATGCTATATGATGACTGGCAAATGTGTAAGAAGTAATAAAGTTAGAAAAAAACCTTTATTTTGTAATCATCGGAGTAAAGACTGGATCAGGCTAGAATTATCCTTGATAATAAATCTAGGGGGAATATTTTGCTGAGGAATAATGCATTTCATGCCCTTAAAGTGTTTTGTCTACCCACAGACTGCTTATTACTAGCAAAGAAAAAAGAATAATTTTTATAATGGAGAAACCAGACAACAACTTGCTCAGGTGATCAAAATTATCACTAATGTGGACATATGGACACCCCAGATGTGATACTTTGTTTTGAGAGGAACAAAATATACCTCTGTTGTATTCCAGCTGAGAATGCATCGCCTGAATCTAACCATGAATAAACATCAGACAACCCCCAAATGAGAAACATTATGTTTATAAATAACTGGGGCTGTATTTTTAGAAAATGTTAATGTCCTCAAAGACAAAGGATATAGAGATTATTTTTTTTTCCAAATGGAAAGAAACTAAAGAGACATGATAAGTAAACACAATTTCTGATCCTAGAATGGATCCTCAATGGAAGGAAAAAAAATGCTATGAGGCGTATTATTGGGTCAATTTAAAACCTAGTAAAGTGAATGGAAGAGTAGGTAAAACATAAAGATATAACTATACAAAATAAAAATAAATGATTGCATCAACTTACTAAAATTTCAAATTATATGATTTATGTAAAAATATAAATATTAGGACATATAAACTGAACAGTAAAGGTCAAGGTCATAATGAATGTTATGATGTTATGAAACTTAACTGCAAATGATATACATATATACACACACATATATACACATACGTATATACACATATATACATATACACACACACACATATATGTGACAGAGACAGAGACATAAAGATAGAGACAGAACAGAGATTGAGAAAACAAATGAGGCATGATGTTAACAATTAAGTAAATCTTATTAAAGGTGTTTGGGAGTTCTTTGTATTATTCTTATTCTTGTAGCATTTATTTAAATTTGAAACGATTTTCAACTAAAAAAATATAAGTCACTGAACTGAAATTTTAGGGGTTTATTAAAATACCCAGAAACAGTTAAAAAACCTTCCAGGATAGCTAAAAATTAGTTTCTAGTTAAGAAATGTATACAAGTCTTGAATTATTTGCACCTTTCAGCTGGATTTGTACCATATCAAGTAAATGGTTGCTAAGGATTTCAACAGATTACTTTCACCCTAGCAGAAAAGTGAGGGTGGGAGGGACAGGTAGAGGTCATGGAGTAATGAGAGAATGTCCAGTCAGCAGAATAAGAACAGGGCTCTGAGGAAACCCGACCTCAACTCTAAACTCCGGAAAACAAAGAGTCAATCATTGGTGTAATCCAAAGCTGCAGAACATAGAGATCTCCAACTCTTAGGCAAGCTTTCAGCAAATCAAAGATTAGTCTTCAGTCTTTGAGGGTATGAGTTTTTCTCAGTTTCAAGAAAATAGACTCTTCTTTTTAGTGTTTGGTGGAATTTGCATCACCATCTAGTCCTGCTAGATGGTGACATATGAGTACTTCCAAAAGCAAAACAAACAAATATGAAGAATCTCTGATATTATATTTACCATGGTGATATTTTAAAGAGTTTTCCTCACCTCTCTCTCTCTCTCTCTCTCATCTATCTATCTATCTATCTATCTATCTATCTATCTATCTATCTATCATCTATCATCTAATTACTATATAAATAAGCTATTATTTAGGTTTTCTTTCCTTTGTGAGCTGTTGTTTTTTCCAGCCGCATGTGAGTAGAAGGCAGATCAGGATGTCCTACAGCCCCCGAACGCTGAGTATGAACAGGGACCCCCTTCATTCCCACATTTGTAATCTCTCATCTATATTGGCTTTCAAGTGGATTTCAAAGATCATTAAAAAATTGTTCTTGATCAGTAAAATTTGTCAAACTGCATATTCCCTTCTGTAGTTTTCCTTAATGTTAGGCTTTGAGAGCAAAAATAGCCATATGTGGTTGAGGCACTAGAAAGGAAATACAGATAAATTATTAACATTTTTCCTGGTCGGAGCCTGATTCGTATCATTTTGGCATTTCATAACTTGGCATTTTAGTTGTCTTGAATATAAAGTGTTAGACTGTAGAGCTACTCTAAAGATCACCTAGACCTATGTCTTCATAAAATGAATAAATTAAGAACTGGGTGGAAAATTAGGCGTGAGCAAGCTGATTAAACTCACACAGTGACTGATATGAAGCACCCACTCGGAAGGCTTTCTCTGCGCCAGACACCATGCTACATCTGCTGCATCAGAAGAATGGGGCAGCAGATTTGGTTTGTCAAAACTCAGATTACAGAGAGACAACACATCTTGCATGGCTAAGAGAATTGTCCAATCAAATAATCATGGCGTTAAAAATAATTGTAACATGCTCCTATTCCATCCCTTCATTTTTCAGATTAAAAATAAACAGCAACAAATAACTAAAGTCCAGAAAAGTCTAATTGGTTCGTCAAAGTATCATACTTAGCAAAATGACTGTGGGAAAATCACCCTCTTTAAGCCTCAGGTTTGTTAAAAAACAAAGTACAAAGGGATATTAGAAATATGTTAGTTCATGCTTATAAAATACCTAGCGTTCAATTAAGTTTGGCCTGAGTCTGTCTCCATACTTTGAGTTCCTAAGTAAGGACATATAACCCACCTTAGTATGTGAACACACTGGAACCCACCATGGGAGTATATAATTTTGTAATAGATAGCCAGGTCTCAGCCCATCACAGGCAGCCAAGTGATCAGACCATGTGCAAATAAGGCCCAGCTGAAGCCAATCCAGCCGCCATTTCTGTACTTCTGTGTTCTGCCTATAAAAACTCACGTCCCATCACCTGCAGAGCAGAGTGCTCTGAGCCCCTTTTGGTTTAGAGTGCTACCTGGTTCATGAATTACCCTTTGCTCAAATGAACTTTTAAATTTAATTTTTTAAAGCTTTTCTTTCAACACTAGCATAGTACATGACACGTATAAAGCACTCAGTGAGTGTGGATTGTCATTGTTGAAATCATGCCTTGAGTTTTATTAATAGCAATTCTATTTATCTATTGTCCCAGCTGAACGTAGAACCCAAGCCTTCTAACTCAGGTGTGGTGCGTTTCCTGCTCTCCTGCCTTTCCCTGCCACTCTGGGGCCTCGCTTCTTAAGATGCAGGTTTGAGAGCAGGGCCTTCCTTATCTAGGGCAACTGAATTGAAGGAGAAAGCAAGCAAGCCTTGTGAGAGCGAGTCTGAGCTCTAATCAGAGCTGCAGATGTTCTGGATCCAGAGCTTGTCACACCTGGTGAAATCTGGTTTTATTTAAAGTTATGATCAAAGTTCTGCACGGTTCATACTGAGAGGTAGTTCTCTCTCCCATGTGTGCCCCTTGCTTTCTTTTTGCTCAGCTTTAAAACATTTTTTCTATTCACATGAATGTATTCAACAGGCAGATTGTTTCTTGCCTGAAAATTCTTCCCTTGAATGCAAATAACATTTCTTGATCTCTCACAGCTGGTTCAAGAAGTAGGCTTGATGAATCACCTAAAGGAGTTTAAAAAAAAATAAAGAGAAGAAAAACAAATGCAAAACATTTTACAGCCCTTGAATAGCCATTAACAATTTAACTTATGCAAAATATGCTCTGTGTGAGGAACTGCTTAAGACAGAAGCCACAGGTCTTTCTCGTGGGCTATGGAAAGACAAGGTTAGACCTTTGATGCTTTAAAAATGCAGAAAAGCTAAGAGCAGATGACATTTCCATGCCAATCTTGTGAAACAAACATGGGTTAAAAAATCCTTTAAAACCATAATAAATGTTCTGGATAAATCAAAACCTTTACCCTCCTGGCGAGGGAAGGTATTTTTCCAAATTTATGGACTAAAGTCCCTTGCTTTAGGCCTTCTCAATGCTTTTCTAGGGAAATTTGGTACTTATAAAATCCACTAGCAGTCCTCAATTTTATTCACCAATAAAAGCAGCTACTAGTATTAAGTCTGTTCCTCTTTCCCTCAGAGAGGTGTTAGGAGATTGTCAGAGGCTGTAAGCACCTTTGTCAGCAGGCACAGAATGACAGATTTGGCACTGCTGCTGAGGTCACAGGGCTAGGTAACATATTAGTGCACAGAAGTAAAATAGAGAATACACGTGTCCTGCTCCCATGGAGCTTCCATTCCAATGGATACATTCCTATGGCGGGGAAGGAGAACTAGCAGCTTCCAGTGGATGTATTCCCATGGCAGGGAAGGAGAACTAGCAGCTTTGGGGGAACAAACTGCAAAATAACATTTTTATCTAATGCAAATGTCTGCAAGCAATTCTGTGTGTCTTCAAATAATTCAAGGGGTAACTCTAGGTTGACATGTGGCTCTCCTCTCCCAGTGAGGTGAGGATGTGAGAAAAAGAGAGTTGTGAAGGACAGAGGTTGGGTTTCACATTGCCTGAGAGGTGATGAGAAGATAGCAGTGTATGAAAAGAAGGAATGGAAGTGAGATGGGACTCAGGGGGCACAGACTCTATCTAAAGCTGTGGGATTGGAAGGAAATGAACCCATTCACTCACCCATTTCTTCATTCGTTCAGCAAATATTTATCCTAATCATGTTTCTATTCTGATTAAAACTCTCATTTTGTTTTATTTTATTTTTATACCTAGAGTATAAAATAAACTTTCTTCTTGAACTCTCATGGCTACCATAATATGGTCCCTGCCTGATTCCCAAATTCATCCTGTGTCTGTTTATTCTACTCATTGGACACACTTTTCTGAGCCAAACTCTTCCCTGTTGTAGACTGTCCATCCCACCACACCTGCTACACACACAGGCAACACACATTTTCTATGACTGGTTGTTTTCCATCTTTCTGGTCCCAGATGAAGTCTCAACTACTCTGAGGGACCTCCCCTGACCACTCTGTCTAAAGCAGAGATCCCTGCCCCAGTTGCTCTCCATCTCAGCACTCGACTTATTCCTTAATAGCTTTCATCACATGTGTAATTGCTTTGTTTTTGTACATCTTGTGTATGTTTATCTCTAGACCACACACAGCACAAGAGTGACCATGTCCACCTTGTTCCCCTCTCATTTGCAGCACCTGTTGCACTGTCCAGTATGGCATAAGTGCTGAGTAATGAAAGGTTAGAAGACAGAAGGGGGCTGTGGCTGGGATGGTGAATGACAGAGAAGCTAAGCAAAGAACTCTGAGGAATGCAAGTCCTTTTAATGATCAGGCCCAGAGAGATGTCAAAACAAGACTGTAATCATGTCCCAATTCCCTCTTGAGCTATGAATTCATCTCTGGAAACTGCTGCTACTACAAGTGCCTATAAATTAACCTAATAAGGCCACGCTGGACATAACCCACACCCTACATAACAGTGTGTGGCTAATCACTGATCAACGTATTTTCTGTAAGCCAGTGAGAATTCCTGACAAAGCCCTTTGTATCAGCCCACTCCCTGTCCCCGTTCATTGCCTTTAAAAACCCACTTGTAACTGCTGCTATTTGGAGTGGATATTCAGGGCAACTTGAATCTGTGCTCCCGGGTTGCAGTCCTCAAGTTGGCCCCAAAGATCTCTCCACTTATATTAATTTTGCCTCAGTTTCTTCCCTTTAGGCTGACAAGGCTAATCAAGAAAATAAAAAATCTTACTCTGAAAATCGACGTGTGGCCTTTGTCCCTCAGGGACACAGGCCCTCAGGAGGACAGCACCCTGCTGCAGGAGGGGGGGGGGATGGTGGGGGGCAGGTGGGAAGGTAGAGTCAGGTGAGCCTTATACATCAGGGCCCCTAAGTGCTAATTCTGGAAAGAGGTTATTGGTGGTGGGTTCTGAGTACCTGTGACAACAAGGTCTGTCAGTGTAGGTCCTGTTGTCATGTGTGGCCTGTGGGCTATGGTTCATACACACTATCTCCTTTGCACTGGGAAGAAGCGAGAAAGCGATGGTGTTGGTAGACATGGGAATACGCTGAAGTGTGAACGTGCTGGTCTTGGTCCCTGGCATCTCATTGAGCCTAGGCGAGTGCCCAAGTCACCATCGACATCCCTCCAGAGCAAAGTTTCAGCATCCACAATATCCTGTCTTCAGCGAGTGAATCTTGGAAGAAGCCTATTTTACAGTCCCTGTGGAGCCGTCGGGAAGTAAGTGTGCAGAATCCCAGGCTGCGTCCTCCTCTGCTCCCTTCACCCTGCTTGATGGACCCAGGTACTCCTCAGCATGGGCTCCTCTCCCGCCCCTACGGCTCTGCATCCTGCATGTTGCATGGTAGAGCCTATGACCTTCAGCTCACAGCGTGCAAGCCTGGGGCTCTGAAGAACCTGGAGGTGCTTTCTCCTCCATTCCTTCTGCAGCTCCCCCAGCAAGCTCAGGAGTAGATACGCACATCAGTCCCTAAGACCCGCCTTGGGAACCTGGTGTTTCCAAAGCAGTTATTCAACATAAAGTCTAATAAAGATGGCTTTGGCTTTGACTCGTTGGTAGATGGCTGTGAATTTGGGAAGGGACTTGACGGTAGGCTCCTGTGGCAGTTGCCGTTGCAGTCCTCTTTTCTGTTTCCTAATTTCTTCCACACCTGAGATAGAGACAAGGCCAGAGTTGGGATTCATAGACTCCAAGGCAGCGCAGTGACACGGAGATGCTGGATGAATTTCATAGACTATAGCATCATCATAGTGCATCTACCTTGGAACAAAGAAAGAGGCTGCTCTGTGAGAAGAGAGGGCATAGGCTCTGAGGCTCATGACTCAGCCCGGCTCTTGTGTAAAGAAGCCAAAATGCATTGGGAAGAAGAAGGAATGCTGTCCTGCTCTGCTGCATTCAGTAAAAACGAATCTGCATAAGGAGGGTCTGAGAAAATGCTTCTCTGGGGACACCCGAACACATGTGTGATGTGCCAGAGGATCACAAAGCACTGATTTTAAAAAGCTGAACGTTAAAAAAAACTCCTATTCTTTCATGAAGAATTAATAATGTTTCCCTCCTGGCCATTTCTCCCACAACAGGGAAAATTGTTCTTTGTTGCAACATGAAAGCCAGTGAGAATGGCACACATCACAGAAATGAAGACACCACGCAGGGCTTAATTAACAGCGAAAGGAATTCCCAGGCTATTTATAAAACATCTCAAACTAGCCTTTTATCAGATCTGTAATTTCTATAAAATGCATCCCTGCTGAGTAGGGACTAACAAGCCTGAGGACATGTGATTCCACGCCGTGTCGAACTGGCTGTGTAAACAGGTGTCCCACTCTGTTCCCAGTCACTCATTTCCACCTGACCATTAACATTGCTGTGGATCTAGGAGGTCTCCAGGCACTGCCACGATATATCAGTATTTCAGATGATAATCAGCGATGGTGAAGGAAGCCTGAAGATTTAGTGTCGCTGTTATATATTAAGTGCTTACTAAATGTTAAACACCATTATTATTGATGTTGCTGTTTTTAGTAGAAGGGCCACTGGCACCACAACCCAGACAGTCTCTTCTCTCAGTCGAGAGTCTCCGGTCTGTTCTCGTGGAAGGAGGCGAGCCTCCCTCCTTGGTTAGGCAGCCCGCTGTCCCTTGGTGTCCCCTCCGCACTCACGGGCACCTCATCTTTCCTCCTCCTTCCTGCATTCTCTGTGTGAGGGGAACCTGGCCTGGGAGGGCTGAGCTCTAGAGGCATCTTCTGTGTGATTTTTAACAAATTGCTTTGTTTTTTTACTGCCTTGAGTAACAAGGGCCTAATGTCCTCAGACTATTTATGGAGAGATTTCTATCAGTGTCTTATAAACTTAGGTCAAGTAGATTGGATTAGTTCGGATTAATTGAATTAATCTTTAAAACTTGGTAAATTTATATAAATGTTTGGTTAATCCATGTCTGGTTATACAGTGAACTTTGAAGAACTGTGGACAGCCAGATTTTATGAGATGAGGATAAAAAGAACATGACTTTTCCACTGAGACTTTCTTAGTTTATGGATAATAATAATAAACACCAACCATGTTCAAATTAACACAGAAATTGCTGATCTATTACATTTATTTTATCTCTTTAAAAGGTAGCTTAGCATGATAAGCAAAACAGGAAAATCTCTGGCAGGGAAGTCACTATTTTAATGTCAAGTTGGCGTTTCTCTAAGTTGTTAAGATTGTAGCTGCTTTTTCTTTCCTTGGCAATTAAACCTGAGTCCAAAGTAGAATTTTAATTTGGTCAATAATCATCTAACTTGTAATATTTCAATAAATATTCTTAAAATGTTATTTTAAAATGTACTAAAATAAGGTGCCTATGTGGCCTGGCTTGCTCTGAGCAGCCTCAGCCTAAAACATCTGGCCTATGCCTCTTGCCCAGGTATTTCATTAATAGAAACGCCCTCACTCTCAAAAGTATCCTGGTTTGGACAATAAATTGTAATAAATTGTATGGTCACCATATTCATTATGGAGACATTAAACTGTAAACCAATATCAACAGCAATGACAATGACAACAAAAATAGTATTTATAGAGTCACAAGGAGGAAACCGATTTAAACTAGGCCATATGGAAAGAACAGTACGAAGGTCAGTGGGGAGAAGAACAGGGTAGATCAGTTTATCTGCTTTGGGTGAGGAGTGGGAGTGGCGAGCGACCTGGTTAGGAAATGAGGTCCAGTCGTGCAGTGGAGTCCTTCAAAGCCATGAAGAGTCTGGATGGGTGAAGTAGGACACGGAAGGTTGTTGAAGGCTCCTGAGCAAGTATGTGACAGATTAAAGCTGCTGTAAGGAAGTGAGCATGTCAAACGTACATGCAGAATTTTGCAGTGGGAATGGCACCTCTCCTAGACAAGAACCACTGGCAATGGAGCGCACAGGCACTGGAAACCGCAGGCTGGGAGCCGTGAGCCAGCAGCCGACAGGCCGTCCCGGCAGCCATCACTCACAGGAGACTGGGGAGAGGGAAATCATGGTTGTAGAAACAGCTTGCAAACTGAGCGGAAATGAAATTGGAATCTGAAGCTCAGATAATCTGGTAGTTCTCTGTGCCTACTGTCATAGAGCTTCAGTGCCCTTTTCCTAACGGCTTTTGTGGCTAAACAGAATCCTTGACAATTTCGCTTGGGACCTAAGTAAGCGACCCCTTCTTTATCCCTAGGCCATATTCAAGACATATTGGTATTTAAGGGCTAAGAGAGTTATGAATACTTTAAGGTTGAAATCAAGTTAGATTTTACTTTATATATAATATATATTAGTTTATATATATATTTTACTTTAAATATATGTGTGTATATATGTGTGTGTATATATATATAGAGAGAGGATATATACATATATTTAAACTTTAGAAAACTTTAAGTAAAATCATGTATGAGAGTCCCATATGGAGTTATTAAAGGTTCATTTAATATGCTCAGGAGACAATTTAATCTTTTGAGCTCAGCATCATTGAAAACCATAGTGACACTCCTTCTTAAATCATATTGTATCAGTGACACAGACAGTAATACAGATATTATTTTGTTTTCACCCAGGATTGATTTCTTACATCTTTATATTAAGAAATTATCTGCCACTGTGTAAAATGCTAAAAAACAGAGAAGGTAAGGCGAATCTAACGGCACATATTAAATGGCAGGTTTCCAGATAATCTTCTATGTATTTTAAAATGTTAAGTGATCAATTTTCATAATCCACCAAAATCCCTATTACTTATTTTCCTTCTTTTTAAAGTGTCTGATTCTTTGTCTTTACCAGCTTAGAACTAAGTAGTAGTAAAACCTTTGGAAAGTGGAGGTCAGACAATGTATAGGAGGAAAAGAAGGAAGTACCCACTTCCATGTGGCTTACATAACCATCTTAAAATCCCAGCTAACAGGTCAGGAACTTGCTATGCATGTGGGCAGCAAAGGCGAGGGGAAATCTTTTGCCTCTGGTTGGCCTTGAGGCTCTGTGCAAGCAGTATGTGTAAATTGCCTAAGTGTCAAATGCATGTTCAATAACTTTGCAGAGACTCTCTGCAAAGTCATTGAATATTTATTGGTTCAATAAAATTTCTTGTAAACTACTATCTCATTCTTACACTAACCCAGAAAGGATCTTAGTTGTCACACATCACAGGGAATTTAGACCATACAGCATTAGTCCTGGAAAGTCACTAAACAAACAGCAGCAGCAACAACAAACACACAACAGCAGCCAGAACAAACTTTGCAGAGGATATCTAACTTACAATGTTGCCGAGTTATATTTTCTAAAATCACTAGTTTTCAATAAAATAATTATGAGCCATAAAAAGGAAAGTATGGTCCTACACAGTGAAAAAAGTAATCAATATAAGCTATCTCTAAGGAAGCCCTGATGTTGGACTTAGGGAAAGAAGACTTTATATAGCTACTAGAAGTATATTTACAGAATTCAAGAAAACAATGTCTAAAGTATTAAAGGGAAGCATAATGACAATTTGTAAACCAAGATAGTATATCAATAAGAAGGTAGAAATTATTTAAAAATATAGAAACTCTTGAACTGAAAAATACAATAATAGAAATAATGCAAATTTCACTGATGGGACTCAATAGCTGATATGAAGTAGTAGAAGAAAGAATCAGAGCACTGGAAGACAACTCAGTTGAAAATTATCCAGTCTGAGGAACAGAGAGAAAAAATAAGGAAGAAAAATGTACAGAAGCTGAAAGACCTGTGGAACATTATTAAGCATACTAAAATAAGCATAATGGATGTTCAGAAGGAGAAGAGAGAGAAAAAGGAGCAGATAGAATATTTATTAAAATAGTTGAAAACTTATCAAATTTAATGAAAAACATTCATGTATATATCCAAGTAGAAAGAACCTTGAAAACAGCACACACACACACACACACGCACACACACACACACACACGCACACACGCACACACACACACGCTGATTCATCCTGTACAAGGGATTCTCACCAAGGTTGAGAGCTGACTTCTCATCGCAAACCATGAAGGACAGAAGACAACAGGTGGGCATATTCAAAATAACAACAAAGACCAACCAAAATATCTATATTCAGCAAAAACAATACTTTTAAAATGAAGATTTAAGACATTTCCAGATAAAAACAGATAATTCATTGATAGCAGATTTATCTGACAAAGAATAATAATAATAATAAAGACAGTCCTTCCGGCTGAAACAAAAGGATGCTAGATGGTAACTTTAATCCACACAAATAAATAATGAGAAAAAGGGAGATAAGATTCAACTTAATAAATTGAGTAATGAAAGAGGGGGCATCTCTACCAACCTTGCAGAAATAAAAAGGACAATAAAGGAGTAGTGTGAAGAACTCTATACCAACATATTGTGCAACTTACAGAAAACTGACGAATTTGTAGAAAAATAGAAACTACTGAAACTAACTCAAAAAGAAATTAAAAAATCTGAATAGACATATAGTAAGTAATGTGATCCAGCTAGTAATTTAAAAAAACTTGTCACAGAGAAAAGCTCAGGCTCAGATGACTTTTATTAGTTTTACACAATTTATAAAAAATTAATACCCAGCCCTTTATGAGTTCTTTCAAAAAATAGGAGAGAACTCAATTCTATGAGTTAAGACCACCCTGATATTAAAACTAGACAAAATATTATTTAAAAATGCCAGAGCAACATTCCTTTTAAAATAGATGCAAAACCTTTAGCAAAATCCTAGCAACCAAATCTAGCACCACATAAAATGGTTTTTACACCATAACCAAAGGGCACTTATTCCAGGAATACTAGACTTGTTTAGAATTCAAAAATCAATCATTATAGTGTATCATATTATACATACAGAATAAATGACAAAGACTACATGCTTATCTCAATAGATGTAGAAAAAATGCTTGACAAGAACCAACACCTTTTCATGATAAAAAAAAAAATAACCAACTAGTAATGAAGGAAATGTTCTCAACGTGATAAAGGGCATCTTTGAAAAACACTCAACTTACACCATATTTAATGATGGAAGGAGTGAATGCTTTCTCTGAAGATCAGAACAAGACAGGATACCCACTCCAGCCACTTCAGCTCAACATTGTACTGGAGGTTCTACCCAGGTCAATTAGGCAAGGGAAAGAAATAAAAGACAATCATATTGGAAAGGAAGAAGTAAAACTACTTGTGTTTGTAGATGACATGAACTTGTATATAGAAAATCCTAAGGAATCCAGTAAAGAACAGGCCTAACATACAAGTATAGCTGAGATCAATATGATAAATTAGTTGCATTTCTATGCACTAGCAATGAACAATCTGGAAATAAAATGTTAACAACACTTCTACTTACATTAGCATTAAAAAAGAGAATGTTTAGGAATAAATGTAACAAAAGGAGCGTAGAACTTGCACAGTGAAAACTGCAGAACCTTGTTGAAAAAGTGTAAGAAGACCTGTGTAAATAGAAGGGCATTCTGTATTTCTTAAGTGGAAGATTTAATATTACTTAGATAAGCATATTACTCAAATTGATTTACAGATTCAATGAAAATATACAATTTTTCTGGATTTTTTACAAAAATGGAAAAGCTGATAATCAAATTCATATGGAAATGCAAAGACGCAAATAACTAAAGCATTCTTAAAAGTGAAGAACAAAATTAAATTATTCACATTTTTCTGATTTTGAAACTTTCTGCAAGCTACAGAATTCAAGGCAGTATAATACCAGCATAAAAATATAGTTGGACAGAATAGAGTTGAGAGTCCAGAAATGATTCTCTACAGTATGGCCAATTGATTTTTAACAAGGGTTCCAAGATAATTCAACTGAGAAAGAGAAATATTTTCAGCAAATAGTGCCAGAACCGCTAGATAGCCACATGCAAAATAGTAAACCTGGATCCCTAACTCACGCTATTCAAAAGAAAAAAACATAAAATATTTCAGAGACATAAATGTTAGAGCTAAATGTGTAAAACATTAGAAGAAAGCATAGAAGTAATTTTTTTGACTTTTAGGCAAATTGGACTTTTTAATTTGGTGATTTGGTAATTAGGTAAATTGGACCAACAACCCAATTAAAAATTAGTAAGAGATTTAGGACGTATATTTCTTAAGAATAAACACAAATAACAAGCCCATGAACAATGCTTAACATCATTAGTCATTAGGAAAATGTCAATCAAAATCACCATGGGATTCCACGTTACATCTAGAAGGATGTACAGTCAGACATCTTGAGGAGGATAGGAAGAAACTGAAGCTCCCAGGCATTGCTGAGGAGTGTGAAATGGTGCTGCCACTTTGAAAAACAGTGTGACATTTTCTCACAATGTTAAGCACAGAGTTGCTATTTGATCCTATGATGCTTTTCCTAGGTACATATCCAAGAGAAATGAAAACATGTGGCCACACAAATATTCACATGTGGTCACACAAATACTCACATGTGGTCACACAAATATTCACATGTGGTCACACAAATACGCACATGTGGTCACACAAATACTCACATGTGGTCACACAAATACTCACATGTGGATATTCATAGCATCAATATTCATAATAGTCAAAAAGTGGAACCACCACCAATGTCCATTAACTGATGAATCAACAAAACGATGGATCAAAGCAATGGAATATTATTTGTTAAAAATATTGATATGTGTTACAACATGTGTGAACTTTGTAAACATTATACAGATTGAGGATCCCTAATATGAAAATTTGAAATATGAAAAGCTTCAAAATCTGAACTTTTTGAGCACCGACATGTCACAAGTGAAAAATTCCACACCAGACAGGTTGCAGTGAAAACCCAAATGCACAATGCACAGTTTCTTCAGCATCCCCAAGGGAAAAATAAATTTACCTTCTAAATACCTATATAAGGTATATATAAAACATAAGTGAGTTTTGTGTTTAGACTTGGGTCACATCCCAAGGATATTTCATAAGGTATTTGCAAATATTCCAAAATCTGAAAAATGCCACAATCTGAAGCACTTCTGGTCCCAAGCATTTCAGATAAGAGATACTCAACCTGTACTAAGAAAAAGAAACCAGACACAAAAGGCCACATGTTGTATGATTTCTTTCATATAACATGTCCAGGATGGGCAAATGATGGAGACAGAGTGTACATTAGTGTTTGCCTAAGGGTGAGGACTGGGGAAAATGGAGAGTGGCTGCTAATGGGCGGGGGCGTTCTTTTTGGGGTGATAAAAATATTATAACATGTTGTAGCGATGGTGGCACAACTCTGTGAATATATAAAAAATTATCGAATTGCAGGGTTCTTTTGTGCTACCAGGTGATGAGGCTTTGAAACCAGGGACAGAGACATGGATACAAGAACCACCGATGGTGACAAAAAAACGAGGCTCCCCTCCTGTCAGTGAGAGAGGGGCCAAGGCGAAGCTGGACACCGGACGGAGCAAAGTGTGGACACCTGCTGTGCAAACATCTCCACGTGGACAAAAGCCTTCTGCCTCACAGAGAACCAGACCAGACCTGGGCTTTAAATACGTGAATATTAGGGTATGTGAATTTTTTCTCAGTTTTTAAAAAGTGTAATGACCTTTTGATTTTTAAAACTTTCTGTTATTTTCAACCTCGGGGCATTGCTGGTCTGCATGAGCAGAACGTTTGAAAAGCAGTAACGAAGTGGGCTGAGGAAAGGACGAGAAGGAGATGTAAGCTTAGGATGTCAGGATTCCCAATTCTCATATGATTGGGGTATAAAGTAAAATTGATTTTTTCTGTAAGGATTTTCCAGTGTCTCATATTAAATCTATTCTCCCTACCCGTTAATAACACATTCCAGTGTCTAGTGACTTCTGCTTCCTAGAATGTAATCCAGGTTTATTTGGAATATGAAGCTCATATTGATAGACCAGTCAAAATTCACCCCTCTGGCAATTGGAGCTTTGCTGGTGACCTTTGCTCTGTGAATGTTGTAGGGGTGTGTGTGTGTTTGAGTGTATGTGTATGTGTGTGTGGGTGTGTATGTGTGTAAATGTGTGAGTGTGTGTATGTGTGTCAGTGAGTGCATGAGTGATTGTGTATATGTGTATATATGTGTCAGTGTATTGTGTGAGGGCGTGTGTGTGTGAGAGTATGTGAGTGTGTGTATGTGTGTCTGTGAGAGTGTGTGTATATGTCTGCGTGTGTGTGTGAGTGTGTGAGAGTGTGTATGTTTGTGTGTGTGTGACAGTGTGAGAGTGTGATTATATATGTGTCTGTGTGTGTGTAAGCGTGTGTGTATGTGTCTGAATGTGCATGATTGTGTGCATACATGTGGCAGTGTATGTGTGTGTGTGAGAATGTGTGAGTGTGTAAGTGTGTGTGAGAGAGTAAGTCTGTGTGTGAGAGAGTGTGTAAGTGTGTATGTGTATGTGAGTGTGTGTGTGTAGTTGTGGGCTGGGTATGGTCTGGCTTTGAGATCCCTCCAGCTGCACGACTTTCCTTTTAGGGCTAGCTCCTGTGATGCTGGGGCAGGGGCAGGGAGAGGACCAGTGAGGGAACTGAAGGATCTTCTTCCTCACAGGTGCACGTCAGTGCAGAGGGTCAGTGCGGAGGGTTAGTGCAGAGGAGCCAACCTTGTTCTCGCTGCACTTTGCTCTGGGTTGTTCTAATGTTGGTGGCTTTGGTCCATTTGGCGATGTCTGCGCATGTGGGGTACACACCCATCTTAGTCCAGCATTCAGCTTCGCCTAAGCCCCTCTCCCCAGCCTAGTTTTCCTTTAGCGTCCCCAGGGCTCTGGCCCCATGTCCTTGTCCCTGGGTTGGAGCATCTTTACCTGGTGACACCAGAGTGCCTTCTCCTCGAGCATCCCTGTGCATTCACATGGGTTGTGGGAGCCACCAATGGCCTTGTCTAGGCCCTCCCAGTGCCGTGGGAAGCTGTGACAGGGAATGACCCCATCCCCTTCTTTCCTGTAGGATGTAACATGTCCCATCAGATCCCGTTGGCTTGCTCTCTAGCTGAGAAATTAGCAGTCATCTTTATGTTCACATGTGCTCACGCTCTCGGGTTGTAGAGGCCAAGCTCTCCTGGGGCTCTCCCATCCAGCTCTGCCCTGGGCAGCAGTAGCTGCACCTCCATCTGTGCGAGTATCAAGCCAAGTAATGATGTTCAGGCTTCCCTTTCCTGTGCTCCATCAGATTCAAAGCCTTCCTGCCTTGCTGAGAATTAGTACATTGACTCCTCATTGCTCTAAAGGGGAACTCATCCTCTTTGGTTGCCTTTGTGGGCTGGGGAAGTTCTGGTGGGGTGGGTGGTGGTTAATGGTAGGATTGCCAGTTCTGCTGCCTCTTACGAAGCCCTGCCAGGAAGTTCCAGGGGTTTGAGGCCCTCATCTTTAGAGTAGGGAGCTAATCAGTGCTTTAGTTTTATTTTGGGATCATAACAGCATCTCCAAGAACCAGGAAAGTCCCCTCTCTGTGCTTGTTACATAAGGTAGTTTCTCTGCTTACAGTGGTTTATGGGATATGTGCATTCTGCCATCATCTAAAGGAAACAGCCCTTACAACATCAGGGACTGGTTGAATAATTTCTCTGATTCTTCTTACAAGAACTAGAAAGAAGCAGTGAAAATACCAGGTCATATTTCTTACACTATTAGGAGTTCTGATGAAAGTTTTGGTAGGAGAAAAGGCTGAAGTAAATCATTAGATTAAAATAGTTATGAGGATTCTCTCTGATTTCATTTATCTGTTTTAGTTCCAGATGAACAACCAGGTCTCATATTCTTATATGTTATTGTAAACATTTTTTATGTGTTGCATAGTAAACTGTTTATGAGCTATTTGGAAGCCCATGTATTATGTTTTCTTGTAGTCCCTGCAATGCTGTGAACATAATGAGTGTCCAATATCTATATTTTCTTAGTTTCACTTTTTTCTTACTTACAAATTAAAAAGTATGGTACCAACTCCTTACTGTATGATCTCAAAACATTTTGTATTATTATAAATGAAAGAGTAATTCTTCAGGCTATCAAATACTGATATGAGATTACAGCAAAACGAATTATTCTTCTTTGATAGCTATAAAATCTAAAATAAAACCTTATGGCATCTGCCAACAATTCCACATTGGCCTCAGTTGTGATCTGTTTCCCATGCTCATTAGACACTTCAACGTGGTTTACGTGGGTGAGATTAAGCAGATTAGCCACCTGCGTGGGAACGTAGACGCGGAGAAATGTTCCTGGGTTCCGGCTTCCAGTCGCGATTCCATCTCTATGCTATGTGAGTACAGAGGTGGCCAGGGGATGATGAAAATCACTGAGTCATTGCAAATAATTTAATTATAAATAGAGGTTTTATGAGTGGTGTTAATGTGTGCCACCTCAGCTAACCTGACAATAAAGGTTTCACAAGCTATAATGACATCTGGAACCAAATCACACGTAGGAATTATGCAGCCTCAATAAAAGCCACTTAATTAGCATTGCAAATAGCGTTCCAGCATTTATGAGCCGTCGGCACATTTGCATACAGATACGTAATTACATAATTACATCTGCCGTGTTTGTTCCATAAGACCTTGCCACTTTATTAGCAGAATATGTAAATCAGGAATTAACTCTCTCTGCCTTTCTCATTCTCAGTCATCTAAAGACATGTGGTAAACCACGGGGATTTGGGGCAAGTTTTGTGTGAGGACGTCATCACCTTGTGTTAGGCTGGCTTGCGAACAGAAACGCAGTCCATGACTTATTTAGTGAAGGGGATTTTTGAATAGTTTGCAGATACCATTTCCTAATGAATGAACGTCATTTATTAGCTAACTTGGGCTTTCCCTACTCATCTTTGAAATCCTTTACTTGCTCTGTCACCCTGGAAATATGGCCTATTTATATCGTGATGGTTTAAAGAGGCTCGTTCAAGACTTGCTCTTACTTGTATCCTTCAGAGAGTGACAGCTATCTTGTATTCTAATTTAATAAAGTCCACTGGAATGGAGGCATCTAATCACAATGGAGTCATATCTGGTAAGCGTTTTAGACACAGAAAGCTGAGCAGATTTGGCAGCTGAACACAGAATGGAAAAGAGGGGCACCCAGTTTAATTTATTGTCAATTATTTTGAAGGAAATGCTAGTTGAACTAATTTAATAAATTGTATTAGCACAGTTTCATGTACTAGGAGATAAGGTTTTTATATTTCAGATCTAGAAGTTGTGAATAAAAAATTCACTGTGGGTTTGTGAATTACTCTCAGCAAATCAGCTTTAAAATGTGCAGTTACATGTGCTGTGGTGGCTTCATATGGTTTGAACTTAGGCATCATAAGTGTGAGAGAAGTCTAAGGCACTTTTTGATAAATAGGAAATGCCTGTCTTACATCATGGGTTATTGGAGCTAAAATTCTTCCAGGACGTTAGATTAGTCGTAGAAGTAAGTGACAGAGTCTCTGAGGAAAAGCGTTTGAATAGGATGAGATGTGATAGCGTAGGCTCCACTGTTCATTCACCCTTTCATCTATTCAGTTAGCATTTATGTAGATAGGTGCCAAAAAAGTGGGAGGACTGAGCTGGGTTATTAAGCTGGAGGCTGAGGATAAGGAAGACTACTGTGTTAAGTCCGACCATAAAAATTCTACAATTTAAAATTCAAAGTCACTGTCAAACATGCTTTCTGAATGCTCATCTTTATGGAGTGTTGGGCTGGCTACAGTTCAATTTTAATAAAATGGATATTGTCCTAAATTTATAGAAATTTTAATTAAATATAAAATCCACATGCAAAAATAGTTAAATGGATATGTATGAAACTATGGTTGAGTATGTGTTTGTGACTTACTGGAGGAACATTTCATATTTAAACAGTTAAAGGGAGAAAAACCTGCATGCCTTTGACAGGAAGCCTCTTGATGTCTCTTCTGTCTTGATGATGGCAGCCACTAAATTAATGCCTTTTATTATGTGGGAGAGCAGCTCTCTCATGGAGTTGAGCTCACTGAGAACCTCTGTACGTCTCTCTAGCTCATCTTTTCTCTATTCTACTCTACTTTTGGCAAAATTAATTACATGGTAAGTCCTAGGAACTTCCTGTGTTCTAGAGAGAGACTCTGCAGACCAGATTTTCACCCACCAGCTTCCCAAGGAATGGAGAATAGTGCCATGGTGCCTGGCCTTGTTAACAGTGGAAGAGAATTATATTATTTAAAAACCTGAAACATGGTCTACATATGGATTGTATATAAAAAAGGATCCCATAAAGAGAAAGTTGGTTCTTTTGGTGGCCCCTTTATTCTTTTTTATGGGATATCATTATTCTTTTACAGATTATTTAGCCATGATAGCAAATACTTTGTTAATATTATTGTTATTTAAAATGCCTTTGTGAGTAATATGTAATTGGGTTGATAATGGAGTAAATACAACAGAAAGCGTCTTGTTTTAAGCTTCCCTTAAGTTCTTCATTGCTAGAATCTTCTGGTTTTTCCTTTTTGTGGAGGATAAAGATGGAGTCTCTCTATGCTGCCCAGGCTGGTCAGGAACTCCTGAACTCAAGCAATCTTCCCACCTCAGCCTCCCAAAGTGCTGACATTGCAGTCATGAGCTATTGTACCTGGCCATGTTAAAAATTTTAATGACCCCCGAAGTCAATGACATCCATTACAAAAAAGGATCTCACTCTGGCCACTTGACCTAGCAGGAGAGTGTACACTCTGAACGTGGGTTTATCAGTTCTATGTCATAGTGTACACTCTGAACGTGGGTTTATCGGTTCTATTTCATAGTGTACACTCTGAACGTGGGTTTATCGGTTCTATTTCATAGTGTACACTCTGAACGTGGATTTATCGGTTCTATTTCATAGTGTACACTCTGAACGTGGGGTTTATTGGTTCTATTTCATAGTGTACACTCTGAACGTGGGGTTTATCGGTTCTATTTCATAGTGTACACTCTGAACGTCGGTTTATCCGTTCTATTTCATAGTGGACACCCTGAACGTGGGTTTAACGTTTCTATTTCATAGTGGACGCCCTGAACGTGGGTTTATCGGTTCTATTTCATAGTGTACACTCTGAACGTGGGTTTATCAGTTCTGTTTCATAGTGGACACTCTGAACGTGGGTTTTTAGGTTCTATTTCATAGTGTACACTCTGAACGTGGGTTTATCAGTTCTATTTCATAGTGGACACCCTGAACGTGGGTTTATCGGTTCTATTTCATGGTGGACACCCTGAACGTGGGTTTATCGGTTCTATTTCATAGTGGACACCCTGAAAGTGGGGTTTATCAGTTCTATTTCATAGTGGAAACCCTGAACCTGGGTTTATCGGTTCTATTTCATACATGGGTTTATCAGTTCTATTTAATAGTGGACACTCTGAACGTGGGTTTATCGGTTCTATTTCATAGTGGACACCCTGAACGTGGGTTTATCAGTTCTATTTCATGGTGGACACCCTGAACGTGGGTTTATCGGTTCTATTTCATGGTGGACACCCTGAACGTGGGTTTATCGGTTCTATTTCATGGTGAGTGCTCTTTGAGGTAGAAAAGGTGACCACACAGATTACTCTTGAAGTTTTTTGCTAGTGTATCCATGAGCGCTTTTCCTTTCTTCCTGTATTTAGCTCAAGGTAATTTTTAGGGTTATAGAAATGTTGTAGCCCAAAACACAAAAATACCAGTTCATTTGCTCATTGTTGACCTTGAAAGTTTTCATAGAACTGGTGATGATGGCTTCAATGCTGCTGCAGCCAGGGCAGGCGGTGCTTCTCATCCCCTCCCTCTGGACTCCTCTGCATGCATTTCCAGAAGTGGAAAACTTTCCCCAGCTTGTCCCCCATTCCCACTGTGCCAACGATGTGGTTTTTCTTGCTATGTGCTCAGAGAAGCTGAACGATGATTATGACATGAGGTCGTCTGATGCTTATGCAGGCAAGAGGCAGAATTCTAGACGCAACTCAGAACCCTGTAAGCCAGGGACCCCAGGTCAGGCCCCGGGCTGGCCACCGTGGTGCTGAGGCTGAAGGCTGGCCCTGGAGAGCCACTGGGGTGCATCGGCTGCATCCTTCTCTGTGCAGAATGACCTGGACTTCTTCGAATTGGGTAAAACTCTCTGGCTTGTAGCTTTAAAGATGCTTATGAACTTATAACCCCCCGCTGTTTCTTCTTAAATATCAGAAACAGTAATAAAGATCATTAACATTTTTCTAATAGAAAGGTGAGAAAAATAAAGAAATGCTTAAAGGGTAATTTGGCACTTTCAGCTTAAGTAATGGAAATGAATTAAAATTATGACTAAAATTACAAGAATAATTACAATGTTAATGAACAGTTTTTACGATATTCTTGATGAAGTGTCTCAGTGCTTATTTCCTGAATCCAGCAGCATTCCCTGGAAAGAGGTGGAAAGTATTGCTTTTATGCCAGAGCAGCCACAGCCATTAACTTCTTTCCTCTCACCTATTGCAAAAGCACCAGTTCCTGAATTTTATGGCTTTTATTAAGTTACACAGTGAAGAAATTTGGTCCAAAACTATTAAAAGTGGATTTACCCCATGGAAACAAGTATATTATTAATGCATTTGATTTGGTAATAGCAAAAACAATATATCAACAAATTCCAATAATATAATTTTTATATTTCAGAGGCATCTTATTGTTATGTCTAATCTCTGGCACTTTCACTGAAAATAGTAAGATAAAAACATACAGTAAATGAAAAAAGTGTTTTGAAAACTTACTAGTGAACTAAAAGATAGCCAGTTTCCAAGTTAAAATGGGTAGTAGAAAGAAAAAAAAATGTATATCAGCAAGAGTTATGTCCACAAACAGCATTCGCTCTTGGTTTTTTAAGCAGGATGATATTTAATACAGGGAATTAAATGCCTTCAAACATCCCAGAGATCCTTGTGAAGTGCTGGGAGAGAGAAGGCCAGGGCAGGGGTGTGAACTCTCAGCTGCACGCCAAGTTTTCCGAGATCAAAGGGTCACAGATCCAGAAAACTGACACTGATGATAAGATTTTTCTTCAGTACTTAAGAAGGTGGTTTTCAGAGCACTCGGAAGCCACCACAGAAACCCCACGTGTGCCATTTGCCTGCCTGTTCGCCTGCCACTCCCAGAGGTGTGTGAATGTGGCTTTGCCTCTCTTCTCCATTCCAAATCCTTCACGAGGGTTTCTCGTGGGCGGCTCTGCCAGCCAGGGGTGCTGGTGGGTGCAGCTTCCAGGCTTCCCAACTCCCTGATGCCAGGAGGCTTAGAAGGGGCAGAGCAGGGTTCTGTGACCAGAACATCAGAGCCCAGCACGGCTGTCCAGGACGGCTCCTGTTCTCTTGGTAAGATAAGGTATCTCTGGGCTTGAGGGGTTTGTTATTGTTTACGGAAGCAAATGGCACAATTAGATAAAGCAGTAACACTAGCCCTGCATGGTTTTGCATGGTCTTGCATGGTCCTGCATGTCATTTAGCCAGAGCATGGGAAAGGCCACCCTGGTGTTCACAGCAGCAGCCATTCCTGCCTGCACCTCCCTCACCTGCGCACGCAGTGCCCTGCTCTGCTGCTCTGTGGCCCCCCGGCTCTGATTCGCCCCCCATTGCAGAGCTGCACTTGCTACGCAGAACTGAATCTTCCGTCTTGTTTCCTAATCACTTCTTCCCAACTTTCCCTCATCCCTACATGCTATTTTTCCTGTTGGTGTCGCTTCTCACCAGGTCTGTAAAAATCTCGTCCCACCCATCACTGGGCTGGCGCAGGCCGTTTTAATTGAGCGGTTGGTGGACTTAGCGCTCTCTCTTCTCAGTTCTGGACTGTTCCCAGCTCAGCTGCATTGAGGGAAGAGCAAACACTCAGGTGGCCCATAGCCTTTGTTTTACTCCCTGCAGGTTTCAGTTTGCAGTGGGGAGTCATCCGCCACATCGAGTGAATTGCTCTGAGAATTTCTCTGCTCAGATAATCTCCATCTCTGCCCTGTCACTGCCACTTGCCCTTATGCTGATGCTCTGGACTTCGCTGTCAGCAGAAGAGCTTAATCTCGGAAACGTGTTCTGACATCCTTCCTCTGAACCACGCTGCCTGTTTCCCCTCCTTAGTGACTTCTCTGATGTTATCTGTACCTTCAGCTTTTTCCTCATCTTCTCACATATTATTTTTTGCCCTTTATACTCTTCAGAAACACTACTTCAACTGCATGGAGATATTTAGACATGAAATTCCAGTGTATAATGTTAATCCCTAAAGAAGGACTGACTGGAACCCAAGGGTTATTTTTTTATATCTTGGAATCCCTGATGACTAGTCTGGTGAGGGACACACAGGGGACCCCGGATTGTTAAGTGAGTAGATGAGTCTAACTCCGTTTCCTCTGCGGCTGTTCCTACAATGCTGGAGGAAAATCATGTTTTGCTGACTGAATATCCACTCGTAATTTCTATTTTAAACTGGGCCTTTAGTCCGTCATTGATCTTTTGCTTATTCTAGTTTGGCACTGTCTCTACCTGTGTCCCTAGAAAACCCTGCTCGAGGGAAATAGGAGGGGCTACGCCTGAGGATGAGTGCAGCTCAGACACACAAGTGAGGGACAAAGTGAGGCAGGGAAGGAGGGACAGCAAGTCAAAGGGAGTGTCACTGAGCTGGTCACAGCAGTGTCCCTCTGAATGTCACTAGAGAAGCCACCAGAAGGTGCTGCTCCTCCAAACAGCCCATCCAGAGAATGGAAAGCACCACAATTTATCTGCTAGTAACTGTCTTCCCTTGGTCAGATTTCACCCATGAGGTGTCACACCCCTTCCACTTCTGGGCACTACATATGTGGACATTAAGAATGTCCTGTGGCATTGTGGACTTTAGAATCGACAAAAAACCCTGCTGAGGACTGAGAGAGGTGCATGGCCCAGGCATCAGGTGCAGTTTACGACGGACATCCTCCTTCTTGTGGCAGAGCAGCAGAGCAGCAATCACCTGGTTCCAGGACCAGGAACCGGCACAAGCTCCAGCCAGGGACTTTCTGACCGGAACACAAGCCAAGTGCACACATCTAGGCCGGCCACAAGTCTAGGCTGGGCACACATCTAGGCCGGCCATGCGTCTAGGCTGACCACGCGTCTAGGCTGGCCACACATCTAGGCTGGCACACGTCTAGGCTGGCCACAAGTCTAGGCTGGCATACATCTAGGCTGGCCACGCGTGTAGGCTTGCACACGTCTAGGCTGGCCGCACGTCTAGGCTGGCACACATCTAGGCTGGCCACACGTCTAGGCTTGCACACGTCTAGGCTGGCCACAAGTCTAGGCTGGCACACGTCTAGGCTGGCCGCACGTCTAGGCTGGCATACATCTAGGCTGGCCACGCGTCTAGGCTTGCACACGTCTAGGCTGGCCGCACGTCTAGGCTGGCACACATCTAGGCTGGCCACACGTCTAGGCTTGCACACGTCTAGGCTGGCTGCACGTCTAGGCTGGCACACATCTAGGCTGGCCATGCGTCTAGGCTTGCACACATCTAGGCTGGCACACATCTAGGCTGGCACACATCTAGGCTGGCCACGCGTCTAGGCTTGCACACATCTAGGCTGGGCACACGTCTAGGCTGGCACACGTCTAGGCTGGCACACGTCTAGGCTGGCCACGCTTCTAGGCTGGGACACATCTAGGCTGGCCACGTGTCTAGGCTTGCACATGTCTAGGCTGGCTGCACGTCTAGGCTGGCACACATCTAGGCTGGCCACGCATCTAGGCTTGCACATGTCTAGGCTGGCCGCACGTCTAGGCTGGCACACATCTAGGCTGGCCACGCGTCTAGGCTGGCACATGTCTAGGCTTGCACACATCTCGGCTTGCACACGTCTAGGCTGGCACACATCTAGGCTGGCCACGCATCTAGGCTTGCACACATCTAGGCTGGGCACACGTCTAGGCTGGCACACGTCTAGGCTGACCATGCGTCTAGGCTTGCACATGTCTAAGCTTGCACACGTCTAGGCTGGCCACGCATCTAGGCTGGCCACGCGTCTAGGCTGGGACACATCTAGGCTGGCACAGGAATTAGTCTCTCTTCTTTCCACTTGGAGGCTTTCACAAGTTATTATTATTATCGTCATCCAGTAACAGCAAGGCCTGATTCCCACAGCAGTGTAAGGAGCATGTGCATATTCAGATTTCTATTATTTCCAAGGGGAAAGATCTTATATTTCTGTTTTACAGTATACTTTCATGTAAATGTGAGTTTTATGGCAAAAAGCTACCCAATGAGTGGGTTTAGATAATATATTATACTAACTTTGAAAATGAGACAGAGACTTATAAAAGTAGAAAGCCTTGCCCAAGGCAATAGGGCAAGAGTGTTTTAGTGAAAAGAAGTTTTGATTGGAACCCGAAAGACTTGAATTTTACTTGAAGCTCCATATCCTACTTTTATCATTTTTTTAACCCAGAAGTACCAATATCCAGAGCAACCTGGCATGACGGACTCATCGATGCTTTGGTCTTCACATTATACACCTCACCAACTTATGGAAGTTTATGTGTTTGCACAGATGACTAGGAGAGAAAGAGGGTGAGAAAAATGTGGATTACTTGACTTAATATTTTTATGTGTTAGAAGCAAAACCAAGCCAGTTTTCTCTATGTTGAAAACATCAATAGGTAGAAATTGAAGAAAAGTCAGATTCCCACTAACAGAACACAGAAAGACAAGCTCTTTCTCTCCTTCATCTTTTCTCTAACAACAAACCATTTTGGTTTATAAGTTGCAATATTTTATGATATTGAAAGTCTTATTTTATACATATAAATCATATCCAGTGATTGTCTTCAGGTTGAAATACGTAAGTTAAGATTAAAAACCAAGGTTTTTTTCTCCAAGAATATAGTTTTATGCCACATTTCATAACTAGATATTCTGTCAGAAAATTAGAAAGAACTGTGATCAAAAGTAACAGAGTCTAGTAAAAGTAGTCTGCAATTGCTAACAATACTGGTCTTAATGCTGTAAAAGTATAAAGAAAGAAATGAATGGAACACCATGAAAATGTTGGCCTCTTTCAGTTGCCAAGAAATGATGTAGCTTTTATGTCTTAAAAATATATAGTTTGCTCCTTTTTGGTCCAAATAGTCATTTAATAAGAGTTATCTCTGCACGTCCAAAATAGATTGAGTTAGTTTCCATTACTCAAGTTGAATACAGCAAACCGTTCCATTCATCCTGTTTGCCTTTTGGTTTTCTCACCATCTCTCTGCATTTACATCTGCATTATAACTTAACCAGGGGTGACCTTCCACAATGAATCTTATATATAGGCTGTTTTAAGCATTTCTTAATAACAATTTTCCAGACTATCTTAATTTCCTAGCCAAAAAATAAAGTAACATAAAATAGCCCAGGCTTCATGCCAGCATCAAATATGGGTGTAAATTAAACTGCTTAGTTGGAAGCCAATTCTGAATTTTTTCTTGATCAAGATGAGATAATTAGCACATCTGCAAAGAGCATGTAGTTTTTGTTATCTGTGAAGACTTTGCCACAATGAATACATCATTACCTGCACAAATAGGAAAGTAGAATGCTGCAGTTCATTTTCCGAGCTGCTGTGAGGAAGAACAGCAAGCAGACCTTATCTTTTTCTTATAATTAGCATTGCTGAAACAATTTAAAAGCAGAACCAAACAAAGATAAAAATATAGATTGGTAACAAGTTGGGAAGAGTTTATTGTAAAAGAGACCTGTAATTACTTAAAGAACGGGAAGACCTGTGGTTTAAAAGTGCGCAACATTGAGTAATAGGAAGTTCCAGACCTAACCATACTCCAGGAGATAATAAGAAAAGAAATATAAACCAAGGAATTAGGCTTCCTTAGAAAAATCGAGCTGCAGAAAAGGAATATATTTACACCTTGACAATGAAATATGCAAAATACCTCTTTAAGTTGCTGATAAAGTTCACAAGGCCAAGCTCCAGAATAGAGTGGAGCCAAGAGCTTAGGGATATACTCTTTCATCTTGCAACATGATTTATCTATTTTATGAATATAGGTGTTGTGATAAATAAAACTGTGATAGGGATGACAGCATTCTCCAATTTGCCAGTGGGCTATGTTCCAAGATTGTTTGGATAACAAAAGCCGAATTAAAGGATATCGTGCAGTTGTGTTCTGACTTTGGGTGCCCGGAACACAGAAGCAGCCCCATGCTGCATACCCAATGGCGCCCATGGCTGGAGCGGGGAGATCCTGAAGTGTGCCCAGGTAAGTGGAGATGGAGAGGCCTGGAAATTAGGGACTGAGGGTGATGGCAGATAGGATTTTCCTCTAAGAAAAACCTCAAGGCTCTCTCTTGGTCTTAGGTCAGCCCCCGGTTATATTCCCACTCTCCATTTTTCCTCAAAAGGGCCATGGGGACTGGTCTGTCTGCTCCTCTTTTCACTGCTGCCATCTGAAGCTCCCAGCCGTGACTTCTCTACTCCTCGGCCCACTGGAGAAAATGATTTAGTGGGTCACCTGCCTTTCCTTTGCTGAAGAAGCTTAAAGCTCTTTTGCAATTTTATAGCAATTTTTACCAGTAGCAACATTTATTCTTTGAACAGCTGTTTTTGAGGACATACTATGTTTCAGGCATGTAATTAGACAGTAGTGACATAAAGATGAGGGAGTTCAGTTGCAAAGGCATGGTTCTCTGCAGAAGGAAGTTAGTGCCAGACAACAAACAGACAACTAAAATAACACACAACGTTTTTATCTTATCCATTAGAATAACTACTATCAAAAACAAAGACAAAAAACAGAAAACAATGGGTACAGGAGAGAAATGGAAAAACTGAAATCCTTGCATGCTTCTGGTGGGAATTTAAAATGGCTCAACAGCTATGGAAACATTATGATGATTCCTTAAAAAATTAAAACTAGAATTACCATATGATGCAGAAATTTCACTTTTGGATATATACCCGAAAGAAACCAAAGCAGGGTGTGGAAGAGATATTTGTACACTCATGTTCAGAGCAGAATTATTCACAATAGCCACGAGCTGGAAAGAATCCATGTGGCCATCAGTGAATGATTGGATAAAGAAAATGTGGTATAGTCATGCACTGGAATATTATTTAGCCTTAAGAAGGAAGAAAATTCTAATACATACCATAGCATGAGTGAACTTTGAGGACATTAGGCTAAGTGAAGTAAGGCAGTCACAAAAAGATAAATATGTTATGATTCCACTGATATGAGGTACTTAGAGTAGTCAACTTCATAGAGACAGAAAGTCTTCATTGAGAACAGTGGCTCTTAGGGCCTAGGGGAGGGGAATATGGGAGAGTTGCTTAATGAGTGTAGCATTTCAGTTTTCCAAGATGAAAAATTCTGGAGATTGGTTTTACAACAATGTGCATGTACTCACCAGTACTCAACTGTACACTCAATAAGGAACACGTGAGTATCATAAAAGTATCTATTTATAGAGGACTAAGAGGATGTAGACAGAAAACACCAACAACTGGAGTGGGGGGAAAGCATACCTAGAAGAGTTCAACAGTGAACACAGTGTTACCAGAACACAGGCAGGGAAGAACAAGCGGGTATGGACAACATGTCGCAATGTGCCAGGACAGACGCTGCTTCCTGCATGGCTGGAATGGAAACAAAGGGGAGAGAAAACGGTGTAGAAGAAAGTACAGGGCATGAGATTTCTGGAATGTGTATCTGCAGAAGGTGTTAATTTGGAACTGCAATTGGAAGTGAATGTCGGTCTCCTCAATCCTCTCATTAGCTCTAATCACCACAGCCCACCTACCCGGGTGAGGGTCAGCCACAGCCCACCTACAACACCGAGGGTCAGCCACAGCCCACCCACACCACCGAGGGTCAGCCACAGCCCACCCACACCAGTGAGGGTCAGCCACAGCCCACCCACACCAGTGAGGGTGAGCCACAGCCCACCCACACCACCGAGGGTCAGCCACAGCCCACCCACACCAGTGAGGGTCAGCCACAGCCCACCCACACCACCGAGGGTCAGCCACAGCCCACCCACACCAGTGAGGGTCAGCCACAGCCCACCTACACCAGTGAGGGCTAGCCACAGCCCACCTACACCAGTGAGGGTCAGCCACAGCCCACCTATACCACCGAGGGTCAGCCACAGCCCACCTACACCAGTGAGGGTCAGCCACAGCCCACCCACACCACCGAGGGTCAGCCACAGCCCACCCACACCAGTGAGGGTCAGCCACAGCCCACCCACACCACCGAGGGTCAGCCACAGCCCACCCACACCAGTGAGGGTCAGCCACAGCCCACCCACACCACCGAGGGTCAGCCACAGCCCACCCACACCAGTGAGGGTCAGCCACAGCCCACCCACACCACCGAGGGTCAGCCACAGCCCACCCACACCAGTGAGGGTCAGCCACAGCCCACCTACACCAGTGAGGGCTAGCCACAGCCCACCTACACCAGTGAGGGTCAGCCACAGCCCACCTATACCACCGAGGGTCAGCCACAGCCCACCCACACCAGTGAGGGTCAGCCACAGCCCACCCACACCACCGAGGGTCAGCCACAGCCCACCCACACCAGTGAGGGTCAGCCACAGCCCACCCACACCATCGAGGGTCAGCCACAGCCCACCTATACCACCGAGGGTCAGCCACAGCCCACCCACACCAGTGAGGGTCAGCCACAGCCCAGCTACACCAGTGAGGGTCAGCCACAGCCCACCCACACCATCGAGGGTCAGCCACAGCCCACCTATACCACCGAGGGTCAGCCACAGCCCACCCACACCAGTGAGGGTCAGCCACAGCCCAGCTACACCACCGAGGGTCAGCCACAGCCCACCCACACCAGTGAGGGTCAGCCACAGCTCACCCACACCACCGAGGGTCAGCCACAGCCCACCCACACCACCGAGGGTCAGCCACAGCCCACCCACACCAGTGAGGGCGAGCCACAGCCCACCCACACCAGTGAGGGCCAGCCACAGCCCACCCACACCAGTGAGGGTCAGCCACAGCCCACCTACACCACCGAGGGTCAGCCACAGCCCACCTACACCAGTGAGGGCCAGCCACAGCCCAGCTACACCAGTGAGGGTCAGCCACAGCCCACCCACACCGGTGAGGGTCAGCCACAGCCCACCTACACCACCGAGGGTCAGCCACAGCCCACCTACACCAGTGAGGGTCAGCCACAGCCCAGCTACACCAGTGAGGGTCAGCCACAGCCCACCCACACCACCGAGGGTCAGCCACAGCCCACCCACACCACCGAGGGTCAGCAGGGCAGACGCAGGTTGAATGGGAGTAGTCGCTGCATAGATGGGATCCGCAGAGTGAAGGGTGAGGGAGGAGAGTAGAAAAACAAAATTGAAAACACAGTAGAAAGGGCTTGGGCTTCCTCATTCAGTCCAAATGTGCATTTTGCCCAGGCACAGTGGCTCACGCCTGTAATCCCAACATGTTGGGAGGCTGAGCAAGGTGGGTCACCTAAGGTCAGGAGATTGAGACCAGTCTGGCGAACATGGGGAAATCCTGACTCTACCAAAAATATAAAAATTAGCCAGGCCTGGTGGCGAGTGCTTGTAGTCACAGCTACTCAGGAGGCTGAGGCAGGAGAATCGTTTAAAACCAGAAGGTGGACGTTGCAGTAAGCCGAGATCACGCCACTGCCCTCCAGCCTGGGTGAGACAGCAAGACTCCATCTCAAAAAAACAAAAACAAACAAACAAACAAAGAAACGCATTTTGCACCCAGCCAGGAGGCAGGAGCTACCTGTACAACACAAAAGATTAATAATATATTTGTAACGTAGAGTTTTTGAAAGAGGTACTTTTGTGAATGCAAAGCATTGTTCCCATGAGAAAAAAAACTAGACCAAAGGTAACTATTTTTTGAGACACAAAAACATTAACCAGAAATGTGGCGAGAGAGTTTTAGCAATACTGAACTTGAGGCTGGCACTTGATTTGTTTTTTACGTAGTTCTCCCTGCTTTTTTGGGCCAGTGACTGCTTTTTCCTATCACTGCTGATGAGTTCATTTTCCTCATTGCTCAGGATGACAGATTCACACTCTTCTCCTGGCTTGTGTGTAGCACGTACACAATGCCTCATTGTCATCAAGCCAAAGTCTGCTTTTTCACAGTGGATCAGCTCAACATCACTTCATAAACGCACGACTTCAAGGGAATCCCAGTAGTCAATTTCCCTTGAATTTTAATTTAAAAATTCCATTTTACTGATTATAGAAACGAAAGACATAATACTTTATAAGTAAATTAGGACATGCAAACATGCAGTTGAAAACAACCACAACAAAAACCCCTTAGTGTAAACAAGCTTCATTTAAATGTTCTTAGATTTCTCATTGACACCACAGTGGGTATCAGTTGAGAGCCTCTCATGGTCTTTCCAGTTCTAAAGCTACATGAGTGTATTTCTCATGTTAAATTATTTATCAACCAATGTCTTTGGCTTCCAAACACTGGGATTTCTGTTTTTCAAATGACATTCTAAGATGTGAGTTGATTTGCAGCTTAAGTGAAAGATCTTAGAGCATTTGGAATCCATTCTTCAGCGACTCTGGTTTCTGTTCCTACTTTCCTAAAAGTGTACCTCAAGCGACAGCCTTGGAGGAAGGCATGGATCGTGTTTTGAGTATGTTTGGTTCCCTCCACCTGCCTCCAGTCCCCTGTGAACATCTTCCCAGAATGCTTCACTACTGAGGCAAACCAGAAGCAGTGAAATGACTTCAGATTCTGAAAACCCCTGCCCTGCCTGGCAGCGAGAAGGCGGCACACTCTGCAAACTAAATGGGTCTGTAGTTTCAAAGAAGTGAGGGCTTCTTTTTTTGTTTTGTTTTGTTTTGTTTTAGGGTACATGTGCACAATGTGCTGGTTTTTTACATATGTATACATGTGCCATGTTGGTGTGCTGCACCCATTAACTCGTCATTTACATTAGGTATATCTCCTAATGCTATCCCTCCCCCCTCCCCCTACCCTACAACAGGCCCTGGTGTGTGATGTTCCCCTTCCTGTGTCCAAGTGTTCTCATTGTTCAGTTCCCACCTATGAGTGAGAACATGTGGTGTTTGTTTTTTTGTCCTTGCGATAGTTTGCTGAGAATGATGGTTTCCAGCTTCATCCACATCCCTACAAAGGACATTAACTCATCAATTTTTATGGCTGCATAGTATTCCATGGTGTATATGTGCCACATTTTCTTAATCCAGTCTATCATTGTGGGACTTTTGGGTTGGTTCCAAGTCTTTGCTATTGTGAATAGTGCCACAATAAACATATGTGTGCGTGTGTCTTTATAGCAGCATGATTTATAATCCTTTGGGTATATACCCAGTAATGGGATGGCTGGGTCAAATGGTATTTCTAGTTCTGGATCCCTGAGGAATCGCCACACTGACTTCCACAGTGGCTGAACTAGTTTACAGTCCCACCAACAGTGTAAAAGTGTTCCTCTTTCTCCACATCCTCTCCAGCACCTGTTGTTTCCTGACTTTTTAATGATTGCCATTCTAATTGGTGTGAGATGGTATCTCATTGTGGTTTTGATTTGCATTTCTCTGATGGCCAGTGATGGTGAGCATTTTTTCATGTGTCTTTTGGCTGCATAAATGTCTTCTTTTGAGAATTGTCTGTTCATATCCTTCACCCACATTTTGATAGGGTTGTTTGTTTTTTTCTTGTAAATTTGTTTGAGTTCTTTGTAGATTCTGGATATTAGCCCTTTGTCAGATGAGTAGATTGCAAAAATTTTCTCCCATTCTGTAAGTTGCCTGTTCACTCTGATGATAGTTTCTTTTCCAGTGCAGAAGCTCTTTAGTTTACTTAGATCCCATTTGTCAATTTTGGCTTTTGTTGCCATTGCTTTTGGTGTTTTAGACACCAAAGCATGAACTAGAGTGGATAAGACCATCTGGCCCCATGGTGAGAAGACGAAACATGGAGAATTCACTCAGTTTTGCAAGGACAGAGTCCAGCATGAGGAAGATAATTTAAAGTATTCTGGTGACAAACGATCTTATTTCCAAGCCTGATTTAGTTAGTGGCAACTAACCACAAGTGTGATCCAGCTTTTGCCAGCACGGATCTCCTCCCCCAGTGGTAGGAAGATGGCTGAGCCAGGGGAGGCTGAACGGCAGCATCTTCCCCAAATTATCTGCATTTGCTTCCACAATGCTGCCGCTTGCTAAGAAGGAACAACTTCCAAAGCAGCAAAAACAACTCTCACGTTTTACTAGTAGTTTATTAGTAGTAGTACTAGTACAGATGCTCCTACTTGACATAATAGGGTTACATCCTGACAAACCCATCGTAATTGGAAAATGCATTTAATATATCTCACCTACAGAACATCACAGGTCTCGCCTACCTTAAATATACCCAGAACACTTACATTAGCCCATGATTGGCAGAATCATCTAATATGAAGCCTTTTATAAAAAAGTATTGCATATCTCATGTCATTCATGAACACAGCGCACTGTGGAGTGTGGTGTTGGTTGATTCCCCTGGATTTCCCAGCTTCCTGGAAGCTGGGGCTGGCCGCCCCGATCTGCATCCCAAGAGTCTTCCTACCACATGCTGCTAGCCCAGGCAAAGAGCTCAGTTCAAAATGCGGTGTCTACTGAGTGCCCATCACCTATGCACCATTGTAAAGTCGAAAAATCTTACACTGTAGGATTACTAGTATTGTAGTAATCATTCTGCACTATTTGGAAATATTTGTACTTGAACACTGCTAGAAATAAGAAAGTGTTGGTGATCTTCCTTTGTAAAATAAAATTGTCCTAATTAAGGAAAAAACAAATTTATCATGACTGCATTTTGTTATTATGTGGGCTTATTATTGTAATAATTAGCATTACTATTGTTTCATAATAGCCAGCTTTAGGTAGTATAAAAGCATGGACTGTATTAGCTAGAAAACCAGGTTTTAAGTCTACACTCTGCCTTTTATTAGCTGTGTGTCTTCAACTTACAGCTGTCCCTCGGTAAACCCAGGGAATTTGTTCCAGCACTGGGTCAGCCCTACAGAGCTCGCATAAATTAACAGTTTGCCCTCATTATATGTGGGTTTCACATGCCCTGAATACTGCATCTTCTGATCCATGTTTCATTGAAAAAAGTCGACCCACATAGTTTAAACCCATCTTATTCAAGGGCTGTTTTTTTTTTAAAGAGAAATGTAATTTATTTCAGGTAATAAATGTATTAAAGTACCAAAACAACATTAATTTTTAATTTCAAATTACAATTCAATCCTGTAATAACACAGATAGGAATGGGGTGGACGGGGCCAATACTCATGTGGTTTCTCTTTGGTGTATTCAGACCAGTGTGCTGTATAGTGCCATGCACACAGGGGACCGGACAGGATTTGACTGACAGTATAGCTTAATTCAGATTATAGCATAGTGGGGCTTTTAAAAAGAATTTTATTATTAAGATTAAAATAATGGACTGAAAAAGTTCCCCCAGGTTCATTAAGTTTAACACATAATATAAAGTCCTCTTTCTTTCTTCTTGCACTGCCAGTCCTTTCAAATAAGCATTCTGTCCTGTAGCCTTCATTTTCAATCCATATGCCCTTAGCTCTCAGAAATCTGCCTTTTTCTCTGTTTACTTGTCTGAACCTGAACTCCATTTTTTTTTTAAATTTGACTTTAAGTTCCAGGATATAGGAGCAGAACATGCAGGTTTGTTATGTAAGTATACCTGTGCCAGGTGGTTTGCTGCACCTATAAACCCGCCGTCTAGGTTTTAAGCCCCACATACCTTAGCTGTTTGTCCTAATGCTCTCCCTCCCTTCACCTCCCACCCCCTGACTGACCCTGATGTGTGTTGTTCCCCTCTTTATGTCCATGTGTTCTCATTGTTCAACTTCCACTTGTGAGTGAGAACATGCAGTGTTTGGTTTTCTCTTCCTGTGTCAGTTTGCTGAGGATGAAGTCTTCCATCTTCATCCATGTCCCTGCAAAGGACATGAACTCATCCTTTTTTATGGCTGCATAGTATTCCATGGTGTATATGTGCCACATTTTCTTTATCCAGTCTATCACTGATGGGCATTTCCGTTGGTTCCATGTCTTTGCTATTGTGAACAGTGCTGCAATAAACATACATGTGCATGTGTCTTTACCATAGAATGATTTATAATCCTTTGGGTATATACCCAGTAATGGGATTGCTGGGTCAAATGGTATTTCTGGTTCTAGATTCTTGAGGATACGTCACACTGTCTTCTACAATGGTTGAAGTAATTTACATTCTCATCTGCAGAGTAAAAGCATTCCTATTTCTCCACAGTCTCACCAGCATCTATTGTTTCCTGACTTTTTAATAATCACCATTCTGACTGGCATGAAATGGCTCTCATTGTGGTTTTGATTTACATTTCTCTAATGATCAGTGTCAGGCCTCTGAGCCCAAGCCAAGCCATCGCATCCCCTGTGACCTGCACGTATACACCCAGATGGCCTGAAGTAACTGAAGAATCACAAAAGAAGTGAATATGCCCTGCCCCACCTTAACTGATTACATTCCACCACAAAAGAAGTGTAAATGGCCGGTCCTTGCCTTAACTGATGACATTACCTTGTGAAAGTCCTTCTCCCGGCTCATCCTGGCCCAAAATCACCCCCACTGAGCACCTTGCGACCCCCACTCCTGCCTGCCAGAGAACAAATCCCCTTTGACTGTAATTTTCCTTTACCTACCCAAATCCTATAAAATGGCTCCACCCTTATCTCCCTTCGCTGACTCTCTTTTCTGACTCAACCCACCTGCACACAGGTGATTAAAAGCTTTATTGCTCACACAAAGCCTGTTTGGTGGTCTCTTCACATGGACACGCATGAAATTTGGTGCCATGACTCGGATCGGGGGACCTCCCTTGGGAGCTCAATCCCCTGTCCTCCTGTTCTTTGCTCCGTGAGAAAGATCCACCTATGACCTCAGGTCCTCAGACCAGCCAGCCTAAGGAACATCTCACCGATTTTAAATCAGGTAAGCGGCCTCTTCTTACTCTCTTCTCCAACCTCTCTCACTGTCCCTCAACCACTTTCTCCTTTCCACTCTTCAATCTCTCCCTTCTCTTAATTTCAATTCCTTTCATTTTCTGGGAGAGACAAAGGAGACACATTTTATCCATGGACCCAAAACTCCGGTGCCGGTCACGGACTGGGAAGGCAGCCTTCCCTTGGTGTTTAATCATTGCAGGGACACCTCTCTGATTATACACCCATGTTTCAAGGATGTCAGACCACGCAGGGACGCCTGCCTTGGTCCTTCACCCTTAGCGGCAAGTCCCGCTTTTCTGGAGAAGGGTCAAGTACCCCAACCCCTTCTGTCCTTGTCTCTACCCCTTCTCTGCTTTTCTGGGGACAGGGCAAGTACCCCAACCCCTTCTCTCCTTGTCTCTACCCCTTCTCTGCTTTTCTGGGAGAGGGGCAAGTACCCCTCAACCCCTTCTCCTTCACCCTTAGTGGCAAGTCCTGCTTTTCTACTGGGCAAGAATCCCCAATCCCTTATTTCTGTGCCCCAACCTCTTATCTCTGTGCCCCAATCTCTTATTTCCGTGCAACAACCTCTTATCTCTGTGCCCCAATCCCTTATTTCCGTGCAACAACCTCTTATATCTCTGCACCTCAATCCCTTATTTCCACACCCCGACCTCTTATCTCTGTGCCCCAATCCCTTATTTCCATGCCCTGACCCCTTATTTCTGTGCCCCATCCCTTATTTCCCTGCCCCGACCTCTTATCTCTGCGCCCCAACCCCTTTTCCCACTTTTCTGGAAGGTAAGAACCTCCGAACCCCTTCCCTCCATTTCTCTACTCTCTCTTTTCTCTAGGCTTGCTTCCTTCACTATGGGCAACCTTCCACCCTCCATTCCTCCTTCTACTCCCTTGGCCTGTGTGCTCAAAAACTTAAAACCTCTTCAACTCACACCTGACCTGAAACCTAAATGCCTTATTTTCTTCTGCAATGCCGCTTGACCCCAATACAAATTTGACAGTAGTTCCAAATAGCCAGAAAATGGCACTTTGAATTTTTCCATCCTGCAAGATCTAAATATTTCTTGTCGTAAAATAGGCAAACGGTCTGAGGTGCCTGATGTCCAGGCATTCTTTTACACATCAGTCCCTTCCTAGTCTCTGTGCCCAGTGCAACTTGTCCCAAATCTTCCTTCTTTCCCTCCCGCCTGTCCCCTCAGTACCAACCCCAAGCGTCCCTGAGTCTTTCTAATCTTCCTTTTCTACAGACCCATCTGACCTCTCCCTTCCTCCCCAGGCTGCTCCTCGCCAGGCCGAGCCAGGTCCCAATTCTTCCTCAGCCTCTGCTCCTCCACCCTGTAATCCTTTTATCACCTCCCCTCCTCACACCTGGTCCAGCTTTCAGTTTCATTCTGCCACTTGCCCTCCCGCACCTGCCCAGCAATTTACCCTTAAAAAGGTGGCTGGAGCCAAAGGCGTAGTCAAGGTTAAAGCTCCTTTTTCTTTATCCTAAATCAGAAGCATTTAGGCTCTTTTTCATCAAATATAAAAATCCAGCCCCATTCATGGCTCGTTCGGCAGCAACCCTGAGACACTTTACAGCCCTAGACCCTAAAAGGTCAAAAGGCCGTCTTATTCTCAAAATACATTTTATTACCCAATCTGCTCCCGACATTAAATAAAACTCCAAAAATTAAATTCCGGCCCTCAAACCCCACAACAGGATTTAATTAACATTGCCTTCAAGGCGTACAATAATATAAAAAAGTTGCAATTCCTTGCCTCCACTGTGAGACAAACCCCAGCCACATCTCCAGCACACAAGAACTTCCAAACGCCTGAACCGCAGCAGCCAGGCGTTCCTCCAGAACCTCCTTCCCCAGGAGCTTGCTACACGTGCCGGAAATCTGGCCACTGGGCCAAGGAATGTCCGCAGCCCAGGATTCCTCCTAAACCGCGTCCCATCTGTGCGGGACCCCACTGAAAATCGGACTGTTCAACTCACCTGGCAGCCACTCCCAGAGCCCCTGGAACTCTGGCCCAAGGCTCTCTGACTGACTCCTTCCCAGATCTTCTTGGCTTAGCGGCTGAAGACTGACACTGCCCGATCACCTCGGAAGCCCCCTCGACCATCACGGACGCCGAGCTTCAGGTAACTCTCACAGTGGAAGGTAAGCCCGTCCCCTTCTTAATCAATATGGAGGCTACCCACTCCACATTACCTTCTTTTCAAGGGCCTGTTTCCCTTGCCTCCATAACTGTTGTGGGTATTGACGGCCAGGCTTCTAAACCTCTTAAAACTCCCCAACTCTGGCGCCAGCTTAGACAATGCTCTTTTAAGCACTCCTTTTTAGTTATCCCCACCTGCCCAGTTCTCTTATTAGGCCAAGACACTTCAACTAAATTATCTGCTTCCCTGACTATTCCTGGACTACAGCTACATCTCATTGCCGCCCCTCCTCCCAATCCAAAGCCTCCTTTGCGTCCTCCTCTTGTATCCCCCCACCTTAACCCACAAGTATACCTCTACTCCCTCCTTGGTGACCGATCATGCACCCCTTACCATCTCATTAAAACCTAATCACCCTTACCCCACTCAACGCCAATATTCCCATCCCGCAGCATGCTTTAAAAAGATTAAAGCCTGTTATCACTCGCCTGCTACAGCATGACCTTTTAAAGCCTATAAACTATCCTTACAATTCCCCCATTTTACCTGTCCTAAAGCCAGACAAGCCTTACAAGTTAGTTCAGGATCTATGCCTTATCAACCAAATTGTTTCGCCTATCCACCCTGTGGTGCCAAACCCCTACACTCTTGTCCTCAATACCCTCCTCCACAACTCACTGTTCCGTGCTTGATCTTAAAGATGCTTTTTTCACTATTCCCCTGCACCCCTCGTCCCAGCCTCTCTTCGCCTTCACTTAGACTGACCCTGACACCCATTAGGCTCAGCAAATTACCAAGGCTGTACTGCCGCAAGGCTTCATAGACAGCCCCCATTACTTCAGTCAAGCCCAAATTTCATCCTCATCTGTTACCTATCTCGGCATAATTCTCATAAAAACATACGTGCTTTCCCTGCTGATCGTGTCCGATTAATCTCCCAAACCTCAATCCCTTACAAAACAATAACTCCTTTCCTTCCTAGGCATATAGTTAGTGCGATCAGAATTCTTATGCAACAGCCAGGACTGCACCCTGTAGCCTTTCTGTGCAAACAACTTGACCTTACTGTTTTAGCCTAGCCCTGATGTCTGCATGCAGCGGCTGCCGCTGTGTAAGAATTCTGATCGCACTAACTATATGCCTAGGAAGGAAAGGAGTTGTTGTGAACTTTAGAGAGTGAGTTGAGCATAGTTTGTGATTTTGAGGGCCTCTAAACTTTTAGAGGCCCTCAAAATCACAAACTATGCTCAACTCACTCTCTAAAGTTCACAACTTCCAAAATCTATTTGCTTCCTCATACCTGATGCATATACTTTCTGCTCCCCGGCTCCTTCAGCTGTACTCACTCTTTGTTGAGTCTCCCACAATTACCATTTTCCCTGGCCCAGACTTCAATCTGGCCTCCCACATTATTCCTGATACCACACCTGACCCCCATAACTGTATCTCTCTGACCCACCTGACATTCACCCCATTTCCCCAAATTTCCTTCTTTCCTGTTCCTCACCCTGATCACGCTTGATTTATTGATGGCGGTTCCACCAGGCCTAATCGCCACACACCAGCAAAGGCAGGTTATGCTATAGTACAAGCCACTAGCCCGCCTCTCAGAACCTCTCATTTCCTTTCCATTGTGGAAATCTATCCTCAAGGAAATAACTTCTCAGTGTTCCATCTGCTATTCTACTACTCCTCAGGGATTATTCAGGCCCCATCCCTTCCCTACACATCAAGCTCGAGGATTTGCCCCCACCCAGAACTGGCAAATTAGCTTTACTCAACATGCCTGAGTCAGGAAACTAAAATACCTCTTAGTCTAAATAGACACTTTTACTGAATAAGTAAAGGCCTTTCCTACAGGGTCTGAGAAGTCCACCGCAGTCATTTCTTCCCTTCTGTCAGCCATAATTCTTCAGTTTAGCCTTCCCACCTCAATACGGTCTGATAACAGTGAGCCTTTATTAGTCAAATCAGCCAAGCAGTTTTTCAGGCTCTTAGTAATGGACTAAAGGTCTTTTAAAAACACACCTCACCAAGCTCAGCCACTAACTTAAAAAGGACTGGACAATACATTTACCACTTTTGCTTCTCAGAATTCAGGCCTGTCCTCAGAATGCTACAAGGTACAGCCCATTTGAGCTCCTGTATAGATACTCCTTTTTGTTAGGCCCCAGTCTCATTTGACACCAGACCAACTTAGACTGTGCCCCAAAAAAACTTGTCATCCCTACTATCTTTTGTCTAGTCATACTCCTATTCACCGTTCTCAACTACTCATACATGCCCTGCTCTTGTTTACACTGCCAGTTTACACTGTTTCTCCAAGCCATCACAGCTGATATCTACCTTTTATACCTGTTTTTCTCCTTCTCTTATTCCATTTAGTTTTTCAATTCATACAAAACCATATCCAGGCCATCGCCAATCATTCTATACGACAAATGTTTCTTCTAACTACCCCACAATATCACCCCTTACCACAAGACCTCCCTTCAGCTTAATCTCTCCCACTCTAGGTTCCCACACCGCCCCTAATCCCGCTCGAAGCAGCCCTGAGAAACATTGCCCATTCTCTCTTCATACCACCCCCCAAAGATTTTCGCAGCCCCAACACTTCAACACTATTTTATTTTTCTTATTAATATAAGAAAGCAGGAATGTCAGGCCTCTGAGCCCAAGACAAGCCAAGCCATCGCATCCCCTGTGACCTGCACGTATACACCCAGATGGCCTGAAGTAACTGAAGAATCACAAAAGAAGTGAATATGCCCTGCCCCACCTTAACTGATGACATTCCACCACAAAAGAAGTGTAAATGGCTGGTCCTTGCCTTAACTGATGACATTACCTTGTGAAAGTCCTTTTCCTAGCTCACCCTGGCTCAAAAACACCCCCACTGAGCACCTTGCTACCCCAACTCCTGCCCACCAGAGAACAAACCCCCTTTGACTGTAATTTTCCTTTACCTACCCAAATCCTATAAAACGGCCCCACCCTTATCTCCCTTCGCTGACTCTTTTCTGACTCAGCCCCACTGCACCCAGGTGATTAAAAGCTTTATTGCTCACACGAAGCCTGTTTGGTCGTCTCTTCACACGGATGTGCATGAAAATCAGTGTTGTTGAGTTTTTTTCATACGTTTGTTGGCCACATAAATGTCTTCTTTTGAAAAGTGTCTGTTCATATACTTTGCCCACTTTTTGATGGGGTTGTTTGTTTTTTTCTTGTAGATTTGTTTAAGTTCCTTGTAGATTTTGGATATTAGACCTTTGTCAGATGGGTAGATTGCAAAAATTTTCTCCCATTCTGTAGGTTGCCTGTTCACTCTGATGATAGTTTTTTATTGTTGTTGTGCAGAAGCTCTTTAGTTTAATTAGATCCCATTTGTCAATTTGGCTTTTGCTGCCATTGTTTTTGGTGTTTTAGTTATGAAGTCTTTGCCCATGCTTATGTCCTGAATGGTATTCCCTAGGTTTTCTTCTAGGGTTTTTATGGATTGGAGTTTTATGTTTAAGTCTTTAGTCCATCTTGAGTTAATTTTTGTATAAAGTGTAAGGAAGGGGTCTAGTTTCAGTTTTCTGCATATGGGCCAACTGTTCTTAACCTTTCTAGGACTCAGTTTCCTCATTGTAAAATGGAAGGAATGACCTCTCTTTGGCAAGCAGATTGTAAAATTAAAATAATATAATGCAAGTGAAAATGTCACATTCATGGGAGTCTAAAAAGTTGCAATTGTTTTAGCAGCCCTAGAAATGTAATTCACTCCTGCAGTTTAAAATGTGTTATTTGCATATTAATCTTAACTACTACCCACTGGCTCACAGCAGCTTGAATCTAAATAAAATAGCTTGGAGAAAGTCATTGCTTATTTTAAAGTAGTTATGACTTTTGTCAACATAAAACTGAGATATTTTGTAAAGTTAGTTAAGACAATGTTGCTCTTACTCAAAATTACCCAGTGGTAGCCCCTCTTTTTTCCAGGCAGCCTGAGTTTCTTCAGTGGCCCCTGAGGGCTGACATGGTCTGGTCCCTTGCTGGATCTCTGGTCCCATCCCGTTCGCTCACTCTGCTCCAGCTGCCCAGGCCCCCTCACTGCTCCTCACAGGCTTCCTCTCAGAGGCTCTGTGCTTGCATCTCCTAGGTCAGGAATTCTTCCCTGAGGTGGCCCCATGGCTTTCTCCCTCCACTGCTCACTGTGTTAAAATTCACACAGAGACAAACACACTCACACACATGCACACACTCCAGTCTCCATTCCTACCTCATTTTCTTTTCAGATCCCGTGTCCCCATTATGCACCCTTTACTAACAGGCTTCATTTGTTTGTTGAGTGTCTGTCTCCTTTTCTGAAATGGGTGAGGCAAGAGCAGGATGAGCACATTATTTATGAGATATTCTTGGAACCTTTGAAAGTCACATTAAACAACTGACTCTGCCAAACTGGGATGTGCTCACCCTGTCCATGAGGACTGAGATTTTTTATTATTATTTATTTATGCATAGACGGGGTCTCACCCTGCTACCCAGACTGGAGTGCAGTGGCAAAAACATAGCTCAGTGCAGCCTGGAGCCCCTGGGCTCAGGCAATCCTCCTGCCACAGGCGCAAGCACCACGCCTAGTTTGAGAGCGTGGCTGCATTCTCAGCGCTGTATCTCCAGGGTCTGCTTTACTGTAGAGTGCCTGGTAGGTGCTCAGTTCATATGATATTGGTTGTTGAATGAATGAATACATTCTGAAGCCTGACTCCAAGTCTACATCATGTCTTGCTTCTGGTTTGTTTCCCTGATACCTTTCTCTCTTCAATCCGTTCTTCTCATTGCTACCTAAGCAATAAGTGACTGTACTATCTAAAAAAAAGTGCCCCTATCATCTCAATACTTAAGCAGAAAGTCCAAACAACTTAGTGTGGCTTCCGGATCCTGCCACCATCTTGACTTCTCAAATATCCGTTTCAGGCTCATTTCTCAACCCTTGTTCCTAAGACCCTGAGCTTTCAGTCACTTCTTGAAGTTTCCTGAAGTAGTAAGAACTTTTATGGAGACACCTTTGTGCAGGATTCTGTCTTCCACCAAATATCACTTTTCCTCCCTTAATTTTGCAAATTCATATTCATCCCTCAGACCTGGTTCACAGGTCACCTTGTCAAGTCCTTGAAGTGCCTAAGTATTTTGTTTTGTCAGAGAGATTTTTTCTACATTTTCAAAGAACAACCACTAATTATTTCTTATATTTGTTGCAAGATAATTTATTTAAAAATGCCTTAGCCTTCCACATGTGTAAATTAAGTTTAATTCATATTCCAGAAATTACTTGTTTGCAATTGAAGTATGTTAACAAAGACTTCACACTCTAGATCTATCTATGGCAAGTAGGTCGGTTCTCATCTAAATACACAGCAGCTGGTTTGTTAATCAGCATAAAGAATGCTAGAAATAGTTCTCCTTTTTTCTTGATAAAATAAATAATGCTCTCTATATATAATTGTCTGGAAAAATTCCATGGACTCTGGCATTCCTGTGTGAGTGGAATCTGGAAACCTAGCAGGATCACACCTGTAATGTTGCATCCAAGTTCTTTGTAGCCATTGGGTCTCTTTGCCCTACTCTTAGGCAGGATTGCTCTGTCTAATCTAACTCAGAGGTTAGTGGATCCCACCATTAGAATGTAATTGTGCTTTTCCTACAATAATCTTTGGTGTGAAATGCTTGTCAGGGTGTTTATAGTAGAGCACAGGACATCAAGTTAAAAAATACACAGGTTGTGTGACTGTGTTGAGGCATTTATGCTTCTAAGTGTTTGAGTTTGTGGTAGACTTAGTCTGCAACTTGCCTTAGTCCGCAACTTGCCTTTATTATAACTTTTTACCTAATTTTAAAAGTTCCAACCAGCTTCTAGTTGCTGAAAACAGCAGATGTTTATAAAGGACCCCACAGATGCTGACCACATTGGCTTCCGTCAGTCTGACATGGTGTGATAATGATGTAATTATGTGCCAAGGTCAGCTCTGCCCATGAGGACTGTGAGCTCTCGGATGAGCCTTCTTCTTATCTGTACTCATGGAGCTGGACACATTGGTGGGTTGACTCAGCTGATGTTTGTTATGTGGATGAGCAGATGAAATACTAGACCTTTAACATTAGAGACAGCTAAAGGCAATGTAACCTAAAAGATGTAAGGACAATACAATTGGTGGAGTGATGGTTTAGCCACTCGTGTTGCCTGGGATTTAGGAATTTCCCCAGGATACAAGAAATTCAGTGAAAACACCAGGACAGGACCAGGCAAACATGGACCGCTGGTCACCCTGACAGGCCTTCTTTCCCTTACTTAAATAATTACTCATGTTGAAAAATTTTAAAGTATAAACAAGGTTGATAACATTTTGCACTCTTTCTCAATAAAAACCCCTAATTGTTTACATACAGAAGGAAAGTTTCTCAACATAATAAAGGCCATTTATGGGAAACCTACAGCTAGTATCATAATCAACAGGGAAGAACTGAACTCTTTTGCACGAAGATCTGGTATAAGAGAGGGCTGCCCACTCTCACCACATGCCTTCTACATAGTACTGGAAGCACTAGCAAAGGCAATTTAAAAGGGAAAAAGAAATAAAAGACATCTAAACTAAAAAGGAAGATGTTAATTCATCTCTGACTGCAGATGGCATGATTCTATGAGTAGAAAACCCCAAAGATTCCAGAAAAAACTATTAGAAGAAATACATGAATTCAGTAAAGTTGTAGAATACAAAATTAACACATAAATATCAGTAGTATTTCTTTTTTTTTTTTCTTCTAATTCATCTGTATTTGAAACAACTTTAAGCAGAATGTGACTCGGGCACTACATTTCCATCCACAAGACTGGCTCTGAGTTATTTTTGAACAGCTTTATGTTATGCTTAGGTAGACTTATAACTTTGCGCCTCCAAACAATACTTTTCTTTGGAAAACAAGCCCTATGGAGATTTCCTTCCATCCAGTTGCTTCAGTTTAACCTGTTTCTAGGGGACTAGTACATGTGGAATTGGCAACTACAGGGGATGAAAAGTTCAAAAAGTAGATCCTACAAGATGTAACAAATACTTTTCTTCTAAACATCAAGGTATAGCTCAGGAACACTTTGATAACAAGACTTGGTCTACTAAGGAATCGGGCTTGATAGCTAAACACTTTAGACCACAAAGTTAGCATCATGTTACATACATCTTACATCTGTCAAAATAAGCCAATGTGAAACTAAGAAAGCATTGCTAACTCTGCTTTAGTGCCTAAGGTATCATAGCATCACTTAGAAATAGACAGAAATCTTAACTTCCCCTTAAAGTAGTTGTTGTCATGCCATACAGACTATTTAATGTTACCGAAAATGAAGAAAAACATCCTTGAAAATATATTCTCAGAGGAACTGTAGAGTACCGAACAGGTAAGACATCCCTCAGCTGGAGGTTGGTCTACTTTTCCATGCGTGATGTGTCGTCATCTCCTTCGAGGGGTGGCATTTCTTCAGTTACAGCTGCACTGGTATCATCAGCAGTAGGGTCATCTTCATCAGTACCCAGACCAAGTTTGTTCATCCTGTAGATCCTGTTAGCATGTGTCTGGGGACCTTCCAGCCCGAAGTCAGAAGACAGGAGCGCAGTTTCATAAAGCAAGATGACCAGATCCTTCACAGACTTGTCATTCTTATCAGTCTCTGCCTTTTGCCTTAAGGTGTCAATAAAGGAATGGTCGGGGTTTATCTCCAGGTGTTTCTTTGCTGCCATGTAACCTGTTGTTGAGTTGTCTCTTAGGGCTTGAGCTTTCATGATTCTCTCCATGTTTGCTGTCCAGCCATATGTGCTTGAGACAATACAACATGGAGACGTCACCAATTGGTTTGACACAACCACCTTTTCAACTCTTCTCCAAAATGTCTTTCACGATTTTGCAGAGGTTCTCAAACTTTGGTTTTTTTTTTGTTTCGTTTTTTGTTTTCCCTCTTCCTGTTTCTTTTTCTCTTCTTCATCCTCTGGAAGTTCCAAGTCCTCTTTGGTGACTGACACTAAAGTCTTCCCCTCAAATTCCTTCAGCTGCTGGACACAGTACTCATCAATGGGCTCGATCGTATAGATCACTTCCAAGCCATGTTTCCAAAGACGTTGCACAATGGTTGAGTTAGCTACCTGGTCCTTGGTCTCACCTGTGATATAATAGATATGTTTCTGGTTTTCCTTCATTCTGGTGCAGTAGTCCTGGAGATAAACCATCTCATCACCAGAGGCATATGTGTAGTATCTTAGCAGCTCTGAAAGTTTCTTCTGATTTTGAGAGTCTCCGTGTATTCCAAGCTTTATGTTTTTAGAGAACGGCTCATAGAACTTCTAGTACCTCTCTTTACCTTCTACCAGTTCAGTAAAGAGTTCTAAGCATTTTTTGACCAAATTATTCCTGATAACTTTCAAAATTTTGCTTCATTGCAACATCTCACGGAAAATATTTAGAGGGAGATCCTCCGAGTCTACCACCCCTCTGATGAAGTTCAGATATTCAGGGATTAGCTCCTCACAGTTATCCATGATGAGATCTCTGCGTGCAGACAATTTGATTTTGTTCTTTTTCTTTCTGGTTTCCAACAGCTCAAAAGGAGCAAGTCGTGGGACAAATAGAAAGGCTCTGAATTCCAACTGTCCTTCAACTGAAAAATGCTTCACTGCCAAGTAATCTTCCCAGTTAATGGTCAAGCTTTTGTAGAATTCTCTGTATTCCTAATTAGTAAAGTCATCAGGGTATCTGGTACAGATAGGCTTTGTTTGTTGAGTTCTCCTTGATCGATGTACTTTTCCTTAATCTTCTTCTTCTTCTTCTTCTTCTTCTTCTTGTCACCATCCTTCTTTTATTCTTCTTCTTCGTCAGAACCAACATCTTCAATTTCAGGTTTGTCTTCGGACTCTTTCTCTTCTTTTTCCTTTTCTTCTTCTTTATCTTCCTTTTCTTCGGCCTCATCATTGCTGACTTCTTTATCATGTTTCTTCTCCACAAAAAGAGTGACGGGATATCCAATAAACAGAATGTTTCTTCACAATCTCATTTATTTTTCGTTCCTCCAAGTACTCAGTTTGGTCTTCTTTTAGCGGTAGGATAACCTTTGTTCCATGACCTATAGGTTCACCTGTGTCTGTCCTCACTGTGAATGATCCCCTTAATGAGGACTCCCAGGCATACTGTTCATCATTGTTATGTTTGGTGATCACTGTTACTTTCTCAGCAACTGAATAAGCAGAATAAAAACCAACACTGAACTGGCCAATCATAGAGATATCTGCACCAGCCTGCAAAACTTCCATGAACACTTTGGTCTCAGACTTGGTGATAGTTCCAAGGTTGTTGATCAAGTCAGCCTTGGTCATTCCAATTCCAGTATCCACAATAGTGAGTGTTCGATCTTGTTTGTTTGGTATAAGGCTAATATGCGGCTCTTTCCCAGAGTCTAATTTACTGGGATCCGTCAAGCTTTCCTACAGGATTTTGTCCAATGCATCTGATAAATTTGAAATGAGCTCTCTCAGAAAGATCTCTTTGTTCAAGTAGAAAGTATTGATGAACAATGACATCAACTGGGCAATTTCTGCCTGAAAGGTGAACGTCTCAACCTCCTACTCCTCCGTTGGTTGGTCTTGGGTCTGAGTCTCCTCGGGCATCTTGGCTAAGGGACCACACGGTCTCCGCAGTGCAGCGGCACCAGGACGCTGAAGCAACTCTAAATATCCACAGCACTTCTATACACAAATAACAACTTAGCTGAAAAAGAAATCAAGAAAACAATCCCATTTACGATAACATTAAAAACAAAATAGTTGGAATAAATTTAACCAAGGAGGTAAAGATCTGTAGGCTAAAAAATACAAAATATTAATAACATAGATTGAGGAAGACACAAATAAATGGAAAGCTATCTAATGTTTGTTTCTCAGAATAATTGATATTGTTAAAATGTTTATACTGCCCAAAGCAATGTGGATTAATGCAATCCTTATCAAAATCTCAATGGTATTCTTCACAGAAATAGCAAAAAAACCCTTAAAATTTGTACAGAACCACAAAAATCCCTGAACAGCCAAAGCAATACCGAGAAAGAAAGGCAGTTATCACACAACCCTATTTAAAATCATATTACAAAGTAATATTAACCAAAGCAATATGCTATTAGCATAAACACAGACACATAGGCCAATGAGACAGAATACAGAGCCCAGAAATAAATCCAAACATACATATTCAACTAATTTTTGACAAGAGCGCCAAGAGGACACAATTAGAGAAGAAGAGTCATTTCAAAATATGGTGCTGGAAGGCCGGGCACGGTGGGTGGCTGAAGCCTGTAATCCCAGCACTTTGGGAGGCCAAGGTGGGCGGATCACGAGGTCAGGAGTTCCAGACCAGCCTGGCCAACATAATGAAACCCCGTCTCTACTAAAAAAACACAAAAATTAGCCGGGCATGGTGGTGGGCACCGGTAGTCCCAGCTACTTGGGGGGCTGAGGCAGGAGAACTGCTTGAACCCAGGAGTCAGAAGTTATGGTGAGCTAAGATTGTGCCACCGCAAGCCAGCCTGGGTAACACAGCGAAACTCTGTCTCAAAAAAAAAATATGGTGTTGGAAAAACTGTATTTCCACATGCAAATGAATAAAACTGGATGCTTATCTTACTCCATTCACAAAAATCAACTCAAAATGAAAAAAAGACCTAAATGGAAGACCAGAAATTATAAAACTCCTAGAAGAAAACATAGGGGAAAGTGGCAATAATTTTTTGGACATCACACTTAAAGCCCAGGCTGCAAATCAAAAATAAGCAAATGGGGTTACATCAAACTAAAAATTTTCTGCACAGCAAAGGAAGCAATCAACAAACCAAGAGGCAAATGACAGAAGTGTAGAAGATATTTGCAAACTGCATATTTGATAATGTGTTAATATCCTAAATTTAAAAAATAACTCTTACAACCCAATAGCAGAAAAACAAATAACATTATAAGAAAACCTAGGCATTACCATTCAGGACATAGGCATGGGCAAGGACTTCATCTCTAAAACACGAAAAGCAATGCCAACAAAAGCCAAAATTGACAAATGGGATCTAATTAAACTAAAGAGCTTCTGCACAGCAAAAGAAACTACCATCAGAGTGAACAGGCAACCTACAAAATGGGAGAAAATTTTTGCAACCTATTCATCTGACAAAGGGCTAATATCCATAATCTACAATGAACTCAAACAAATTTACAAGAAAAAAACAACCCCATCAAAAAGTGGGTGAAGGACATGAACAGACACTTCTCAAAAGAAGACATTTATGCAGCCAAAAAACACATGAAAAAATGCTCACCATCACTGGCCATCAGAGAAATGCAAATCAAAACCACCATGAGATATCATCTCACACCAGTTAGAATGGCAATCATTAAAAAGTCAGGAAAAACAGGTGCTGGAGAGGATGTGGAGAAAGAGGAACACTTTTACACTGTTGGTGGGACTGTAAACTAGTTCAACCATTGTGGAAGTCAGTGTGGCAATTCCTCAGGGATCCAGAACTAGAAATACCATTTGACCCAGCCATCCCATTACTGGGTATATACCCAAAGGACTATAAATCATGCTGCTATAAAGACACATGCACATGTATGTTTATTGCGGCACTATTCACAATAGCAAAGACTTGGAACCAACCCAAATGTCCAACAATGATAGACTGGATTAAGAAAATGTGGCACATATACACCATGGAATACTATGCAGCCATAAAAAATGATGAGTTCATGTCCTTTGTAGGGACATGGATGAAATTGGAAATCATCATTCTTGGTAAACTATCGCAAGAACAAAAAACCAAACACCACATATTCTCACTCATAGATGGGAATTGAACAATGGGAATACATAGACACAGGAGGGGGAACATCACACTCTGGGGACTGTTGTGGGGTGGGGGGAGGGGGGAGGGATAGCATTGGGAGATATACCTAATGCTAGATGATGAGTTAGTGGGTGCAGCACACCAGCATGTCACATGTATACATATGTAACTAACCTGCACATTGTGCACATGTACCCTAAAACTTAAAGTATAATAATAAAAAAAAAGAAAATTAAAAATAAATAAATTAATAAATAAAAATTGGGCAAAAAATGAGACAGTTCTCCAAAGACATAAAATTAGTCAACAGGCATATGTAAACATGCTCAATATCATTAATTATCAGTAAAATGCATATTAAAACCACAATGAGATACTACCTCATACCCGTAAGCATGGTTGTTATCAAAAAGCAAGAGCTAACGTGTGCTGGCAAGAGTGCAGAGAAAAGGGAAGCCTGGCACACTTTTGGCGGGAAAGTAGATTGGTGCAGCTGTTATGGAAAACAGTATGGAGGTTACCATATGACCCAGCAATCCCTCTTCTGAGTCTCTAGGCAAAGGAGATGAACTCACCCTCCTGTAAAGACACCTGCACTTCCATCTTCATTGCAGCATCATTTGCAACTGTCAAGATACGGAAACAACCTAAGTGTGTGTTAATGGACCAATGGGTAAAGAAAATGTGGCACGTATGTAAAATGGAATAACATTTGGCCTGAAAAAAAGGAGATCGTGCCATTTCCCACAACATGGATGGAACTGGAGGACATCCTGCTAAGTGAAATAAGCCAGACACAGAAGGAAAATACTGTGTGGTCTCAGTTATATGTGGAATCTATGAAACGATAAATCGGAAAGCTCAAATATGCAGGGAGAGAGAATAAAACCGTGGTTACCAGCGTGAGAAGTTGAAGAGAAAGGAAATGGGGAGATGTAGGTCTAAGGACAGAAAGTGGAAACACAGAGGATGAACAGATGTGTCGGATGAATGAGGGTAGAGTTTTAGTGGACAACGTAAGGATTACAGTTAATACAATTGCATGATATTTGTAGATTTTAGCTGCTTTTGTTACACACAAAAAAGTAACTGTGAGATGGTAGATACGTTCATTTGCTTCACCATAGTAACCATTTTACTATCTATATGTATCATATAATATCATGTCTCAAACCTCAAATATATACAATACAATTTGTTAAAAACAAGACAAAATATAAACAAGGTAAAAGAAACGTGGCTATTGATTGGTATATGCAACTTCTTTCAAAAAATATTGGAAGATAAATAGCAACAAATGTTCTGAATGCTACAAAACATTGCTTTAATTTACAGCACCACAAATGCCCTAAATTAAGAAGATGCCTTTATCTTTTATTCCTCTTGCATTAGAAGATGTTACAGATGGTAGTAATAATAAGACTGTCTTGCTCTTCTAAAGCTCTTTATAGTTTTTAAGGCACTTTCAGAAATTGTGATTTCTTCTTCACAATAAGCCTTTAAGGTAGGTGTTGCAGACAGTACATGGTAATTACGGTGCAGACTTATCTACGAACTCGGACATAACAGGAAGTGCAATTGCTGTGAGAGAGTAAAACCAAATCGCTGAGTTATAAAAAGACACAATGTCTCCTAGGCCCAAAGTATCAGCTTCCTAACTACAGATTAACCATTGATAATGATATATGTGTTAGGAAACAAAGAAACAAAACCCAGAATTTCAACTGACAGTGGCCTAAACGATAAAGCCATTTTTTTTTTTTTTTTTTTTGAGACGGAGTTTCGCTCCGTCGCCCAGGCTGGAGTGCAGTGGTGTGATCTCGACTCACTGCAAGCTCCGCCTCCCGGGTTCACGCCATTCTCCTGCCTCAGCCTCCCGAGTAGCTGGGACTACAGGCGCGCGCCACCACGCCCGGCTAATTTTTGCATTTTTAGTAGAGACGGGGTTTCACCGTGTTAGCCAGGATGGTCTCGATCTCCTGACCTCGTGATCCGCCCGTCTCGGCCTCCCAAAGTGCTGGGATTACAGGCGTGAGCCCCCGCGCCCGGCCGCGATAAAGCCATTTAATGGTCTCTCAGGGCAAGCTGTTCAGACCGTCCAGGGCTAAGGCTCAGCAATGCCACCAAAACCCAGGCTCCTTCTCGATTTCTACTGCGTCATCTTAAGTGTGTTGGCTTGATTTTTTGCACCCTAAAATGATGGCACTGCTCCAAGCCCAGTCTCATGTCTCCAGTAAAGGCACGAAGAAGGGAGAAGGAGTGGCCCCAGCTGTCCCTTCTGTCAGGAATGCAGAAGTTTCCCTTTAACGGCCCAGCAGTCTTCAGTTGGTCTACTATTGACCAGAACTACCAAAAAGCCATCCCAGCTTCAAGAGGCACTAGAGAAGAGGCACTAGAAAGCAGGCATTAGCTTTCTACTGGGAGGAGACAAGGAAGAATGAGATTGGCATTGGGCATTGTCTCAGCCAGCCGAGAGTGTCTGTGGCAGCTTGTAAGGAGAATGCCGACAACCAGAGCACACAGCTCTGAGAAGGCCACACCCCATGATGTGTGCTCCGCTGTGGGCAGTGAGGGGCTGGAGGATGGGGCATTCTGCTCAGAGTGAGAATCTGGCTGGGGGATCTGGTAAACCGTCACCCAGGAATACCCACTTCTCTTCGCTCTCATTCCACACACACCAAAAAGCCTTTTTGGTTGAAGTTCAAGCTTCTCAGGAAACATGAGACAGTGAAGTAGATGTCTATGTGAGAACAAGCTAAAATTTTGAAAATAAATCAATCATCAGCTTAGCTTATCTATCCTGTGAATTTAGTTTTGAGAAGTCCAATTTTTTTACTCTGATTTTTAAAAATCATATTTGTCTGCTGCCATTGTCTGATTTCTGGACTTGCAAAACTGAGGACCAAATCATGAACCATGTTATATTTGCCAAGAAAATGAGCTTCCTCAAATTACATGGGTTAGGGTATACATGAATCCATTCCACATTTGAGTTATATCAAGCATGTCTTTTACTAGCTGGCCTGTCTCTTCCAAATTTTAACAGAAATAATTGTTCCATTTTGCCAATGAGAAAATGGGTTCAAAAAAGCTTAAATCTTGTTTCATACATTCAGTGAGGTACACAGGGCATAAACACAGGTCCTCATGTCTCCAGGAAAATACCCACCTTAAAATTCCAAGAGAACTCTTTGGGGTATCCATTTTCCCTCTGCACCTGCTTTCTCTTTAGCTCTGACAGGAGCTGAAGTATCCTTTAGCCTCCAAGTATAATGAGTGTGGAAGGACTAGAGTGTACAGCAATGGGAGGGGATCCGTGCAAACAGCGACATTGCAATATGGAGTAAGATGACCTGTGCAACTTAAAAACCATCCCAGGGAGGCGATGGCAACCCCACAGCATGGAGGGAACAAGCAGAGAACCCACAGTCATCGTATTTGAACCAAAGATGGGACCTCCCGGCTGCTTAGCTCCAACCCCAGGCTGCATAGCTCCACCCCCAGGCTGCTAAGCTCCACCCCCAGGCTGCTTAGCTTCACCTCCAGGATGCTTAGCTCCACCCCCAGGATGCTTAGCTCCACCTCCAGGATGCTTAGCTCCACCCCCAGGCTGCTTAGCTCCACCTCCAGGATGCTTAGCTTCACCCCCAGGATGCTTAGCTCCACCTCCAGGATGCTTAGCTCCACCCCCAGGATGCTTAGCTCCACCTCCAGGATGCTTAGCTTCACCCCCAGGATGCTTAGCTCCACCTCCAGGATGCTTAGCTCCACCTCCAGGCTGCTTAGCTCCACCCCCAGGATGCTTAGCTCCACCTCCAGGATGCTTAGCTCCACCCCCAGGATGCTTAGCTCCACCTCCAGGATGCTTAGCTCCACCCCCAGGCTGCTTACCTCCACCCCCAGGCTGCTTACCTCCACCCCCAGGCTGCTTACCTCCACCTCCAGGCTGCTTAGCTCCACCCCCAGGATGCTTAGCTCCACCCCCAGGATGCTTAGCTCCACCTCCAGGATGCTTAGCTCCACCCCCAGGCTGCTTAGCTCCACCTCCAGGATGCTTACCTTCACCCCCAGGATGCTTAGCTCCACCCCCAGGATGCTTAGCTCCACCCCCAGGATGCTTAGCTTCACCCCCAGGATGCTTAGCTCCACCTCCAGGCTGCTTAGCTCCACCTCCAGGCTGCTTAGCTCCACCCCCAGGCTGCTTAGCTCCACCCCCAGGCTGCTTACCTCCACCTCCAGGCTGCTTAGCTCCACCCCCAGGCTGCTTAGCTTCACCCCCAGGATGCTTAGCTCCACCTCAAGGATGCTTAGCTCCACCTCCAGGCTGCTTAGCTCCACCTCCAGGATGCTTAGCTTCACCCCCAGGATGCTTAGCTCCACCCCCAGGATGCTTAGCTCCACCTCCAGGCTGCTTAGCTCCACCCCCAGGATACTTAGCTCCATCTCCAGGTTGCTTAGCTTCACCCCCAGGATGCTTAGCTCCACCTCCAGGATGCTTAGCTCCACCCCCAGGCTGCTTAGCTTCACCTCCAGGATGCTTAGCTCCACCCCCAGGATGCTTAGCTCCACCTCCAGGCTGCTTAGGTCCACCCCCAGGCTGCTTAGCTCCACCCCCAGGCTGCTTAGCTCCACGTCCAGGATGCTTAGCTCCACCCCCAGGCTGCTTAGCTCCACCTCCAGGCTGCTTAGCTCCACCTCCAGGATGCTTAGCTTCACCTCCAGGATGCTCAGCTTCACCCCCAGGCTGCTTAGCTCCACCTCCAGGCTGCTTAGCTCCACCTCCAGGATGCTTAGCTCCACCCCCAGGATGCTTAGCTCCACCTCCAGGCTGCTTAGCTCCACCTCCAGGATGCTTAGCTTCACCCCCAGGATGCTTAGCTTCACCCCCAGGATGCTTAGCTCCACCTCCAGGCTGCTTAGCTCCACCCCCAGGCTGCTTAGCTCCACCCCCAGGCTGCTTAGCTCCACCTCCAGGCTGCTTAGCTCCACCCCCAGGATGCTTAGCTTCACCCCCAGGATGCTTAGCTTCACCCCCAGGCTGCTTAGCTCCACCTCCAGGCTGCTTAGCTCCACCTCCAGGCTGCTTAGCTCCACCTCCAGGATGCTTAGCTTCACCCCCAGGATGCTTAGCTCCACCCCCAGGATGCTTAGCTCCACCCCCAGGATGCCTAGCTTCACCCCCAGGCTGCTTAGCTCCACCTCCAGGATGCTTAGCTCCACCCCCAGGATGCTTAGCTCCACCTCCAGGCTGCTTAGCTCCACCTCCAGGCTGCTTAGCTCCACCCCCAGGATGCTTAGCTTCACCCCCAGGATGCTTAGCTCCACCTCCAGGATGCTTAGCTCCACCTCCAGGATGCTTAGCTCCACCTCCAGGCTGCTTAGCTCCACCCCCAGGCTGCTTAGCTCCACCCCCAGGATGCTTAGCTCCACCCCAGGGATGCTTAGATTCTTGGTCCCTTAGGGTTTTATGTATGGAGGTGTCTGTGTCATCAACATAATAGTATTCTAAAATGACCAGTAATACACATAAATATATGCAGTGTTGCATTTCATATTTTGTTATATTGTATTATAGAATTAAAATTCTATACTGTCAGTTTACTACCTCAAGTGTTATCATGGAGGCTATTTAGGTGTCGATACACATTTCAGGATACTGAATTTCTAAGGCTGTTACTAGAGCCCAAAGAGGAGTATTTTCACAAATCAGAAAGGTGCTAAAGTTTTAGTTCTGAATATTTGTCTCAGCAATAATAATGCAATTTTTCATATCCAAAGGCATCTGTTGGAGCAAGTCTTGATCATTAGAGTCAGATTCAGCCCTGCAATACCTGTGCACAGAGAAAATCACATTTCTACAAGTCAGTCATTTAGTTCACAAATAGTTATTAAGCATCTACTATGTGCCAGGCATGATTCTGGTCACTACGGACCCCAGGGTGAAGATGGGAGACCAGACTACTCCTTTTGTGGAGCTTTTGTATGGTGGAGATGATAAACAAATCAGTAGATAAACAGAAATTCAGGCAGTAATACGTGCTAAGGAAGATGACAGCGCAGGCATGAGGGAGAGATTCTTCAGCAGTGGACCCTATGGAGAACTTTCAGAGGAAGCAACACGAAAGCTGAGACTGGCAAGAGTCAGTCACGCAAAAAACCTGTGGGAAGACACTCCTGGAAGCTGTAGTTACAACCTTGCAGCTATGGAAATCTGTCAGTCAGTGTTTGTAACACGGTTTGCATCACAATAATTTTTTTTAAAAAAAACAAGGAAACAAAATACTTGTTTATGTGCTGGGCTCCACTGTGTCACTCTGTGGTACCAGCAGGGCACAGGCCTCTGGGGTAGGGCTTACGATTTTATGCAGGAGGAGTGTTGCCTCTCGGAGAAATAATCCCTCACTCACACATAGCACTGGAGAGTTTATAAAGACCTTTTACATTCATAATTATGTTGTTCGGTGGAGATCAATTTTAGCAATAGCCCTAAGATAATTAAATTACAAATGAAAGAAAGTCCAGCTCAAATAAATAGAAATTTATGTAATTACCCAAGAATCTGGGAGTTTCTAATTTCAGGCAGAAGTGAATTCAGAGGCTAAATAATAGCTACATAGTCTCTCTGTCTGTGTATTTCTTTCCTTGGTTTTCTCTTCACTGCTTTACTCTCGATTATGCTCTCCCTGTGTGGCAACAAGTGTGATCTCCAGTACTCCAGGCCGGCAACCCCCGCCTCTGCACACACCTCTGTTAGGGACAGTCAGAAGCACCATTTTCTGAGAGCTGCAGCGCACCTGCACGGTGAGGCCCTCATGGGTCGGGCCTGGGTCACGTGTCCGTCGCCACTCCTGTGGCCAGGGGACATGTGGAACTCCCGTTGGCCAGGACTGGAGCCCAGACCACAGGGACTAAAAGTGAGATGCTTGATCCTCAGAAGGAAAGGAAGGGATGCCGGGCAGGCAATGGAATGATATCCACCAGGAAACGACACTCACTTTCTCCACATGTGAGGTTGAAAGGCTGGCTCAACCTTACACAGAAAACCTGGATTTCAAATCTTAAAAAACAGAGTTCTTCCTACTCCCGTGGAATTACTGCTTCTATATAAAACCCAGTATGAAGCCCCAAGATAATTCAGTTAAAGAGAGTGGAGGAAGCACCTGATGAGTCGTGTTTTAAATGAGCACATGCTTCACCAAGCTGCGTGGCTTTGGTGGAGTCAGTAGCCCTGTCCTTTCCTACAGGCTTGTAAAGACACACCAGCCACTGGTTTCACACAGCCTTTGTTTTGTCTCATAAGCTTGGGTAGAGTTTTCCCTGACCTGTGGAGGGTGGCATTGTGTTTGTGAGCGTGGGTAAAGTCGAGTGAGGAGGTGAAGGTCAGGACACCCTATGCCGAGTGAAAGGCTGGGGTGTGATGGGGTGAAAAGAGCTGGGTTTTATTTCTCTTGATGAATGCACACATACTGGAGTCTTCAGCTTTCCTTACTTTTAAACAAGGACAAGTTCACCTGCCAGATCTTGATGGGAGTCTCGAGGTAACTTTAGGACAATGGGCAGGAGGAAGCAGCACCAAATGTTTCCTGAAAGTGGCCAGCAGAGCCAGGCGTGGTGGCTGACGCCTGTAATCCCAGCACTTTGGGAGGCTGAAGGGGGCAGATCACCTGAGGTAGAGAGTTCGAAACCAGCCAGACCAACAAGGAGAAACCCCATCTCTACTAAAAATACAAAATTAGCCGGGCGTGGTGGTGCATGCCTGTAATCCCAGCTACTCAGGAGGCTGAGGCAGGAGAATGGCAGGATCCCGAGAGGTGGAGGTTGTGGTGAGCTGAGATAGCACCACTGCACTTCAGCCTGGGTGACAGAGCGAGACTCCATCTCAAAAAAAAAAACAAAAGAAAAAAGACAGTGGCGGGCATGCACATTACCCCCTAGGAAATGATTCCATGTGGTACAGACACAGCCGTCTACAGGCTGAAAGATCAGCGTTGCCTACAGCAGTTAAATACAGTAATTCATGTGTGCAGGAGAATTGGAGCCAATGTATGATCATTTGATAACTTTAACTTTCTTTCTATTTATTAAATATGTTATATTTTTAGGACTATAGAAAACAAAAACAAAAAGTCAACTCCAAAGAATTTTGGAATTTGGAATTTGTTTCTACCATCCACAGGTTAGTGCAGCTATTTGCATCCCTCTTTGTTAAGAGTGTTAATCTTGAGTTGCAAGGGCTCGGCAGCCAACCCCAGAGTCCTCTCCACATTCCTCCGTGGAGGCTCCAAGGGCAGGTGGAATGGACACAAGCAGCCAGCCCTCCTAAACCACGGCTTCTGTGGAGGAGCTGCTTCTAGCGCCTCAGGCGTGCCCTCATTCAGGAGGAAGACTTTCATGGATTTGAGGGTACCTCTTCTAGACTCCGGGGCACTGTGCCACACAACTTGTTGTGCTTTGAGCAAGGTAGATGAAAACACATCTTTTCTCCAGAAAACAAGATTAAGAACATATTTAGGCTTGCACAAAATACAGCTCACTGCCCAAAGCCTTGCTGGATCCTGAAAAATATTTTACTAACTTGTACATCTATTCGAGGAGACTCCTCTGCACCTAAACTTTTTCTTCCTGTCTCACACTTTGTGTGGCAAATGCTCCTCTCTCGTTTGCTGACCTTCAGAATCATTCTAAGGCAGCACGTGTTGATGTGAAAACTGGCAGCGAACCCAGGCCTGTGCCCTGCCAGCCCTCTGGCCCCTGAACCGCTGGCTTCACTCCAAGGACCCGCATATTTCTTTTTGGCCTTGCAGGGTCACCAGGCAAAGACCTTGCATTCTGAATGGACAGAAATGCCCAGATCTAGCATTTTCCACCTCATCTACAGAATACTGTTCCTTGTCTGTTTGCTCATGGCTGCCTTCTATTTTTCTGATCACTTACTGGACTGTGCCCTTTCCGCTCCAGGTAGCTGGATTCCGACTCCAGCACTCAGCTATCCCCTTCCCTGAATTCATCTGTTAACCTAGATGCTGAACACAAGCGACTTTTCCAACTTCATTCAAAGAACTTCTTGTGAGAAAACCGGGCTGTCAAGAGAGTCTCCCTTCACCCTTACCACTCATTGTTCCCCACAATCACCACAGAGAAGTATAAATTAACAGGAATCTGGAGAATCCAGGGCCCATTTTTACCATCTCAGTGTTTGTAATCCTCCTACAACCCAGGCACCCATGGGCAAGCCTTCTGTGTGTTCATCCATCTACGCACGTACACGGGTGAACTGGAAAGCTCCAATACCTTGGAGAAGGTTGTTCCTGCGGTCAGATCTTCAGAACCGAAGCTGCTGGAGATGCTCCCTGGTATTCAGCTTCTTGACAATAAATCTTATTATCTCTTTCTTCTTTCTTGCCTTGTTTCTTCCACCTTTCTATCCTTCCTTGCTTCCTTCCTGTCTTCCTTCCCTTCTTCTCCTTCCTTCCTCTCTTTCTTCCTTGCTTCCTTCCTGTCTTCCTTCCCTTCTTCTCCTTCCTTCCTCTCTTCCTTCCTTGCTTCCTTCCTGTCTTCCTTCCCTTCTTCTCCTTCCTTCCTCTCTTCCTTCCTTGCTTCCTTCCTGTCTTCCTTCCCTTCTTCTCCTTCCTTCCTCTCTTCCTTCCTTGCTTCCTTCCTGTCTTCCTTCCCTTCTTCTCCTTCCTTCCTCTCTTCCTTCCTTGCTTCCTTCCTGTCTTCCTTCCCTTCTTCTCCTTCCTTCCTCTCTTTCTTCCTTGCTTCCTTCCTGTCTTCCTTCCCTTCTTCTCCTTCCTTCCTCTCTTCCTTCCTTGCTTCCTTCCTGTCTTCCTTCCCTTCTTCTCCTTCCTTCCTCTCTTTCTTCCTTGCTTCCTTCCTGTCTTCCTTCCCTTCTTCTCCTTCCTTCCTCTCTTCCTTCCTTGCTTCCTTCCTGTCTTCCTTCCCTTCTTCTCCTTCCTTCCTCTCTTCCTTCCTTGCTTCCTTCCTGTCTTCCTTCCCTTCTTCTCCTTCCTTCCTCTCTTCCTTCCTTGCTTCCTTCCTGTCTTCCTTCCCTTCTTCCCATTCCTTCCTTCCTTTTTTTCTTCTTTCCTTCCTTCCTTCCTTTTTTCTTCTTTCCCTCCTTCTTTCCTTCTATTTTCTTCTTTCCTTCTCCTTCCTCCCTACTTCTTTCATTCATTTCTTTTTCCTTTATTTTTCCTCCTTTACTTCTTTCTTTCTTCTATGTATCTATCTCTATTTCATCTATCTTATCTATCTATCTATGTATCCATCTATGCCTCATCTATCTATCTATCAATATCTAAACTATCTATCACTAGTGTCATATCTGAATTTGGGGGAGTTATGCTTTTAATATCTAATTGATAGTTCAGAGTTCCTGCTGGTGATGTGAGACAAAATAATGACATTTGGCCTTCTTTTTAGGGCAGCCTATAGGACATCATTATGGTTTCTTAGCTTCTTAGGCTGAAATCTTTTTTTATTATGGATTTTTCATCATTGGTCATGGTTTTCTTTAAATTGTTACAGAATTCTACATAAAAATCAAAGCCCCCAAATGCCTACTTAGTTTAATATGCTTGAAGAGAGCTTTTCAGATCATAATAGGTTCATGAGATTTATCAAGTGATAAAAAATCAGGCTGGTCAATTAGATTTGAAAGGAATAAAATGCATTGAGATGTGTAGTCATTGAAATGTGTTCTTGTCAATGATGATTACATGTTAGATCGGCTTTAATATTTATGTCATTATAATAATTTATATTGTCAAGGTGAAACATAAAAAGGCTCAATAGGCATGGGCATTAAATATTACGTATTTTACAGTTGCTCAAGTAAAGAAATTACATGATTGGCCCTGACTCACTTGCATCGATAAGAATGTACATTTTAAAATGGGCACAGGTATAATTTCCACTCCAGGTAGTAACGATGCTCCAGGTTGCTGGGTGGCTCTATTCTTAGATTCTCATTACCAGACATTCTGAAACTGCTGAGATTTCCCAAAATCACAGTTCAGACAAGAAGTTAACACGCCAAACAAGGAAAAGCTCATGGACATTTGATTCACAGAGAGCAGGTGGAGAACCTGTCCGTGCTTACATGTGAATGTTTAAAATCCTCGGGTTGAATTCAAGCCGGCGTCTGGGCTCAGCGGTGGCCTCCAGCATCCTGACTCGCTGGAAGGAGCATGCACCTGACTTCTTGGTGTTCGATTTTCACCTCCTTATTCTCCACTCTCTAGCCTTGCTGCCAGAGCTATGTCTTACACACTGGAGCCGGGTTTCCACTGACATTAGGAAAGGTCCTCTGGATTCTCACAGGACTGATGAAATCTGACCAGCATTTCTCATGCTGATGGCTCTTTCCTTTAGGTGTGTGGCATTTCTCACCCCCAGGGAAGAAGTCTTTGAGGAAAAGGGTTTGTGGTGAGCCTGGGCTATCAGGTAATCCGGCTTTCTAATCCCCACACTGAGCTGGATTCCACACAACCTGCAGAGGTGGGTTAAGCTGACAGCACTCCAATCATTTGAAACTTAACTTGGGTTATGCCTACAGAAATCCTTTGTCCTGTGCGCCTAATTGATACCTGTCAAGAGGCTGAGGCAAGATTTGCCCCTCAACATAAGGAATTATTTAGACATAAATCTGTATTTTAACTTCTAGTACAATGTCCCATTGAGGAAAATATGGAAGCTGAGCCCTGCCCCAAGCAAATTATCTGCTTTATCGTTATAATTATCATGAATAAAGCATTTTTTTCTTTTAATTTGTGGGAGGGGTTTAATTTATATATATAGCAATTTTAATCATATTTATATTAATACAATTTTTGTTTCTTTATATTTCCATAAAAATAGCTAGCATTTATTGAATACTTTCTATTTCTAGGATTTGTCTTAGGATACCTATATCTTTATCTATATCTATTTCTCTTCACACACATGTACATACAAGTATATGTAGATACACATATCTTAACAGCATAGATGGAGCATATATGTATATACACATATATAAAAATATAATCCCAAATCCCCTGGTAGTTTATTATGTTCATTTTACACATCAGGAAACTGAGCCACAGAGATGGTAGAAAATATTCCCCAATCATAATAGGTTGATTCCCCAGATCATAACAGGTTCATGAGATTTATCAAGTAATTAAAAAAGGTCACTCAGTAAGTGAAGGAGCTGGGACTTAAGCCCAGCTCGCCTATTGACAATCTGCAGGATCATAAAGAAAGTAGCCATAGCTACTGAATAATAACAGAAAACATTTATATGGAAATCGGCCTGTAATTGACACTACCTAAAGCACGTGCCTTATATAAATTCATTTAATTCTCAAAGCAAACTTAGAAGATAGGTATTATTATTATTGTTATTCTCATTTTACTGATGAGGGAACAGAAAGGGTGAGTAGGTTTCCCAAGGTCACACAGTGGGTGAGGAGAGGATCCTGGGTTTGAACACTGCAGTCCAGCTTCAGAATCTGACACTGTACTGTCTTATTATAAATACTAAAACTGAGGTAGTATTAATATCTCATTTATTCAAATGATAACAGTTAAGTGTATTGATCAACTACAATGGTCCAGGCTCTGAGTTAGGTTTTTAGCAAACTTTATCTGCCTTAATTATTTTAAAAACTCCCCAAAGTAGATATCTGGAGTCTTTTTTTTTTTTTTAATATACGAGAAGGAAGAGATTAGGGACAGTAAATAACATTCCCAATGTCACAAAGCTAATAGATGAAGAAATGGAATTCAATTCTGTGCTATCTGTTTCTAAGACTTACACTATTTTCTCCACATAACATTGCCTTTTGAGCTTCTCCTCACAGTCTTTTTCAGTAATAGTGATCATGGATTTTTTTACAAAGAATAATGCATTGGGAATATTAAAAACTCACAAAATATTGATAGTTTGTTAATCTAAAAACCAGCAAAACTAAACTAACATTTCCTCAAGAAGGAAATGTATAAAGCAGTAAAATTTAACTCCAGTGAAAGATATCAGTGAAAATAAAGTCAACTGAAAAACTAATTTATCAATGAATCAACAAGAAACTAAATAATTAAAAATTATAATTGGCACCACCATGTTTATTTATTAAGCAATTTTGAAAATAAGCACATATATATTATTCTGTGTTTCATAAATATTATATAAGTATACATACATTATTTATACTCATTCAAAATTCATCTTTGATAAATGGCTTCTCTGATTTTCACTCTAAATGATATTAACCAAAATCACATTTTTCCAGTTTGAAAGCTTACTTATAAATAACGGAACTATTTTCTTCTTTGTGATGTAACGAACTTTTTTAACCTAATAACATCCCCAGGACACTCTTTTTACATCTGTTCTTGGTTGCTCACATGTGCACATACGTCTGTGAGTACACAGGAGAAAGTAGTAATGCCACTGATCTCGGGATAACACGTTATTTACCAGTGGCTTAAATGGACAAGGAGAAAGGTGGTAATGCCACTGATCTCAGGGGATAACATGATACTTACTAGTGGCTTCAATGGGCATGGAGAAAGGTGGTAATGCCACCAATCTCAGGGGATAACATGATATTTGCCAGTGGCTTAAATGAGCGTCACTGCTTCATCAGTCATCTTTTATTTTTCCAGCTGCCCCATTAAGAAAGCTGCTGAATGAAACATGCAGTCATTTAAAAACAACTGAGGACGGCTGTAACACATAATGAATAGAAGGCATGATTCTCGAGCACTTGAGGAAAATGAGATATGAATAGGACCCCATTTTGAAACATATGCATAATATCAAGATTAAACTAAAAACAATGGGACCATAGTAACTTTCACTATATTATTTATTAACTCCTGGAAAGTCTGTATCTAAAATGTTGCTTTCTTATCAGCACTTGCTGGTTATTGTACTCCTGTAGTCAGAAGTGGGTAAATTCTCAGCCTTGGAATAATGTTCTTAGGAATAAATGCAATTGACATATGTAAATTCGTAAGTCCAATCTCTCTCTCTCTCTCTCTCTCTCTCTCTCTCTCTCTCTCTCTGTCTCTTTTGAGATAGAATCTCGCTCTGTCTCCCATTCTGGAGTGCAGTGGCATGATCTCAGCTCGCTGCAACCTCCGCCTCCCGGGTTCAAATGATTCTCCTGCCTCAGCCTCCCAAGTAGCTGGGATTACAGGCATGTGACACCACGCCCAGCTAATTTTTGTATTTTTAGTAGAGACGGGGCTTTGCCATGTTAGCCAAGCTGGTCTCAACCTCCTGACCTCAGGTGATCCACCCACCTCGGCCTCCCAAAGTGTGGGATTACAGGCATGAGCCACTATGCCTGGCCCCAATCTCTTTCAATGGATAGCCTTAAATTATGTAATCATTCCCTTTATTTGAAGATAGTCAATATTTATTTGAATTATTTTAAGATCAATATGTTGACTTGTAAACTATTTCTTTTCATGTCTGTAAGACATTTTATTTTTATTTTACAACTTTTACTGCGGCCATTTCTCCTTCTTCCCTTTAAATGAAGTCCAGTGTCTTGAAGTACATAATGGATCACCTTGAGTATCATTTTTGCAATTGGAAAGTTTGTTAGGATGACACTTTCTAAAAGAAAGAAATCTCTCCTTTGAAGTTATTTAGTCATTTATAATAATTACTGTTTTTTAAATGGTGCTCAAATGTACCTAAATGGCAGAATGATTTCACGTAACGGTGAAAACAAAACTGTAATTAAAAATTGAAAAATACAGTGATCCTGTGTTGGAAAATATTTACACTATTCCCAGATTGTTCATTTTATGCAGAGAAGTTTCAAGGCAAGGAGGAGAGCATTTCTTCCTGAAAGAAAATATTGTGTGAATTGATACAATCTTCTAAGAAAATGACATGACAAAGATCATGTGAACACATGTGCTCCAATATCTGGCACTGATATTGATTTAGTATATTTCATATAAATCAAAACTTTAGATCTGAGACCTAGTAAAAGTTAAGATGTCAGCCCAATAGCTCGAGTTGCAATGCCCCATATTCACTATCCTGCTTCTAAGAAGTAGTTTCTCCCAGAAGATTTATGCTCTCCTGAGATATGGGCAATGCCGTAATGTCTCATTTTAATTCTTCACACATTGACTTTTAGGATAATTGTACTTTCTATCTCAATGACACAACATTGATTATCTAGTTTGTGGATTACTCAAGCATTGCATCAGCCTTGGTCTCCTTAAATTTTGGCCCTTTTGCTTTGTAGATCCTTTATTGGAAAGTATTGAGGAATAGAGAAACACCTGAAGCTAAAATAAGTTACTGCTGCCATAATTCACACTATTTCAAGATTATATATCAAAGTTTCAATTAGGTAGGATAAGACATTATAGTCTGTCTCCATTACTTACTGAAAACCACCCCAAAACTTAGTGGTCAAAAGCCACAGCAATCATATATATTACTCATGAATTTGCTAGATGGGCAGGGCTTGGTAGGGACAGTTTGTTTTTTGTTCCAAGTGGCATATGCTGAGACAGATTGACTGGGGACTGGAGGATCTACTTCCGAGATGGCTCACTCATGAGCCGGGAAGTGGCCGATGGCTGGTGTCTGGACACTCTTGAGTTGGGAAATGGGTGTTGGCTGGTGCCTGGACACTCATAAGTTGGGAAGCGGACGATGGCTGGCGCCTGGACAATCATAAGTTGGGAAGTGGGCGCTGGCTGGCGACTGGACAATCATAAGTTGGGAAATGGGTGATGGCTGGCGTCTGGACAATCATAAGTTGGGAAATGGGCAATGGCTGTTGCCTGGACACTCATAAGTTGGGAAGTGGGTGCTGGCTGGTGTCTGGAAACTCATAAGTTGGGAAGTGGGTGCTGGCTGGTGTCTGGACAATCATAAGTTGGGAAGTGGGTGCTGGTTGGTGTCTGGACCCTCATAAGTCAGGAAGTGGGCACTGGCTGGTGTCTGGCCAATCATAAGTCGGGAAGTGGGCGATGGCTGGTGCCTAGACACTCATGAGATGGGAAGTGGGCGCTGGCTGGTGTCTGGACACTCATAAGTCGGGAACTGGGCGATGGCTGGTGCCTGGACACTCATAAGTTGGGAAGTGGGTGCTGGATGTCACCTGGAGGCCCAGCTGGCCTAGGGACTAGGACTTCTATTCCTCTTCACATGGGCTTTTCCACAGGCCACCGGGGATTTCTCTGACTGCACAGTGGCTATGTTTAAAAAGTGAGATTTTTCAGAGGCGGAAACTGGACACTACCAATTTGTTAAGACCTAGGTCATCACCCATTCTACTGTATTCTATTAACCAAGCAACCAAATTGTTCAGATTTAAGAGAGGGGACCTAGATCCATTTCCTGATGGAAGGCAAGTCAGAGAATTTGGAATTGTGTTTTAATATCACTACAAAAGGTACACTAATTTTTTAATTATATTTTTCAGATATTCAGTTTATTGATACATTTGCTATCCCTAATTACTGTAAATAATTTCAGGCTAGCCATACCTAGTATTTCAGTGTAATAAATAATTAGAAACAAAACTAGAAACAACACAGATATTGCATTCTCCTGTTGAATACCTGGGATATAGTATATATTTTAGTTACCATATTTCAACAAAGGTCTATGGAAACTATGGTGGGCTAGGGAAGGCCAACAAAATGAGTAAAAGAGACAGAGTATACTGTATAAATACAAACTTTAAGAAGAAATCTTTGAAATTAGGTTTAGGTATGACATAATATTGATAATACTAGACATTCACTGGTTGGTTTAACATACTTCTAAGTTAACATGTGAAAAACTGTTTAATCCTCTTGGCCATCATGTGGAGCTGGCACTAGTATAATTCCCATTTTACAGAGGCAGACAGAAAGGCCCCGTGGTTAAATAACTGTCTAATCTGGTAAGCAACAGAGCTGGCATATGATCTTTTCACCCAGTTCCAGAGCCTAGCCTCTTAACCAGAGAGAACCTTATTCTCCTGTGGTGAGATCTCCAATTCCCTTCTCCTTCTTCAGTGTTCTATTGGCATGACAAGTGAGTTAGAGAAGAGGAAAAGCAATGAAAAACGTCCACATTACTGAATCCTAGAAAAGGCTGTCATACAAATGGTAGAAACTTAAGAATATCTGCTAAGTATTTGGCATGTTTATACAGAGAGCAAAAAGACTTTGGGGCAATTCAAAATATGAAAAATGAGTGGAGAAAACCTGGGCAAGATTCTGGAATACCTCTGTATTAATCTATTCTCCCACTGCTTTAAAGAAGTACTAAAGACTGGGTAATTCATAAGAAAAGAAGTTTTTTTGGCTCATGGTTCTCTAGGGTATACAGGAAACATAGCTGCTTCTGTTTCTGGGGACACCTCAGGAAACTTCCAATCACAGCAGAAGGCAAATGGGAGGTGAAGCACTTCACATGGCTGGAGGAGAAGGAAGGGAGAGAGCAGGGAGGTGCCATACACTTTTAAGCAAACAGATCTCACAAGAACTCACTCCCTATCATAAGAACAGAACCACCAGGGATGGTGTTAAACAATTCATAAGAAACCACCCCCATGATCTAATCACCTCCCACCAGGCTCCACCTTCAACATTGGAGATTACAATTTGACATGGGATTTGGTATGGGAACACAGATCCAAAGCACATCATTTCTCCCCTAGCCCTTCCCAAATCTTATATCCGTCTTCCATTGCAAAATATAATCATGCCTTCCCAGAAATCCCTGAAAATCTTAACCCATTTCAGCATTAACTCCAAAGTTCAAACTCTCATCTAAGATAAGGCTACTTCCTTCCACCTATGAGCCTGTAAAATCAAAATAAGTTAGTTACTTCCAAGATATAATGGGGATACAGGCATTGGGTAAATACTCCTGTTCCAAAATGGAGAAATCAGCCAAAAGAAAGGGTCTACAGGCCCCACGCAAGTCCAGAACCCAGCACAGCAGCCATTAAACCATAATGTTCCAAAATAATCTCCTTTGACTCCATGTCTTACAACCAGGGTTCACTAATGCAAGTGGAGGGCTCCCAAGGCCTTGGGCAGCTCTGCCTCTGTGACTTTGCAAGGTTCAGCCCCCATGGCTGCTCTCATGGGTTGGCATTGAGTGCCTATGGCTTTTCCAGGCACAGGGTGCAAGCTGACAGTGGATCTACCATTCTGGGGTCTGGAGAATGGTGGCCCTCTTCTCACAGCTCCACTAGGCAGTGCTCCAGGGGGGACTCTGTGAGGGGGAGCCAACTCTATATTTCCCCTCCACAGTCCTCTAGTAGAGGTTCTTCATGAGGGCTCTGCCCCTGCAGCAGGCTTCTGCCTGAAAATACAGGCTTTTCCAGACATTCTCTGAAATCTAGGTGGATGCTCCCAAGGGTCAACTCCTGCAGTCTGTGTGCCTGCATGCTTAACACCACATGGAAGCTGCCAAGACTTACAACTTGCACCCTGTAAAGTAGTGACCAAGCTGTACCTGTCTTTTTGAGCCACAGCTGCAGCTGGAGTGCCTGGTATTCAGCAAGTAGTGTCCTGAGGCTGCACAGGGCAGCAGGGGCCTGGGCCTTCCCCAGGAAACCATTTTTTCCTCCTAGGCCTCTAAGACTGTGATGAGAATGTCTGCCATGAAAGTCTGTGATATTTCTTAGAGGCCTTTTCTCCTTTGTCTTGACTATCAGCACTTGCTTTGCTTTTGGTTATGCAAATTTCTGCAGCGTGCTTGAATTTCTTTCCTAAAAATAGGCTTTCCTTTCCTACCACATGGCCAGACTGCAAATTTTCCAAACTTTCATGCTCTGCTTCCCTTTTAAATATAAATTCCTGTTTCAGATCATTTCTTTGCTCACACATATGAGCATAGGCTGTTACAAGCAGCCAGGTCAGATCTTGAACTCTTTGTTGCTTAGAAATTTCTTCTGCTGGATACCCTAAATTATCACTCTCAATTCAAAATTCCACAGATCTCTAAAGTAGGTGCACAGTGCAGCCAGGATCTTTGCTAAAGCTTAACAAAAGTGACCTTTGTTCCAGTTCCCAATAAGTTCCTACATCCATCAGAGTCCTCTTCATTGTTCAAATCACTCCATTCAACAAGTTTCTAGAAAATTCCAAATTCTCCCTCATCTTCCTGTCTTCTTTTGAGCCCTTCACACTTTTGCAAACTCTGTCCATCACCTGTTCTAAAGCCACTTCCACATTTTCAGGTATCTTTACAGCAATGCCTCATTCCTCGGTACCAATTTTCTGTATTAGTCCTTTCTCACACTGCTATAAAGAAATACTGGAGACTGGGTACTTTGCAAGAAAAGAGGTTTATTTGGCTTACAGTTCTAGAGGCTGTACAGGACGAATTGCAGCTTCTGCTTCTGCAGAGGTCTCGGGAATCTTCCAATCCTGGTGGAGGCAAAGGGGGCACAAGCTGTCTCACATGGCCAGAGTAGAAGGTAGTAGAGACTGGAGGGAGTTGCCACACACTTTTAAACAACTAGATCTCATGAGAAATTGCTCATTATCTCAAGAACAGCATCACCAGGAATGGTGCTAAACCATTCATGAGAAACTGTCTCCATAATCCAATCACTTCCCCCCAGGCCCTACTACCTTCAACACTGGGAATTACAATTCAACCTGAGATTTAGGTGGGGACACAGATCCAAACCCTATCAACCTCCTGCATCTGAGAGGTGAGGATCTTGATGAGAGTGGGTCAGAGGGAGGGGACATGTTCTTGCTCTCACCAACAGATCAGGTGCCACCACTGGGCAGGGCATAGCCTCAGTAGACACCAGGAATAACAGTACCAGAAAAATGGGGCCCTCATGGAACTTAACGTCTCACTGCTGCACCAAACCATGACGGGAGACACAGTATAAAAAACCAAAATTCTCACCATGATTTCTTCCTTTTCTGCTTTCTTCACCACCCTCTGCAGACTACCAGATACTCAAGCTATAGGGAAAATGTAGAGCAAATGTAAACTCCCCTTTGTTCATGGAAGCTGCATCTGAAAGAAATAAACAGGTATCCAGGCTGATCTCCACCTAATGAAATCTCAGCTTGTCTGACCTAAGCTAATCCTGGCAAGTCACGGAGCATCTTTTCTTATCCAATCACACACCTCAAGTGTCTCCCTGGAAGGCCACTCCATCCTCACCTCCAAGCACGAATTCTCCTTAGATTAAGCTAGCCACAGTGACCCCATGCCTCTAACAGCCGATTGGTTGGGGAAACTAGGCTTTGTCCATCCAGGCCAGCATTCCCTAGGTGACAGTTGTGGGTCCATAAGAAGGCACATGTCCTATTTGGTTCAACCAGACAGAAGTAAAAGGCTTTCATGCTGTGGAAGATGCTTTCTCTCTTCACCAAAGTTGAACAAGGAAGCATGTATTTCTACTTCGGGCAGGCAACCATAGTGTAACAAAACAAAACAGGAAAGAAACAAAAAATCAGTAAGCAAAACCAGACTATTTACAGAGTATCACAGATGATGTTGGAGCCCCAACTTCTGCAAAGGTCACATATACATCTATGAATCACAGCAGCTGATTGCAAGAGAATGCAAATAAAGAACCCATGGACAGGGGTGCCTCTGGATAGAAGACCTGGTGATAAACAGCAGAACTAGGTCCATCTGAACAAGTGTTGCAGATACAACCAGTGTGATTCTCCCCATAGTTTCTGCATTTGACTTTCAGAGGCTGAATAATGAATTATTTAGAACAGGATTTTGAATGGGTTGGATTTGAATTGGAATGCCAGCCCTCTAGCTCTTGTGCTACTGGGATACTTGAGCTACTCATTTAATTTCTCTGAGAATTACTTTTCTAATTTCTAAAACAGGGTTATATCACCTAACTCAAAGGCATATAATGAAAATTGAATCAAATATTAAATAAATATATTTAGCATAAAAATTGATATATGAAATGCTTACTAAATGTGATCTGCAATTATCAGATATCGTTATAATATTTATAATATGAATTATAATTATAATAATCTAATTACATTTTTAAAAATTAAAATACATATTTAAGATATTCAAATTTAATTTATCCCAGATAAAAATCAACTGTGTATTCTCCAAATTGCTACTGATACGAGGAGTAGACATATACCCAACTTGGCCCTAATTTTATAAAAGAGGAATTACATCTACATTAAATATTCATTTATTTCATAAAGAAGTATTAACCACCAATTTTTGGCCCGGTGTAGTTTCATCACAAAGGCTAGGGAAATGAATTAAAGCGCAAAACTGAAGAATAGGGAACTTTTGTCCTTTATGATACTTTCTAGCAGGAGACAAGAGATAGCAAGAGAAGCAACATAAGCACGTAAATACACGGCATGTTATGAAGTAGTGAGTGCTAAGGTGTAAAGTGTAATAAAGAAGTGCAGCAGGGAACACTGGAGGGACTGGTGCTGTGGGTTTAAATATGACGGGCGGGGAAGGCTTGACTGAGGTGGGGATTCTGTGGAAAGACCTGAGGAGGGCGAGGAGGTGACACATGTGACTATGTAAAAGACCAGCATCCAAAGCCGCGGGAACAGTGGAAAGTGCCTGAGACACCTGTGTGCCCCAAGGCCAACATGGCTGGAAGAACTGACCAAAGGGAAAATTCACACAGAGGTAAGGCGAGCAGAAAGTGTGGGCATTTTTCAGTGATTTTAATGACTTTGAGTTTAACCAGTGTAAAATAGAACCCACTGGAAGGTTTTAAGCAAAGAATTTTAACTCACAAAGAAAATACACAATTGAGGCTCTCAATTAGAACTTCCAATTCAGATATGATTTAATTCATTTTTCCATAACCAATTTTAGAGATCTTAAAATGTGAAAAAGGACACGCGTTAGAGATTGTAGAACCTGGAATTTAGGATGTAAATGTGTTGATGTATTAGATGACCGTGAAAGAGAAAGAGTAAAGTGAAGGATGCCTCTATAAGGATGATGTTAACTTTTGTCTGAGCAACCGAAAGAATGGGACCAATTTAAATTTAGACAGAAGAAATCAGGACGGCTCTCTGGGAGGTAATTAGGACTCTGAGACCCAATTAGACCTGGATCAAAGGACTAAGGGCCAAAGTCCTCCAACATTTAGAAGTCAGAGACAAAGCAGAGCAGCAAAGGTGGCTGAGAAGTGGTTGGTGAGTTAGAAGTAAAACCAGGGGCATGTGCAAGCCAGTGGTCAGACGGATAGGGGAACTCTGCCAGGAATGAGGGTGACTCTGTTCGGGGCTTTTCCTTAGTTCAGGTAAAGACAGGGTCCTTTGTCCCATGACCATGAAAATTCAGGCTCTCAGACAATTTCAATGGTGAGTGAGACATGGTTTTATTACGTGAAAAGGAAGAAAATGGAGAGACAGAGACTCTTGCTAGGCCAGAGTCCCTGCTAGAGCACTTCCCACCAGCAGCTTGAATCCCAGATTCCACCCAGGGAAAGAGAGGCCAGGCTCCTCCCTGCTGCAAAGGTCGTGAACTTCCCGAGGCTCCACCTCAGTGGGCAGGCTGGTTGGAGTTTATCCAGGGACTCCCTCCCATCTGGCTGTCTCAACTCCACCTTTGAAGGTGACTAGCCTCCAACAACATGAGATTCAAAGCATGTTGTAGGAGAATGGTCCAGATGCAGCAGCAAGGTGCCAAAAAGACATATCTCTCACTTTCAAGAAAGGCTTCAGGGGACACAGTATTCTCAGAGCAGAAAGCCACCAAAAACAGTTAAGAAAATGTATTAAGGATACAGAGGATTGAATGAAAGTCTGATTACATGAGAGCTTCTGGGGGCACAGAGTAAGGGTTTGAGGTGATGGGAAACTATAAGTTAAGAATAATATTAAAGTATAAGTTCTGAGAAGGTGATTCAGAAGCAGATGAGAGGCCAGGACACTAGAGAAAAGTGGGAAGACTCAGCTTCTTTTGTGCCTGACATTAATAGGGATAAACAGTGCAGTGAGATTAGTCACGATGGAGTGAGGCAGGCAGTGGTTAGGAGACCTGGTCAGGTGTATTCAGAGCTGGGAATGTCCCACCTGACTTCTACAAATAGAGGCCTGGAGGCCAGTGAAGGGGCGGTCAATCTGCTTCTGACTAGAGGGCTCCTCCCTGTGACGGATAGACTTGCAAGCATGATCGTGTGGAAGGGAACATTGAAAGACAGCACACAAATCAATTGCAGAGATTCTTTCTGAGTAGTAGAATCACAGGTTGCTTTTTCTTTGTTAGGGTTCTCCAGAGATATGAAACCAATTTTTGTGTGTGTGTGTGTGTGTGTGTGTGTGTGTGTGTGTAGAGAGAGGGAGAGAGAGAGAGAGAGAATTGGCTGATGCAATTAGGGAGGAGGCTGAAAAGTTCCCCCAATCTGCCATCTGCAAGCTGGAGAACAAGGAAAGCTGTTGGTAGAATTCAAGTCGAAAGAATGGAGAAGCAGCAGTACCTATGCCCAAGGGCAGGAAAAGAAGGATGCACAAGCTCAAGCAGGTGCACATTTGCCCTTGCTGCTCTGTTCTTTGTTGGTTGTTTATTTGTTTTTATTCTATCAGGGCTCTCAATGGATTGGATGACATCCACCCACATTGGTGAGGGCAAGCTTTCTTTACTTAGTCTGCTGATTCAAATGCTGCCCTTTCTGGAAACATGCTCACAGAAATGCCCAGAGATAATATTTTACCAGCTATCTAGGCATCCCTTAACCCAGTCAACTTGAAACATAAAATTAACCATCACATCTTAAATTCATCTTTTTGAGAAGAAATCATGTTTATAAGTCAGCATAAAATAAAAATGATGGAAGTAAATCAAATAAAAATATCATGAAAGGCATATGGATGGAAGTTGAACAAATCTTCTTAAAAATAAAAAGCAAAAAAATCCCTAAACCTAATTCCAGGTTTCTTAATTTTTAGCTTCTGAAAGGCAAAATATTTTTTCAGCTTTATATGTCAACACCTAACATGAAATAGGCACCAATACACATTTGTTGAATGAATGAAGTGGGATGCTTACCTTGAAGAGAGAAAACCATTAACCAGAAACGACAGTTTGTACTAAGTAAAAAAAAAAAAAAAAAAAAAAAGCTATTTTTGCATAGTCCAATTTAATTACAGAGCATATTTCTCAGGATAAAATATAAATTTACATATGAAGGGTTTCATAATACATATCATACCCGTAAGGAAGGGTGGATATGACTGGTGTACATTTCCAAGCTTTTAAGAAAGATGTCATGTAAAAGACAATTGTGCGCATTACATCAGATCCCTTGTTGACATTTCTCAGGCAGGATATAGAATTTGAATCACCATGGTCTTCAGTGCGTATCTACTAAGAGTAACCACATTATTGAGTCTGGGGACATTTTGTTATTCATGTATTATCATATATTATTGATTGTCATCATGGTTTTTAACTCATGCACCTTTTCTCTAAGAACTCAGGCTTTGAAATTCATAATCAGGTCCTCAGTGGTCAAATATGTTTAATCTAATGAATTGCTTACACTACACATTTGCATGCTGGATATACAATTTAGTTTCTAAATTAAAACATTCTGGGAAAGCTCAAACAAGGGCACTAAATTTTAAAGTTTTCTGACCTTCTGAAATCTTTTATGAGCTGTATTTCGGTGAAAAGGACCATTTAAGCCTTGGGCCTAGCACATTTGTATTCTTTGAAAATGTTCCCAAAGTCTATATCGATATATTATGTGTACATTTGAAATGAGGTTCCACACTTCATAAACCTATGTTCTGTATTAAACTTCAACTGGGGAAGTCTGTATCAGTTTTCTAGGGTGTAAAGTGATGGAAAAAATGAATCTTGTTTGAATTGATGTTAGCTTGCTTATGAAATGGCCTCTTGGGGCATGAAGGAGAGTGGCTGGAAATTTGTGTCTGGAAAAGAGGCTGGAGTCTGTTAAAAATTACCTCCAGATAAGAGGAATGAGCTGGGTAATGAAATGATTTCAATCATATGAAACATTTGTTTTTAATGTAGGAGTCATTGGACATGAGAATTGTCTGCCTATAGTGCTTTCTGCCTGACAAGGGATTTCCTGCTCTTAAAGTATCCTTTATAAATTTCTATTGAATAGTTTGCCAATGCAATCCAGAAACCTTGTTAGTCTAAGGTGAGAAAATCGGTATTAACTTTCCTTGTGCTAACATTTCCACTGTTGACCTAAGATTAAAAAGCCAAAAAAGGTTTCAACCTAGAAACCTACTTGAAAATAAATGACACCTGTTTCAAGAGAAGAGGTATTTCACTAAAGGCTAGTAACAAAAATCCTGCTAAATTTTGACTATGTGATTTGATTTTCATTGTGGACATCATAGTTTTCTTTTTAGTTTTGAATTAAAAACATGCAATATTGTAATTCTCTACAAAATATAGGTAATACTTGTAGCTCATTGTAAATACACTGTTCTTTTCATGATGTACACTAAGAAAATCATTAATCTCTGAAAGAAATAGATTTTTTTTTTTTTTGAGATGGAGTCTTGCTCTGTCACCTAGGCTGGAGTGCAGTGGTGCGATCTTGGCTCACTGCAACCTCTGCCTCCCAGGTTCAAGTGATTCTTCCTGCCTCAGTCTCCCGAGTAGCTGGGATTACAGGCACCTGCCACCGCACCCAGCTAATTTTTGTATTTTTAGTAGAGATGGGATTTCACCATGTTGGTCAGGCTGGTCTCGTACTCCTGACCTCAAGTGATCCACCTGCCTCGGCCTCCCAAAGTGCTGGGATTACAGGCATGAGCCACCGCGTCTGGCATGAAAGAAACACGTTGATTTTAACTTTCATCACTCTACCTCTTGTTTTTCTTGCCTGATGCTCCTCTGTAGCATGGCTTCTGTTTTGTTCAGAGTATAAGTAAATTAAAATGGAAAAAAGCTTTTGCCTCTGTCATCACAGGAATATTTGAAAAATTTATAAGTTTAATTGGCAGCTTTATTTGCAATCAATTTACATTTTTATTTCCCCTGAATAATAAATTCAGAAGTTGGATGATAAGTGTTTCTCCTCGAGTGCTATTTGCATACAATATTTCCTAATGTTCATGGTAATTTTACATTGAAAAAAATGTCACTAGCAAAGAAAAAATAAGCAATTTTTAGAATTGGAAAATGTCCAGTACTAGGATTTGTAAATCTTCCTGTTTATTAATTCTGTACCTTTTTAGAAGAATCCAGATGGCATGATCTGGCCTTGTGATCAACTGCTTTCACCTCTAGGCTGGCCCAGGAAAAAGAATTATATATAAAAATATAAAAATATAAATATAAATATATATATATCTATTTCTTCTTTTGTGAGTCAGCATGCTATAGTCACAAACCCAATTTCAAGTCCACTCTATAGGCTCTCACCAGAATTGACAACTGTCAGTCAAAATCTCACCACTAACATGACCTTTTGACACCAACATAAACACTTCTGCTACAATTTTGGATTTAGGTAGAGGGAGAGGAAGAGAGGGGAAAAAGAGAGAGAGAAGCAGAGGAGAAAGAGGAAGAGGAGGAGGAAGAAGGCAAGGCAAACAGGATGAAGAAGGAGAAAGAGAAGGAGAAAGGAAGAGGCAGAAGACAAGAAAGAAGAGAAAAAGAAAAGAAATGAAAAGAAGGGAGAAGGAAGAAAATGATGTCTGAGTTGAAAAGGAAATAAAGCGAACCAGGCTTTTGATATATATATTTTAAAGATCCAGTAGTAAAAGAAATCATAGAAAGTGTAAACAAAATCACACATATAGCAATTGTTTCTGAAATACTAAATTCTCCAAATTCAGCCTTAAATTTTTTTTTTTGTCCCCCATGTGGTTTTCTGGGGCAGGGTAGACTTTCAGGCTGTTTATCTTGCAAACACGTTTGGCCCTCTGAGTACACAAAGCAAAATACCAACAAGATGTTGCCGTGAGCATGCAGTTGATAATGCTCCTTGTTGCTTATTTAAGCATAAGACCTTTAATGTTCAAGACATTTTCTTTTTAAAGAAACATATGTTTTTAAGAGTATTTGATATTTTCATGACTTTTCTTCTTCTTTAACTTCCAGCATTCAGTAAAATGGCGTTGGTGCTGGAGCTTCTGCAGATGCCTAAGTCTCTGGTTATTGTACCTTCTGTTTTGGAGCCTGAGGACGCTCTTTCCTGCAACTCTGTTTTCTTCTGTTAGTTCTGGCCTCTCTCCATGCCTGGAGTGTGCGCCAGTGTCAGAGATGGAGACTTGGAAGACGTGTTGACCAAAAGAAACTAGCGTGGCAGTTTCTGGCTAAACCTTCCGTAAAGCTTCTATTCATTAAACCTGATTTTTCTCCTTTGTTTGCTAGCACAGTGCTATCATCTGCCAATTTTGTATTTATATATCTTTTCAAATGAATTCACTGATTTGAATTTGAGTCCTGTTGATTCCCTCTCATGTAACAAAAAATAAAATCCTCTCAACTATCATAAATAATTTTTTTTCTTTTTTTTTGCTTCTCAAGAGTCTAATTTGGTTTAAAGCACTGATGGATGGCTGGTGAAATGATTTGCATGTACTCTTTTTGCATTATGTTTTAAACTTAGAAGTGAGTTTTTGCCAATTATAAATGTTTGGACAGCATAGCATCATAAATCCCTTTAATTTAAAGCCCTAGTGTTTAGCCTGAGTGCGCTTTGAGTATCAGACTCACCAAAGGTATTGTTTTTTGCAAGTAGTTTTTGAGAGCGGCCTTTTCTATCTATCATCTCAGTGTGTGATTATTGTGTTAGGTGGCTCACTGGAAAGTGTATAAAGGAAATCAGCAAGATTCAGTAATAAACAACGGAAGGAATTAGAGAAGAAATGGTGATCACACATTTTGAGAAGGAAATATTGTCTGATTGTATCTGAGCTTGAAAATATATAAGCACTTCATCAAACTCACAACCCCTGAGATGTGATAAAATGACAATCAATTTTTATAGAGGACCAGCTTTTCCACAAGTCTTTTTTGCAAAAGAATTGCTTTCAAAAATATTTTCATGGATTAAATAGCTCAGTTGTTGGCTTCCAAAGACGTACATTTAGAAAAAAGTAGCAACAGAATTCATGTAAACAAAATTGGAAATAAGTAAAGGTTCAACAGAAACAGTGTCTAAGGAAGTGGTGGTATAACCAAAAAATGGAAAAAGGCAGCCATAAAAAAATCCTGTTTTCAAAAAGTTATAATGACAATTGAAGTGATGACATTTTAAATGAGTGTATATATATATATATATATATATACACACACACACACATAAACATAAACATACATATACATACACATACATAAAAATAGAAGAAGAATAGGCACCAAATGTGAACAATGACTGTGTCTGCCTAGAGGCATAACTAGTGATATTTCTGCTTTTTGAATTGCTCTATTCTTTTGTATTTCTCCAACATTTTTATAACCAAAAAATATGCATTATTCAAAATGTGGAAAATAACAACAGAATAAGTTTAATGTATTTTTAGTTTTTATACAAATTCTAAAACTAAAACAATATCAGGCAAAACAAACTCAAATCTCTCCACCACTGGATGAGGGATTGGAGACTTGACTGATTTGACTGAATAACTATAGCTCTCGTCGATACACAAACCTCAGTTTCCAGCCTGGTTCTTCCAATCCTGAGTGGTATGGAGTGCCTGGCATAACAGTTACTTACGAAATTGGGTTCTTGATTGTTGTGAATATTAATGAGACTTCATATAAACAGCCTGAATGGTAGTTTTTGTTTCTCAAATTCTATTGGTTTTATTTTAGGGGGAGTGTTAATCAAGTTACTAGTGTATCTTCACATTTCATTTTGGAAATTAATCAGGTTACCACCATCACCTCCAAATGGGGGCTCCAGTCACTTTTGCTTCTGTCGGCCTCTATCTAAAGTCAATTGAATAAGTCACTGAAGACTAAATTTGTTTAGAAAAGTTTTGTGTTCAATTATTGCTTTCCTTACTGGTAAGATATTTTGCAGTCTATTTAGCTATCTGAAGCTTGCGCAGTGCAAAGCATTTTTTACACATGCCTTGGGGTTCTGAAGGTACTCCTTGTTGAGGAACACTTGCCACCATTTGAATTCATCAGTTTTATAAAAAAGTAATAATGAGGTATGTATAGAAATAATGAGGTGCCATTCTTAATTACTACTGAAAGATTCTGAGTAAACAGATACTCTCATGAATCAATACATTCATTGATTCCACAGATATATATTCAGTACATACTGTGTAGTAGGCACTATACTAGATCTTTATATGTTGGTTAGACCAAACTAGAAATGTGTAGTTTTTTCATCAATATTTCATCAATAGCTGCTAAGCTCTCCCCATCTCCAGTCTTAGGACTTCATCCTGACATTCTTCAGCAGTTGACAGTTAAGAATATATAGCAACATACACATTTGACTCTCACCACAAGCCCTAAAGAGACAGAGGGTTACCAGCTAACATAAGGCGTGTGGAATGCTGTACACATAGCAGAGATTTCAGAAGTTTTTTCAGTGAGCGATCGACCAAGGCTCAAATAAATTAAGCAACTATTTTACACAGTATGTTTGCTTAACTTTGATGAACAATCTATAGTCTGATGTGAATGGCATCAGCAGCCATAGCCAAGGTCAAATAGACCCAGCTTTGATACTATTCTTTTTTGATATTTGCAAGATATAGCAGTCCTATATTTATTCTTAGACACTTTTCTTTTTTCTCATTTTCTCACACACTGGAAGGGTTTGATGTGTCACGTGAGTAAAGTCACTCTTTACAGACATTGTAACCAATGGTCAGTATCTTGGACTCTGTTATGTGTCACTGACACAGAGGAAATCCCCTGTGGAAACCCAGATTCCGGTAATGGACAGCATTTGGGCTGGCGGGAGTCGAACATGACTTCATACTTAATGGTAAGTTAATGAAGAGTTGAGTGAAGTAGCACCAAGAAATGCAACTGTTAGAAAAAGAAAGAAATGCAGGAAGGAAGGCAAAAGGAAGGAGAACAAAATAAGAAAAGGGGGGAGGGAAGGACAGAGGAAAGCAGGGAAGAGGGAAGGAGGAAGAAAGGAAGATGGATGATAGAATTTTTTGGTTTGAAAGGAGAAGGCATTGAGCCTTAAACTGTTGATTATAATAACGCAGGTGATTTAGCTTCTTTTTATTCCTGAGTTTATACTGTGGATATATAGAATATGTGAAACCACATTCCCAGGCATGGATTGGGTCACAGAACCTAATTTATTCAATCATCCCTCTAGCACATTTCCGCTCTGTTCATCCCCTCTGAACACAGCTTAAACACTGACAAGAAATCAGTGTAAAAGTCACGATGAGATTAAGGCAATTTTATTTTCTTAATGAACAACTATCTCTTTTCCAAGTGCTTATGTTCCTGGAATGCAGCTAACCACAATTATAGTACAACAGGATTTAAATTAGGTTCATAAATAGAAATATATCTTCTGTAAAAGTTATAGGAATTAAATTATTTGTTGTAATGAACTATATGCCATATAGCATATTACTTAAAATAAATACATAACTAGTAGTAGCACCTACATAGTTAGGCTATCTAGGTCTTCTAAATCACTAGCACCACTTTTATATTAACTTGGGGCAATAATGATAATAACATAAAGACCATTCTTTACCTTTTTACATTATTTCAGAACTTATAAATAGATTCATGTAGAATTTTAAGTTAATTTAAAATAATTATTATTTAATATTTAAAATAATTATTATTTAATATTTTATATAGTACTTAAAAACTTTATGTCATATATGGCATTAACTCTTATTTTGGGACTGATTTAAGAGATTTAGGAGAAAGATCCCCAGGACCACAAAGCTGGGACAGAGCCAAGACTTGCATGAGGCTGGTCAGCCCCTCCAGCCTGCACTAATCCTGTTATTCGATGCATTCTTTTTTTGTTTGTTTGTTTGTTTGTTTGCTTTTTGAGTTGGAGTCTCACTCTGTTGCCCAGGCTGGAATACAGTGGCACAATCTTGGCTCACTGCCACCTCCACCTCCTGGGTTCAAGTGATTCTCTGGCCTCAGCCTCCTGAGTAGCTGTGATTACAGGAGTCTGCCATCACACCCAGATAATTTTTGTATTTTTAGTAGAGATGGGGTTTCACCATGTTGGCCAGGTTGGTCTTGAACTCCTGACCTCAAGTGATCTGCCCACCTTGGCCTCCCAAAGTGTTGGGATTACTGGCATGAGCCCAGCCTCAATGCATTCTCAAACTAATGCTGACCATGTTGGCAGGGCGACCAAAAGAAAGACATCCCTCCCTGAATGACTATGGGTGGTTATTAAGCTTAGTACAGTCATGCACTGCATAAGGACACTTCAGTCAACAACAGCCTGCGTATATGACTGTGGTTCCATGTGATTATAATGGAGCTGAAAATGTTTGTGGCCTATGACACTGTAATCACCTGAAGGTCTTAGCACAACACATTACTCACGCGTTTGTGGTGATGCTGGTGTGAACAAACCTACTGCGTTGCCATTCACATAACAGTGTAGCAGCTATAATGACACACAATACATAAAAATTGATCATGATAAACAGCTGTGTTACTGCTGTGTGTATTTGCTATACTATACTTTTATAATTATTTTAGAGTGTTTTCCTTTTACTCTTAGAAAAAAGTTAAGTGTAAACAGTTAACTGTAAAATGTCACATCCTTCAGGAGGTATGCAAAAGAAGCGTTGCTATCACAGGAGATGGCAGCTCCATGCGTGTTGTGGCTCCTGAAGACCCTCCAGTGGGACAAGATGTGGAGGTGGAAGACAGTGACGTTGATGATCCTGGCCCTGTGCAGGCCTAGGCTAATGTGTGTATTTGTGTCTTAAGTTTTAATAAAACAGTGTAGAAAGTAAAAAAAAAGTTAAAAAAGTCTGAAAAAATAAGAACAGAAAGAGAAAATGTTTTTCTTTCTATTAAAAATATTTTTCTTTCTATTCTTGTACAACTGTACAATGTATTTGCATTTTTAGCTAGATGTTGTTACAAAACAGTCAAAAAGTTAATAAAGTAAAAATGTTACAGTAAGCTGAGGTTAAGTGTGCAGCATTTATAACATCTACAGTAGTGGACAGTAACGTCCTAAGCCTTCACATACCCTCACCAGTCACTCACTGACACCCAGAGAAACTTCCAGTCCTGCAAGTTCCATTCATGGTAAGTGTACCATTTATAATCTTTTGTACTGTATTTGATTGTATCTGTTCTATGTTTAGATAAACAAATACTTAGCAATGTGTTATAATTGCCTACAGTATTCAGAACAGTCTCATTCTATGCAAGTTTGTAGCCTCACAACAGTAAGCTATACTATACAACCCGGGTGTGCTATACTATATAGCCCAGGTGTGCAGCAGGCTGTACCACCTTGGTTTGTGTAAGTACCATCTGTGTTCACACAATGATAAAATCGCCTAATGACACATTTCTCAGAAGGTATCCCAGTCGTTAAGCAATGCATGACTGTACTTTGCTTGCTTAACCAGCAGGGAAGACATGCCATTCTTTAATTTGGTGCTCTGCACACAACTTGGGGTGATGACAGATTGGTTAATAAATATACAGAGAGGTTAAGTGTGGCTATTCATTTTAAGGTTGCCTTCATGACTTATCTGCTAGAATCCTCTAGCAGGTGTAATTTAGTGAGAAAGACTTCCAAAAAAGCCATAGAGGGTTATCAATCAGCCTTGGTTGAACATATTAATAAGGAATTAATCCTTACAAGCTCTATGATTGAACCCTATTAGATGGAGAGAGGAATAGTGAAGGGGAGTCAGAACTCATTACCGTCACTAATATCTAATCAAACTATTGGCCGTCTACATGTCTGAAAAGTAATTGGAGAGGTTCTTCCGTTTAGAAAATTATTTAACATGTGATCCATTTAAATACAATGCTCATTTGTAGAGTTTGAAATGTGTTTTGATTTTTACAAAACTATTCAGTAACACCTATTTGGCAAACATAATGTATGTATGTAAACATAGGTAAGAATAGACTAATTGTATAGAAAATATAATTTGACATTCTCAAGAGATAATAATATAAATACAGATGTGCTGTTCTTATTTCTGTGTTCAATATTAGAAATTCTTATGTCTAGTGATTATTTCACTCTAGTTCTGGAAGAAATTTGTTAGGACTTCAAGCCCTCTGTTTGGTGTGAGCATGAACTAGGCAGATTGCCTATTTCTAAATGAATCATGAAAGAGTTCTGCACATTTTTCTTGATGTGAGGACCATTAACTACCAAATATCCCTAGTTTTGCTAGTAACAAAGAATACAGCAAAGTTACTCTGATAACAAAAAATATCATCTGAAATTACAATATTTAATTTTAATCAGAAGAGGTTTTGCGATCAGGTAAATCACAATTTGCTTTGGTGAAATTGAGTGTATATCATAGAGGATGATGGCACATAACTGGGGCTTTTCTGGGATGGACAGAGTAGCAGAAACTTTGCTCCTGTTTCTGACCCCACCGAGATCCACATTTTAAAAAAGCAAACATAAATAGACATTTTCTCAAACAAGATAGTGTGCATACAATTTTTCCTTATGCAATGATAATATGGTATCTTTTTACTTTCTCTTTTCAAACTTAGTGGATGGTGGAAGAAAATTGTTCATTTGCTCATGTTATCTACCAAGGAAAGACCATTTTCATTAAGAAAGCAAAATTTAAATATGACAGAGACTTTCCTTTTAGTTCTGCCAATGGTCCTTGTGAGAACAACTTGAAAAGCCCAATAAATTATAAAAATGTGTCTCTTTGACAGCACCAGAGTGCCTCTGAGACAGCTAGATTTTGAGGAATGAAGATCCAGATAGAGGGAGAGATCTCTGAGCATGGGCTCCACATTCTGTGTGCTTCTTTTTTCTTGGGTCATTTGCTGAGGCAGGAGTAGGGGCCAGAGATGGGGAACAGGGTGGGAGACTGAGAAGCCATGAAGAGGAGGGCTGCTAGGAGGCGGAGGAGGCAGGACAGCCTTGGGTTATCTTATGGAAGTGATTTGAAATCAGTAAATAAAAACTGATGCTTGAGACTGCCACAGCAGCCAGAGAGATGCCAAGGACCCGGAGAGAAGGGAGCATAGAGAGGGAAAGTTGACATTTGTTGTTCATCCATTGAGTCATTTCTGAATTCTTCACATGTGTAGGGTCAGAAAATGAAAAGCTGATAAAAAAGCAGCAGAGTTTTTGCAATCTCAAGGTATTTAGGAAACTAAAATTGGAATTTAGGAATGACCAAGGAAGAAAAGCCGCAGGAAACACCCAGACTCTTAGTGGGGCCCTCTGGTGGCGTCCTTTATAAAGAGCTCAGATCTTTATAACCATCTCGGAACAGCATGGTTATCTGTGATGGGACTGATGTGAGATGTTTTATGTATTCCATGTCAGCTTTTTGAGGACAATAGGGTCACTCTCCTCTGGTGGAAAACATCCAAACACTCTATTCTTTTCTCATGCAAAATTCCTACATTCAATAAAAAAATTAGCACATTTCAATGACTAGGACAAGATAAAAAACAGACATGAGAAGCAGATCTAAAGATGATTCAGATACTGGCATTATCACACATGAATCTAAAAATAACTGCAACTAGTGTGTTCAGTAAAATAAGATTGAGAATTTTGCATGAGAACTTAAATCTATAAAAAATGATCAAATAGAAATTCTGCAACTGAAAAGTACAATTACTGAAACTAAGAATAACAGAAATGGATTTAATAGCAGATTGGACACAACAGAAGGAAAATAGTGAGGTGGAAATAGGTTAGTAAAAATATGTCCAGATTGAAGAATGGAGAGCAAAAAGGATGGAAAGCAAAGATGATTATAAAGAATATATGGGACATGGTGAAAAAGTTTAAGATAAATGTAATTGGAGTCCCAGAAGGCAAGGTGAGAGAGCATGTGGTAGAAAGCAATACCTGAAGAGGTAATGCCCGAGAATTTTCAGAATTTATGAAAGAAAAAATTAGTCACGGATTCAAGCAATTCTATGAATCGCAAAGATAATTATTAAGAACACTACTACTTAAAACACGAATGAACTACTGAAAAGCAAAGGCAAGAAAGTTTTAACAAACAGCCAGAGAAAAAAAGTAATATAATCAAAAGAACAGCAATAACACTGACAGTTGATCTCTCAATAGAAATGAAATAGATGTTATTTTAAAGAGATGAAAAAGAACAGCTGTCTAGAGCTCTATACCTGGCAAAATCGTCTTCAAAATGACAGTCAAATATATACATTTCCAGAGAAGGAAAAAATAGAGAAACTTTGTCACTAATAGATCTACATTTAAAAAAATGCTAAAGGGAGTTCTTCAGACAAAGTGAAATTTCCCCGAATACAGTTTGGATATGTATCCCCTCCAAACTCGTGTTGAAATTCAATCCCAGTGTTGGAGGTGGAGTCTAGCGGGAACTGTTTTGGTCATAAAGGGTGAATCCCTCATGGATGGCTTTGGACCCTCCCCATAGTAATGAGTGCTCTGTTAGTTCGTATGAGAGCTGGTTGTTGGAAAGAGCCTGGCAGCTCTCTCTTGCTCTCTCCCTCACCACATAAAATGCCAATTCCCCTTCCTCTTTCACCATGATTGGAAGCTCCCTGAAGCCCTCGCCAGCAGCAGATGCTAGCACCATGCTTCTTGTGTATCCTGCAGAAATGTGTACAAAAATACTCAGCTTCAGGTATTCCTTTACAGCTGCCCAAAATGGACTAACATACACCTCAACAGCAACCAAATAAAGAAAAAGGAAAGGATTGAATCAAAAGCATCAAAAACTGTAAGTAGGTGAGCAAACAAGATGGTGGAATCGAAGCCTACACGGTGTGTCCCCGACTGGATTTCCAAATTTAACCACCCTCTGCACTCAGAAAAGCACTGTCACAAAGCCAAAAGCCAGGTGAGCCACCACAGCACCTGCTTTTAACTTGACATTGCTGAAAAAGGTATGGAGGACATTAGGGGAGACAGTCTTGACTCGCTGGTTCCCCTTCTCCCCATCTCCTGGCAGCAGCTGTGTGGCATGGAGAGTCTGTGCATGTTGGGGAGGGAGAGCACAGTAACTGGGGTGGGAGGGACTTTTTATTGAACTCCGTGCTGTCCTGTCGCAGTGGAGAATAAAGCTATGCTGGGTTCAGCACCTACATATGCAGAGAGCATTTGGACCAGCCTGAGCCAGGCGGGAATCATTCATTCCAGGAGTAGGAACTTGAGTTTCTCGACAAGTCTCACCACCGTAGGCCGAAGTTCTCTGAGGTCCTAGGTTAGCTAGACTGGGCTTACAGACAGGGGACTGGGGCGGGGGGGAATGTGTCCTAGAAAGACAGCAACTGGTGTGGCTCAGGGAGTGTTTGTGCCATCCCTCCCCAAACCCCAGGCAGTGCAGTCCATAGCCACAAAAGCGATTCCTCCTATCTGCTTAAGAAAAGGAGAGCAAAGAATAAAGAGGACTTCATTTCGCATCTTGGCTACCAGCTCAACCACGGTAAGAGTGCAGTGGGCAGAGGCATGAGGCCCCCATTGCAGGCCCTTCCTCCTGGATGAAATTCCTAGGCACACCCTGGGCCAAAAGGGAACCCACTACTTTGAAGGGAAGGGCCAGTCCTGGCAGGATCCAACACCTGCTGACTAAAGAGTCCTTGGGTCCTGAAGAACCAGCAGTGACACCCAGGAGTACAGCATGGGCCGTGTCTTCCCAACATTTTCTAACTGAATGCGGCTCATTGTGCATGAGTAACTGGAACGGCTCACCAGGGTGCCACCTTCCTCCAGAGACGATTGCTCTTTCCTCTGCTAGATAAACCCCAGGAAGGGAACAGCAGTACAAGTGAAGAAAAACACATTGACCCAAGAGGCTTTTTGGACAAAAAATCAACAGGACTAGATGATAGGTGGGGCATCTAGAAGAAAGATCATGTGAAGGATGAAAGTTGCTCGAACAGCTCAGGAGTTTGTGGTGCTATTTGCTGAGCAGGAGGTCACTGCGGAAAGAATTTTTTGAGAGATAATATAAACAAGGGTTCCTGTTTGTGCTTGTAAATTTAAAGTGTCTCTGTGCTATACAAGCAGAGGCAAAGGTATACAGGAGTTTCTCTCTGAGGGAGGCTGTGTCAGCACACAGCAAGTTGTTGTGTCTCTCTGCTATCCAAGCTTAGGCAAAGGTATACAGGAGTTTCTCTATGGGGGAGCCTGTGTCAGCACGCAGCGAGTTGTGTCTCTGTGCTATCCAAGATTAGCAAAGTTATATAGGAGTTTCTCTACGAGGGAGGCTGTGTCAGCACGCAGCGAGTTGTGTTTGGCTTTCTGAAGTCTCTTAGCCCTTTGAATTTTGCTTCTGCGAAAGGGTAGACGGTGCAACAATGAAAAGTTGCCACCCTTCAGTAAGACTGTTTTTCTTTCGTTAATGCAATCTGCCTCCGTGCCCTCATTTTAGTGATTATGGGGAAACCTGTTGACTGTCACCATCTGTTCACTCACGGGAGGGCGTCGTAACTGTTGTGTGCTTTGAATTAGGGGTCTTACTGTCCACATCTGTTTTCTCAGCTTGCAGTTCTTAAATTTGCTAACCCAGGGTTGAAAGCAGTATCTCTGAGCAGCAGGCTTGGTGTAGCTTTCCATGGATACAGCATGCTAGACCATCTTCATGGACAAGCCCCGGCTCCAATCATGCATTACAGCCCCACACAGACTCTAAGTAACCTTAAGGTTTTCTCTTTGACATTTTTCTCTTCAAGAATAACAATTAAAACACTCCCCAGATTTCAGCAAGTTTAATGCATGTAATGTGTAAATAACAATTCACTTCATGCTGACTTCTGCCTGTATGAATAGATTATTGCTTATTATGCTAAAAACTTGGATTGAAAGTAGCTCTCAACTCATTACAATTATTATTCTGAATACCAAACTTGTTTCAAATACTAAATTTCCTGGTGTTCAGTCTGTTCCTGAAATGAATTATCTTTATGGATAGTGTTTTGACTGAGGCTACTTTTTTTTTTATTCTGAATGTGCTTTTGTTCTTGAAAATCTACTATTTATTTCTCTCTCTCTCTCTTTTTGCATTGTCTTTTTTCTTAGTGTTTTTTAAAGAAAAGTTCATGAGAGAAAAAATTATACCTTCTTGTTTCCAAGCTAACTTGTTTCTTTTTTCTTCCTTTAATAAGCCGTAACCTTGTTAGAATTTTTTGAAAACTTAAATATTGGGACCCAATATTCAGTTTTTTGAATGAACGGGTAAACAGATGAGTGGAAACAGATGAGATGATCTGGCGACCTCTGATTCCTTGTTAACATCAGACAACTGGATGCTGGGATGGTCTTCCAAGCCCCTAATCCAACCCTCTCCACAGCTTAAGTGCAGGCTGTTTTTCTTGAGGTGAGTTTGTCTTCAAGTTCAAAGTCAAGAGGTTGTATGTTCTGTTTATTTTTTCTTGCATGTATGGCCTACTCAAGGAAAATAAACACATTTGAACCAACGTCTTTATTGAAAATACGTTTCTGAATTTTAATGCAGGTTACAGACGTCTCTGAAATCAGCCGGAATTTCTGATGTAGGGACTCTTTCTGGGGGGCAACCAGGATAAACATCTCTCTATGATCTTTGTTAAATATGTATTAAATTCTCAGTGAACTGTCAACTGAAAAGTATTGCTTGGAATCAAAGGCCTGTGATATCTAACATGTGGTCCAGTCTCCTCGACTAGGTTAACAGCCTGGGCTCTCTGTTCCTTGTGAGGGAAAGTGCTCACGGGGATTAGTGAAAATTGCAGTTGCAAACCTGACGAGGGATGAAGGCCACAGTCAAAGTGTACACGGAAATGCTCAAAAGAGAAATTACATTAAGGCCAAGCAGCGAAACCTGTGCTCTGGGACAGGCACAAGGAGAATAAATGTACTTCGAAAAACAGGCTGTTTTAGGCAATGGCTCACACCGGTAATCCAAGCACTTTGGGAGGCGAAAGTGGGCAGATCACTTAAGGTCAGGAGTTCGAGACTAGCCTGGGCCAACATGGGGAAAGCCCATCTGTACTAAAATACCAAAATTAGTCTGTCATGGTGGTGCAGGCCTGTAATCCCAGCTTCTCAGGAGGGTGATGTAGGAGAATCCCTTGAACTCGGAAGGTGGAATTTGCAATGAGCCAAGATCACTCCACTTTACTCCATCCTGAGCCAGAGAGCGAGACCCTGTCTCAAAAAAAAAAAAACAAAACAAAACATAAACAGGCTCTTTTGATTCAAACTTTTTGTAGTTTAAAAATGATGCCTAGTTGACTGCATTATTAGAGAAAATAATGGCTAAAAACAAGAACATTTAAATACTTTCAAGATCCTGCTTGACCTGTTTGACTGCAGGGTCTTAAACCCTTAAGAGTTAATAAATTTGTTTATTTAATATTTATAATGAGCTGCAATTCTAAATGATGGGTTCCATTGCATCTTAAGCAAAGTTGAATGTAGACAAAACTGTATTTTTCTCTTCTGTTGCTTCTGTAGTTAAGCAAGAGGTACAGTGAATTTACTGTTAACACTGTAACCACCTGCAGGTTCTTCTTGCCCGCTGCTGATTTACCAAGACAGCAGGATTGCAGTAGAGAAAGGGTTCAGTATGTGTGGAGCTGGCGAAAGGTCAAGCCAAGGCTTTCTTATTACTCAAATTAGCCACCCTGAAATTTCAGAGGGTAGGGTTCTTCGGAGATACTTTGGTGGGCAGGGGCTAGGGAATGGAGACGCTGATGGTTCAGGCCAGGGATGGAATTGCAGGGAGTCACAGTGTCCTCTTGTGCTGACTCGGTTCCTGGGTGAGGGCCGCAAGACAGGATGAGCCAGTGTACCAGTCTGGGTGGCCCCAGCTCATCCATAAGAATGCAGGGTTTGAAAAATGCCTGGAACACCGATCTTAGGTTTTACAATAGAAATGTTACCCATTGGAGCAACTGGGGAAGTGAAGTGATCTTCTAGCCTCTGGCTGCGTGGCTCCTGAGCCATCATTTCTAATCTTGCCGCTAACTTGTTAGTTTTACAAGGATGTTCTTGTCCCCAGTCAAGGAGGGGACTTGTTTCAGGAAAGAAATGTTATAATCTTTGTTTCGAAGTTAAACTATAAGCTAAATTCCTCCTGTAGTTCGCTTGGACAGAAATGAACAAGGGCAGTTTGGAGGCTGGAGGCAAAGATGGAGTTGGTTTCATCAGATCTCTTTCACCCTCATAATTTTCTCTCTGTTATAGTGTTTGCAAAGGCGGTTTCAAACCAAAAATATTACGAATGTTTCATTTATTGAGGACATAATATGCACCAGGTACTGTTCTCAGATCAGTATCTGCATCAGCTGATCTTCACTGTAACCTGTGAAGTAAAAACTATTATTTTGACTATTATTTCTATTAATAGACAACTATTAATAGAAATAATAATAGAAACTATTATTTCTCATCTTTAACGTTAAAGATGAGAAAATGGAGGCAGAGTGATTAAGTGATTTGCCCAAAGACTCAGAGCTGAGCATGTGCCAGAGCATGGACTCCAATCTCATCAATCTGATTTTGGAACCAAAATGCTCAATGAGCAGATTATACAGCTGTGAACTCCTGGTTGCATTTTGCTTTATTGTCGGCCTAAAATAACTATTTTGGATTACCCATTAATACAAAAAAATTTGAAAAACTCCAAGTCATTAATCAAAAGAAATGCGTTATCTTTGTTAGAAGAATGGCCCCGTAGTTGGCGTAATATCTGTGATTGGGCTAAAGAGCTTACAGTGCATTTTCTGGAGCACCCATCTGGCTGATCTAAAGTCTATTGGTAACTAGGTCCTACAGAAGATTCGTTAATTTTGCCAATGTTGGTATTTCAGGGCTCAGCCTAAAGGATTATTTAATCAATTGCAGATTATTTATTATGGGGTCATTAACTGGTAACAAATATTATGCTGTTTACTTGTTTTTCCCTGAAACTAGTTATAATTGTTAGCTATCTTACATCTTTTGTTCTGAGGGACACAATTTATATTTTAAATAAATAGCTCCTTTAAGAAAATCTATGTATGCTTAGGTGGAAGCTAGAGCCTCCTAGACTGTTAAACTGTCTTCGCAAGATGAATTTGTAAGCTTCCCTCTGTAGAGACTTTTTTTCTTCCCATGTGGCACTCACAGGAAGGCTTTGCAATCACCATCGTGTGGGGCTCGAATTTGAAAAATCCTGAGCTGGATATGACATTCCCCATGGCCACATCACCTGGATTTTTCTAATTTCAGAGTCTGGTGGGACCTGACTCCACGTTTTCTCTCTAGTCCGAGGCCCGTCTGTGCTTGTGCCTCATTCCTTGCCTGGTGCACTCAGACTCCACCTCTGCAGTGAGAACCCTGTGTCCGCTTGGCCGAGTCCCTGGACCTGATTGGGCTAACAGCCTGAGATGGCACCGGTGAAGACTCTGAGGAAAGTGGAGAATCATCACATAACCTTGCAGCACAGCGTTATGTTAGCTGAGGAGTCCGTACAGCTGTAGTGGGGCTGGGATACAGACTGACACCCAGGAGGAAGACTTGACATTTTAGTCCTGGATGATGCTGCCAGGAGAAAGACAACGGTGGGAACCTTGTGGCTTCATTCAGTAAGGGAGGTGCTACTCCACTCATAACGCTGTACTGAAGTTCAGGTATCATCTTCCCTTAGACAAATGTTGATTACCAATTAGATACTTAATTGTGGTGGAAAAAATAAACATATCTGTTAAATATTTTCCAAATACTGTGTTTTCCATACTCTCCTTTCCCTACATCGGCCATTTTAAACTTGGAATGTATCTTACAATGTGGTACTTTAGTTTTCCTTGTAAATTTGTGATTGAATTTGCTGTCTTCTAATCTGTGTATCTCCCAATTCTAAACCATTTGAAATTTGAGATAAAAGGAGAAGGAAGAAAGATAAATCACACAGATGAACAAAAAAAAAAATCTCTACATACTGATCAATTAGCAGTGGTGCAGAAGTTCTCAGCTGTGTTTTCAACAAGATGATCTTAAAAAAAAAAAAAAGTAAACCCAGAGGGTTTCTTTTCTAAGGCCCTAATTAATAGTCACTCCTGTCTCCCTGGGGCCAGTGGAAGGGTTTAAAGGGGGACTAACGACGTTGCTTTTATACTTTTCCCAACTGGGAGTAGAATGGAAGTTTCCACCTTTCTTTGGAAACTTTGAGGGATGGGAAATCATTGTCTTTTTCTATCATCGGAATTAAGGAAAATGGTAGAATATACAAAACATTGTCTGTGAAGTAGCTAAATTGGAATTTTTTAAAAAAGAAAAATATCATGATATTTTTATTCTAAAACACTTGTAAGCCTAAATATAGACTTTGGAACCAGTGAAGGAATCAGAGGGTTATTACCCCATAGGCTAGGGGAAAGCACATCCTTGCCCTGAAGCATCTGAAAACCTCATCTCCTTTTTGCCAACTCACTTGGGCAGCTATAGCTAAAAGCACTCAGACCTCCAATAATTGATATTTTTTAAAGCATTTACTTAAACCTGCTTAGAGGTCACTTTGGAGATGGAATAAAACCAAGGAAGTATTTAAAACATACTGTATATTTAATTAATGAACATTTCTATTTAAGCTTCAATGAAAAGTGTGTGAGGTGGTTTACAGAGATTGTTCTTGAAGAGATGTTGTTATTCAACAGAAGGCACAATCTAATGATCAGAGGAGGGCTACATTCTTAGCTATCTTTTAGATACGCAAAGCCCGCAAAACATCTGAAAAGTTGGCCAATGAGTTCTTTGCCATATTTTTATTCTAAGAATTCACCTCTTTAAATCAAGCACCAATAATATAAAATCCCCAGAAAGAAAGAATGGCTGAACTCATACTGAGAACAGAACCTTCCTCACTAATAAAATGTGACACATATTTAATATCCTAGCTTCATGGCTACTGTTCTTTCTTTCTTTCTCTTTCTTTCCTTCTTTCTTTCTTCCTTTCTTTCTTTCTGTCTTCTTTCTTTCTTCTTTCTTTCTTTTTCTTTTTTTTTATTATTATTATACTTTAAGTTCTAGGGTACATGTGCACAACGTGCAGGCTTGTTACAAATGTATACATGTGCCATGTTGGTGTGCTGCACCCATTAACTCATCATTTACATTAGGTATTTTTCCTAATGCTCTCCCTCCCCCCTCCCCCCACCCCACAACAAACCCTGGTGTGTGATGTTCCCCACCCTGTGTCCATGTGTTCTCATTGTTCAATTGCCACCTATGAGTGAGAACATGTGGTGTTTGGTTTTCTGTCCTTGGCAATAGTTTGCTCAGAATGATGGTTTCCAGCTTCATCCATGTTTCTACAAAGGAAATGAAGTCATCCTTTTTTATGGCTATTGTTCTTAAGATTTAATATCTTAGCTCTATGGCTATTGTTCATGGCTTTATTATTTATAGACAATCATTTTTATATTTATGGGAAATATTTTTATGTCAAAAATCTTGTGATTGGATGAATTCAGGGTGACATTTTTGTTATTACATAATGAGGATGTTTAAAATGATAACCTAGTTACCCCATTCAGGAAGTATCTGAACACAGAAATTTAGTATTTTCTTTGAAGGTCAGTTGTGAGATTAAGTTGTAATCTGGTTACACTACATCTGTTGTGAGAGGATTTTCTGTTTTGTTTTGTTTAACCAGACGTTATTTTCAAAAGTTCAATTTTCATGGGCAAAAGGCATTCCATTAAAAGCTGATCACTTTCAAAGTGCTGGATTAAAAGATGTTTTCAAAATTAAATAACATTCTATTAGAAATGTAAGACATAGTACTTGTTTTCCAAAACTTATAAAGTCATTAGCTGTCTCTGTGACCTTGGTAAGGATACCTTCAACTTTCCTTATCTTCAGATTCCTACAGTGAAAAATCGAGAGGGTTGGATCAAATGACTACTAAGGCTTGCTCCAGTTCTAATTCAGAGTTCAGAATGATCTCAGTGCAATTTGGATAAAATAATTGTAAAGAACATGATGTACTTATACGCTAAGATGTGTTGCATACAAACATTCAACGTGTATGCATAAAAATTGTGTTGATCTAAGTTTGAAGAAGGAAGAATATCTGTGATATTCTTGCTGGGACAACCAAAGCAGCCTTCTAAATTGTGTCTGTTGTTAGTCGAATCCTTTTAATCTGCTGCTTCTCTGACTGTCTACTTTCTCCAGTCCACATAGGCAGTGCTTCTCCACTGTGTACAGGCTGAGATCCAGCGTTGCAGAATGGTCACCACCTTCTCCACTGTGTACAGGCTGAGATCCAGCATTGCAGAATGGTCACCACCCATGGATTCTGACCCAGGGACCTTGAAGGCAGCTCCCGTGCTTCTCCAGCTCTGGCACCTACTTGTACATTACGCCCATTTGCCCTTTCTTGCCTGTACCCTCTGTTTTTCTGTCCCTATTCCTTTTCCATACTACCCCCTCTCTGCTTCTTGCATATCTCGACATCTATAAAAAAATTCTTGCTGCTAGGACCTTGATTTTTTTCCTTGGGAGACTTCATGATTGCAGTTAGAAGTGATCTTTTGTGTATGTGTGTGTGTGTGTGTGTGTGTGTGTGTGGGTTGGAGTGGAGAATGCTTTTCTTTTTCCCCCTACTTTTGCACCTAGGGTCATAGAGAAGGGACTTCCCGCCATTACCCTAATTCTGCGGGAAAAATTTGGAGAGGGTGTTCCTGTTGTTCTTTCTACCATTTCTTATCGGGGGCATCCGTGACGCATTGAGCAGGACAGTTCTTCATTTTACAAGACTGTGCTGCTCATTTCAGGACAATTTGGTATCCCTGTCACCGTGTGAACCTCTTTCAATTTTAACCTCTTCTTTCCCACAGTGGTGTCATCTGACTCTCTTGAGGACAACTGAGTCCCCTTACTTGCTCCTCCTTCCAGGAGACGGATCGATTAATCTGGTGAGTTTGGTGAGAACCTGGCATTCATTAGCTATGGTGCTCCAGTGAGCAGGGTGAGGTGCCGAAACTCAGTTTTCAGGCAGGATATATTTGTTCTTTTTTTGCTTTTTCACTCTGGTATGCTGCACTTGGGACCTCTCCAGGCGTTACACATGCTAGGGTCTGGTTCAAGCAGCTGGGTGGGCAGCTCCTCTGCCTGGCTTCATGCCAATCCTGTAGTTAGGCTGTGGAGGAAGGGTGGTGGTCCTCCTTGATTCATTGTAGTGTATCAGAGAGTCTGCTGCCTGGAGCAACTGGGCATTTGCCACCCATTGCTAATGACTTGGACACTGGCAACCACACATTGCAGTTTGCATCCATTCCCTTCCCTTTCAGCAAGGTCCCAGTGGACTGGAGAATGTTTTGGGTATCGGCATCCTCAAAAAACTTAGAAATTTTTTAAAGCACTTATCTAGTTCCTATCTAAGTATGTTGCAAACTTCTTGTGGTCTAGGATTAGGTATTACTGACTCTCTTTATCCCCTAAAACCCTCAGTGCATTGTTCATTGTAGGCACTCGGTTTACGAATTGAATAATAGTAGCTGAAGCTTATTAAGTGCTTAGTATATGCCAGGCAGTATTTTAAAGGCTGCATGTGGATTAAATCATTTAATACACAAAACAATCCTCTGAGGTAGTTACGGTTATTATATCCCCTTACAGATTAGAACACACGGGGTCAAAGAGGTTAAGAAACTGGAGATCTAAGGGACACGGTTTGAAAATGAACCTACTACATGATCTCTTCCAGCCACTTATTAAATGTGTTCTTTTTCCCTAAAGTGCTGCTAGCCGTTTTGTTATCACCAGTTTTAGTTTGTTCCTTGAAGACACTATTCTATGGCCTCACTCCAGAGCCAGTCTGAGTGATTTCAAGGTTTAGCTGTGTCATTTGCTAACTGAGTGACCTTGAGAAGGTTTCCATGCGGGGGAGGTGTGTGCATCTGTGCAGTATGTGTGTGTACATGCATACAGGGGTTCTGTGCAGTGTGTGTGTGTGTACATGCAGGTACGGGGTCCATGCAGAGTGAGTGCGCGTGTGTGTGTGTGTATGCATACAGGGGTTCCGTGCAGTGTGAGTGCGTGTGTGTGTGTGTATATGCATACAGGGGTTCTGTGCAGTGTGTGTGAGTGCGTGTGTGTGTGTATATGCGTACAGGAGTTCCGTGCAGTGTGAGTGCGTGTGTGCCTGTGTGTATATGCATACAGGAGTTCCGTGCAGTGTGTGTGTGTGCGCGTATGCGTACAGGGGTTCCGTGCAGTGTGTGTGTGTGTGTGTGTGCCTGTGTGTATATATGCGTACAGGGGTTCCATGCAGTGTGAGTGCGTGTGTGCCTGTGTGTATATGCATACGGGAGTTCCGTGCAGTGTGAGTGCGTGTGTGCCTGTGTGTATATGCGTACAGGGGTTCCGTGCAGTGTGAGTGCGTGTGCGTATGCATACAGGAGTTCCGTGCAGTGTGTGTGTGTGTGTGTGTATGCGTACAGGGGTTCCATGCAGTGTGTGTATGTGTATATGCATCTATGGGGGATCCATGCAATGTGTGTGCACAAACCCACATGGGGTCCATGTCAAGCCCTCGGGGAGAATGAGGTACCCCATGTGCTGTCCTTACTGTAATCAATTCTATACACTCGTCTCTTGTGAGTGATGCCCTTTTTAAAATGGCCCAGCTGCTAAAAGAATTGTTTAAAAACCAGACAGAACAACACAAATTGCCTGGAGTAATTGGAATTGTATTGTTTTACAGACTTCCTAAGGTGAGTATGTCAGTCATTCACTCTGTTAAGGAAACCACTATGTGATGAACAGTTATCTCACTAACAATAAAAATTAGGTTGGATCCTTTTCCTAGGAGGTTAATAAACAGTCTACTCAATTGTCAAAAGCATAGAAATACAACACATCCATAGTGCAGAAAGCGTTTTCAAAAGAAGGCTGTTAAAAGGCCTGGTATTAGCAAGGAAGGTATGTTTGGTGGTGGCTACAAATCACATTTCTGCTTTATCTTCCGTCCTTAAATGCTCCAACTATCAAATCAGGAGGTGTCCTTGCTACTTCCTTCAGCTCCCATAGATCAGAACTTACATTCACATATTTTTTTGCATCTACGACACTTCAAGGTTCTTTCACCTCTCACACTTCGTTGGGTATTGTACGGCCCCTCCGCAGAAAACCCATGAGTTTTGTGTGTTATATTTACTACATCTGATCCTGTAATATGGTCAAATGTAATGTGGGAGTAATGGCATCTTCCAGATACTGAATTCATGGGCTCATAACAAATAAAAGTTGGCAAAACTTCAAGGACAAATGAATAATTACATAGATGCCTTGAGAGAATTATAAGGCAAAGTGTACAGAGAAGAGAGAAGAGCACTGTTTAATCACTGGATAGATTTAGTTTCAGAGTCGATATGATTTCAGAACAGGATTTTTTTTTTTTAGTTACTGCAACAGGCTGAGAAAGAACATATAAAAGAGAGCAAATTATTTAAAGATTAGAAACAAGATGAAAATTCATAAACTCATCTGAATACACACTTCTCACTGCCAGCTGAATCTAAAAGTTCTGTGGCGTTTGGTTAACTTATGCTAACTGCAAGATATCCTAAAATAAGTTTGTCAGCTCCAGTTCACCTTTCAATTTTCAGTACAAATCCACTTGTAATTGGGAAAACAAATTAGACATAGATTGTTGCCTCTGCCCTAGAATTTAAAGAAATGGCTTAAATAAATGCCTAACCAATTAATTAAAGAAAATTATTCTTGGCAGAATGAACTCTGAGAGATACTTAAAGAAGTATCTTTCAAATTTCATTTGTCAATTGTACAATAATTTCATAGCTGTTTAATATGATGCTTGTATCTATGTGTTTATACTAAATTCTAGCAAAGTGTAATAAGCAATACATTCATGGTTTCGTGTGCTAGGGACCATTATTTTTTCATCCCAATAGTTGATTGCTAAATAAATATACCACAGAACCTCAATGGGGGTAGGGGTTAGGTCAGCCCATTAAAACCAGAAAGAAAAAAACAGTATTTATGAACAAAATGTTCCAATCTTCTGAAAGATCAAGTCCAAATTAAACTTTTGGTTGGAAGCAAATGGTAAACACAGGTAGAATTGGTTATAAAATTACTTTAAAAATTAGTCATTTCTTCTTAGAAAAAAATTTACCTCACATACAAGAGTATGAGTGTAGGTTTTACCTTTATAGCAATATATAATTTGTTTGGAAACTGAGTTATAACTAGAGGTAGACACATCATTTTGCTACTTTCAAATTAGCCAGCATCCAATGACAGTAATGGAGCAAGAAAGGTCATCTCTATTTCCGTCTTACTTTGTGTTGTGATAACTTCCCAGCCATCCTGAGATTTATGTAAAAATCTTAAAATCCATCTAGAGCTCACCAAAAAGCCTTCAGCGCACCAGACGGGCCTCAGATACCCTGGGTCAAAGATGGATCAGAAACACACCAGAGGGAAAAGCTCCAGGTGATACAGCCCCCGCGAAGAATCTTTGGCTATCTTCTTCAACAGGGAATTCTTAACCATCACAAGCAAATTAGCAGACTCACACTATTAATGATAATTCAACTATTTTCCTAATCCTAAATGAAAGGTAAACCAATTTAGAGAATATCACAAACTCCCCTGAAATACTAAAACACGAAGGAGGATGAAGTAATGAATTCCTGGGTTTCCAGGGGCCATAAAACCTGGAAAGGACAAGTGCAGACAACTGAAACTTCTCTTCCAGAGCTAATTTTTGCTCATTATCTTATGTTTTATGGTCAGCAATTCCGACTGGGCCTTGACAAACACTTGCTCATAGCCAGTTGGCTGTGTCAGCTGAAGGAGAGGTTGCCTGAGAGATTTCTCATCGGTTGTGCTTTGAATCAACGTGGCCAATGTTGGAATGCCAGGAGGGTGTGCAGCTGTGAGCAGGGCCAGCTTCACAGGTGCATCCAGAAGACTCCAAAGCTTGTTTTCCTGACAAGGCCTGGGTATAATTTTCCTAGTTTGACAAAAGCTGACTGTCAGAGCAATCTGTTCATTTGACACATTTGTTCTCAGCAGAATATGAAGAGCAGGTAACAGAGCAAGGGAATGGACAGTTTCAGCATGTTCAGCAAGAAGAGATCCTGTGTTAAAACGTGCAGCATTCTGGGGAAAGGATTTGTGTTTTATGCGTGGCCAGAGAACCTGGTGTTAAATGTGAATTCTCAGTTCCCACTGATTCACGTGTCTGTGGAAAAGGGACCTATGGGGCATACAGGATCAGGGTCCTTCATAAACACTGTAACAAAAACCTAGAAATTCTCTATTAATAGTCCTCATTTCTTCTCTCCACAAATCTGAGAAGTCAAATGGCTCCAAGAAAATGTATTGCTAGTTTTTGCTCAAGGATCGTGACTTGTGAATTTATTTTAAATAATGTTTTACCAGAAAGTATACAGATGTATAAAATACCAATGGTAGGTAGCTGGTTTTTAATTTTGGAAATGAATTTGGAGATCCAGTGTTTCCATTTATTCGATTCATTTTCTCACAATGCCTACACTCTTTTGAGTTATGCAGAGGGCTTATTGGCATTCTCACACTTAGTCCCAGAATGAATGCATCATTCAAACAAGTAACGTTAGACCTCGATGTTTATGAGCTTTGAACTAGCATGACTGTGCTTGCATAGAGACAATTAAAGGGAATTGAGTTCACAAGCTCCCTGAGATTTAGAATCTGTGGGAGAAATGAAACCGAGGCTAAAACAGGAACAGCTGTTTTTTCACTACCGCTCACCCTGGTTCAATTTTCTAATTAATTTTGTGTTCATAACTTTAAGATGTAAATTATTCCTGTCTAGCGTCCCTTTCCATGTGAGATACGGCTTGGACCCTTTCAAAATTTCACATTTCACATGGGAGGAGGGTTTTCTGAAAGCCATGAAAGGAAACATTAAAAGCAGCCAGCTGACTTTATTGCAGAAGAACCAAAGGTCAGAGGAGTTTGCACTTTGCTTAACTGTAAAGGCTGCTGTTCTTGTAATGAGGGTGCTAGGAAGAAAGCGGGGCGAGTAGCGGGTGTCACTGTCTTGGGCTGGCCTCGGGTCCAAGCGCAGAGGCTGCCCCGATTCCCCAGTCTTGTTAGAGTCATTGCAGCTCACACCTTCTCTGGCATTCAACCAGAAGGAGTTGAATGCTCAACACCAGGTGAAGCTCATTCCTGTGGTTAAGGATTTCCCAGAACAGGCTCATCATTAGATGATTTCCAACACAATTTATCATTTTCCTCATTCTTTCTTCTCCCTCCAGTTTTTTGTTTGTTTTTAAATCCCTCCCTGGGTATACTACAAGGCACAGCTGTGAACAAAGATGTCGCAGAAAAAAAAATTTACTCTTCAACTGCCCTTCATAACGACAATTTCCAAATGCTCAGTGACATATCAATTGGATAGCTTCAGGGAACCCATCCACAGGTAAGGGCAAATTAAAAACTGTTTTCAGAGGGGAAAAAAAGTGCTGCCAAGCCCAAAGGCTTCATAAGAGTCATGGGGACTAAAAGCTGAAGAGGCCTTGGGAGTCATCTCTGTGTGCAGAAGAGAAACTGGCGGCCCTGGGAGGTGAAATGGACTGCCCCTGATCAAACAGATCAACAGTGGGTGGAGTATCGTCCCAACCCAGTGCTCTTAGGAAGAGTCAGAGTGATGGTGGGGGCAGTAGGGAAGACACTAGTTGAGGCAGCAGAAAAAATATTAGAACGGCTGTCAGAGGCAGCCTCTTTTGACCTGTGCCTGGATACTGTGTCATGTGCAAATTCGGTAAGCTGATGCGTGTCTGCTCATATTAAAAATTGTTTCTTATGCTGATTACCTACGAACTTCTTTTCAGGATGGTATCAATCAATTATGTTTTTTCTTAAAAAAAAAAACCTCTCACATTTTTGAATCCTGTGAAAATTATAGTATGGGAGACCCTCAGATGTCATTCTGAGATCAACCAGGTATAATAATCTGAGAAACCTAGTTCATGATAAAATTGTGTTGCCTTTTGTTATTATTACTTTTTTCACTATAATATTCAAAATCTATCTCTTTAATAGCCTGCTTTGAAATTTGGCAAAAGAATATCAGGCTCACAGGTCTGCTCTGTGATTCTTCAGTTCTCTTTCGGCTAGAGAATATTTTCAGTCTTTTCCCGTCTTCCCTGAAGTGCTCCTCACAGTCCCCGAATGCAGCCCAGCAATCTTCCCACCAAGGGACCTCAATGCTCTGGAGGTGTGGACTCTGAGGGTGGGACCACCCAGGCTCTGCCGGGCACACACCCCAGTGGGAGACTGGGGCAAATGAAGGGAGGCAGCTGAGACAGTGACCATGGGAGAAATGATGGTTCCTCTTGTGGATATGAGCCCGAGACACTTGGTTTTCCTGGGGGCTCCAGCAGAGGTTTAAGCAGCAGATCTTTGAGAAGCAATGAAAACTGACTTCCCTGTGGTCCCAGAGATTCTGCAAGCTCTCTAGCACCCTGTAATAAAGAACTTCAGCTTGAATTAGGCTGCTTGGGCTGTCACAACAAAATACTATAGACTGTGCGGCTTAAATAATAGAAGTCTATTTTCTCACAGTTCTGGAGGCTGTAGCTCGTCGGTGAAGGTCTGGTAGATTGGTTTCTGGTGAGGGCTCTCTTCCTGTCTTGCAAGTGGCTGCCTTCTCGCTATGTCCTCACATGGAGGAAAGAGAGCGAGCTCGCTGGTTGCCTTTCTGTAAAGATACCAACTTTATCAACTCAGGGCCCCATCCTTGCAACCTCATTAACCCTTAGTTACATCCAAGAAGGTCCTATCTCTGTATATAGGAACAGTGAGGGCGAGGCCTTCAACACAAGAATTTTGAGGGAGAAACGATTCAGTCCATAGCAGTTTAAATCCACCAGAGTGAATTCTATTTATGGCAATGAAGAACACTGACCAACATACACAGGGTATAACTTCTGTGTTTTAAAATTTGAACTTATTTGGAAGAGCTAGACGCTACCATACAATCTTCTGCATTAACTTGATTTTGGTGATTTTTTTATCAATGTCAATTCTGCTACCTTCTTCTCAGCAGTAAGAGTAGAAATAAAACAAGAGTTGAAGATGTCTGTTTTCTCTCTTTTTACAGTTAACATATAATTTTAAATTTAAAAGTTTTATAAAATTTATTGGGACATGATTTGCATATAATAAAAATAATGCACCTATTTTAAACACAGAGTATAATACATTTGACCAATGTATACACCCACATACAATAGACACACCCATTGTAAACACACCAATGTATAGGCCCATGACAATGTATACAACAAGGTAACCACCATCACATTTTAGATATAAGAATATTTTCACCATTCTGAGACATCCTTTTTGGTCCCTTCCAAATGACCTTCCCGACCACTCATCCCACACAAACCCTGATCGAATTTCTATCACCACATATCACTTTAATCTGTTCTAGAACTTCGTACAAATAGGATCATATAGTCTGTAGTGTTTTAATCTGAATTATCTCACTGAAGTAGTTTTGAGGGTATGTATGCATTCTGTTTTGTTGTCGAGACACATCCCTTGGTATGCCATCATTTGCTTCTCCATTGGCCTATTCATGGATATTTGAGTTGGTTTCAGTTTGGGGCTATTATGAATAAAGCTGCCGTGAACATTTAAGTACAAGCTTTTTTTTACGGACATAAGCTTTCATTTCTCAGTAATAAAGTTGGGTCATAATATAAGTTTATATTTAACTTTATAAAAACATGCTAAATATTTTCAAAGTAGTTACAGTAGTTTACATTCCCATAAATAGTATGCGAGAGGTCCAGTTGGTCCATATTTTCACCAGGGCTTGCTATTATCAGTATTTTGTTCAGCCATGCTAGTGAGCACGTAGTCACACTTGTTACGTGTGTTTTTAATTTTGCATTTTTTGAGTATTAAAGATGTTGATGACCTTAGGTGCCATTTTTTTATGTTTCATATAGCTCCATGGATAAACTAAAATGTGTAACTTTTTTTTTACTTTTAATTTTTCCCCTTATTCTGGCTTCAGTATATTTTAAAAGAAACTCATAATTTTACTGCATATGTGTACTTGGTAATGTTTAAGTCTTGCGTGTCTTATTCAAAGCCTTTCAAATTTGAGCTCATTAGAAAAATCCTTCTGATGATTTTTAAGTGCATTTTTATTTTCTTCCTCGTAGTAAAGTTTACAAGAAGACCCAGAATTCCCTTTGAAATGCTCTTCTTGCCTTGCAGAGCATTTTCTGACTTTTTTTGAAATTTGCCTTATAAGTTTATAAACTTAAGGCATAAATTAGACCATAACTAATTATAATTTTATATTAATTTAATCACTCATTTATTAATTCAACAAAAATTGTTATGCATTAACTCTGTGCCAGGCATTATTCCTGGCAAAGATGACAGAGTGATGACCAAAGAAGGCAAATCATATAGTATTGGAGGAAGATTCTAGATGTTCTGTGACCAACTCAATAGTCCTATCTTAATTAACTACTGTTTGGTTGTTTAAACATATTTATCAAGCATGTTTGCATATGCAAGGCACTGCAGAGAAGCTAAATGAATGAATAAATGCAAGGAGGTTTCAGTATTTTATAGGAAATAGTTCTCAGTTGAATGAAACACATGTGCCAGGAACGTCTCTGGTACTGTGGATACCATTGTCAGGAAAACAAGACATGATCCCAGTCTTCGCCTAGTGGTGGGACGGGGAGGTAGACCCCATTCAGATCAGCAGGTAGACCTGGAATGAGAGTCTGTGACAGTGTGCTGTCCGAATGTGTAACAGGGAGTCCTGATATGGCAGGTGGTGTTTAGGGAAGATGCTGTGGAAGAGAAACATCTGAGCCAGTTACCTTTAAGAAGGCCAGTTACCTTTAAGAAGGAGTTAACGGAATAAGAAGGGAGAGAATGTTTAGACCCTGATTCAGAGGAAACACAGCATGTTAGAGGAGGTGGAAATGGCCAGCGTGTTTGGAGTTAGAGGTCAAGGCATGCACATGGCCTTCAATGTGGTCTTCAGTGCCCTGCAATCTAGCTCCTGCCTCCAATTCTCCACTGAGACCATGCCTGCCAAGGTCAATAATGACCTTCTAGCTGTGAACCTCAGTGAATGGATGCTTCTCATTCTTCACGCTACTTGGACTCTTTCCAATGCTTACCACTCTCTCCATTAAAATGTCCACCTTGATTTTAAAATGCCACAACAGATGATCTTTCTACTCCCTGCATGACTCCTTCTCAATCTCCCCCTCTTCTGCATGACATACGAGCCTCTCTGGATTTCGGCCGCTGTCAATCTCTTCAGTGCTCTGCCTGTCCCCATTTAGTCATGCGTGATGTCATCTCACGTCATGTCTTCCGACGAGGAAAGTGCCCGGCTCTGCTTCAGTAATTACCATAGCTGAAATGGATCTCTAGGACTTTAGAAATAATTGTATATCCAAGCTTCACTTACATATACTTTTTTCCTATTTCATATTTGTAACCTAAGTAGATGTTGCTAATTAAAGCTTTATCTTTGTTTACTTATAATGTATCTAGACACCACACTAGATGCTGCTATGAAACAAAATACGAAAGGTTTCTTTTGTACTTGTCCTTGAGGATTCCACTCACTGGCAACTCTTTCCAGGAAACGTTTCCTGAACGTCGATGCTCCACCAGGTAACCTCATGATGAGGCCTCAGTGACACGTGCTTTCCTCTTGAGTATTTTATACCACATTGTATGTATCAGTTTATTTGATTATCTTCATTTCCAAATTGTGATATCCTCCTTTGTAAACCACAATGCTTAACACAGCATCTGGCAAGGAGCAGGAACATAATAGGTGCACGCGCGCACACACACACACACACACACACACAGAGTTTATCCTCATTCTACACATATTCCACATTTGCAAATTTGCCTACTGACTAAAATTTCTTCGTGATACCCAAGTCGACAATGTGGTTCTTTCACAGCCATTCCCCGTGAAAAGGCACATGAAAAATGGTGGAAGATTTGCCACCCAACGTGCATGTTCCCAGCTGAGGTAGAAGAAGGGGATGCTCTGCCTTCCCGCATCAGCTCGCATACTGCAAGTGAATGTCCTTTTGGCAGCCTTTACCGTGCTGTGCTTTTTGCATTTTTGTGCTTTTTGTTTGCAACTTTTTTGTTTGAGGTGGTCCCCGAGCATAGTGTGGAAGTGCTGTCTAGTGTGGCTAAGCACAAGAAGGCTGTGTGTGCCTCACGGAGAAAACAGATGTGAAAGATAAGCTTCACTCAGGCATGAATGCTGTTGGCCATGAGCTCAAAGTTAATGAATCACAACATGTATTAAATAAGGTGACTTTAAACAGAAACACACAAAACAAGATGATGTATTGATACATTGACAAAAATGTGACCAGGATAGGAGCGGGCAAAAAAATACTAACCAAAGGCCCGCAGGGGTTTAACCCTGTATTTTCCATGAGAGCAACGGTTCAGTATTCATGGTTCAGTATTCACAAACTCAGCATTAGCAGCAGCTTCAGAGAATGAACCTACAGCAAATAATGAAAATTTACTCTATATATGTGTGTGTGCATATTACATATGTGTGTATACATAATGTGAAGACAATAAAGCAGAAATAAATAATATACAATGGTTGTGCAAAACAGGGAAAGACTATAAATATCTGATTGAAAACATCAGAATATGTTTCATAGGGAAGTTGCTATCCATGATAACCCTTGAATAAAGTACAGAATTTCAACAGATATAACTGAAGCTAAGAAAATCCTAATGGAAAGTGAGAAAACAAAGTCATGAATTTGGGCAAGTTCAGGGATATGTACACAGCCTAGCTCAAGGGATATATACACAGCCTAGCTCAAGGGATATATACACAGCCTAGCTCAAGGGATATATACACAGCCTAGCTCAAGGGATATATACACAGCCTAGCTCAAGTATAAAGTACAGAAAGAGGTAAGTTCCATATTGTGTTCAACATCTCCTAGGAGGGAAAATGTATGTGGTTTATTTAATAGTCATTGTTAATTCAATAGTCTGTCTTGGGTTTAAAATGGCCTCTGATATTCTTTCCTAACTTTTCAGTCAAACATATGTTAAGATGTTTTCAAAAGACAACATTCACAACCACCTAAAGCAAATGTGACAATCAACACTACCAGAATTTGTTAGAAATTTCCAGCAACTACAAAGACAATAGAACTTATTATTTCCTGAAAACAAGAGCTACTGGTTTGGGCTCAGAAATGCAACGACTTCCCTAGATTATCCGGCAATGGCCGCTTTGTGTCTATGCTGCCTGCAGGGCAGCCAGAACCCAGCCTTCTTCCTTCCTCTTTTAGACACATTAATGTAGTCTAGTCTTCAGAAACAGGTGGGGGTAAAGAAAAGCAGCTTTGGGAATGATGCTATCACCCTATCTCCTGGGTTGTGTATATTTGGCCTTAGACCCTGGGGATTGGTCTAGAGGGTCAAGCACATAAACAATTGGGCTTTTATAACTCACGTGTGACTGAGCAGGAAGCAGGGGCAGTTGAAATCCCTAAAGGGAAGACTCCTGTGAAAAGGACAGCAGGAGGGAGGAGCTATGCACTTTGTTGGAGGGTGTACCCAATCCCAGGGGAACACACAAGAAATAAGCTCAGGGAATTAAGCCTACAACCTCACACTTTTCTCTCCATTTGTGTTGGAGGGTGTACCTAATCCCAGGGGAACACACAGGAAATAAACTCGGGGAATTAAGGCTGCAATCTCAGACTTTTCTCTCCATTTGTGTTGGAGGGTGTACCTAATCCCTGGGGAACACACAGGAAATAAACTCAGGGAATTAAGGCTACAACCTCAGACTTTTCTCTCCATTTGTGTTGGAGGGTGTACCTAATCCCAGGGGAGCACACAGGAAATAAGCTCAGGGAATTAAGGCTACAACCTCAGACTTTTCTCTCCATTTGTGTTGGAGGGTGTACCTAATCCCAGGGGAGCACACAGGAAATAAGCTCAGGGAATTAAGGCTACAACCTCAGACTTTTCTCTCTATCTGTGTTCTTGTCCTTTGGTGAATCTAACCAAAAGCCAGAAGGCAAGGGAGCATTTCAATTTACTCTCTATTGATCAGTTTCCTGAGGGATGGAGGAGGGTGGAGAATGGATATGGAATTGCTAAAGCAGGGAACACACACACATGCAAACATACACATACACACACACACACATTCTTTCTGTCTCTCTGTCTCTCCCTCAAAAGAATGATTAGATAGATGATAGATGATAGATAGATAGATAGACATAGATAAATATATGGTAGAGGTGATATCTATGCCCTCGAGTTTCTTAAATTGTGTTATATATTGTAGTATAATATGAAGTATAATTCAATTTAAAATGTAATAAGCCAGTAGTCCAGTTTCCTACTCACTGAAATTAGTTATTAAGATTGATTAATTAATCTAATTCCTTAGATTTAAGAGAATGGTCAAATATGTGTCTTCAATCATTTCAGGGTAGAGCTGCCTAAAGCTAGAACACCTGGCTCTTCAAATATACTATTGGCCCTGTATGCCTTTTGTCCTGAGTTAGAAAATGATACCTTTCCAGAACTGTCCTGAATGAGATTACCAAGTAAAAATATTCTAATGCCACGTTTACAGACTTCCTGTTAGAATCTCCGTCTGACATATAAAGAGCTTAGAGGCAAACACTTTGTTCTTACAATAAGAAAAAAACTGAACAAACTATAAATCAATTACTTTTCTTAGACTCCTTGAAGACCTGAGGTCACAGGGCTGCCTGGTGCCCAAAGCTGAAGATGCAGCTGAATGCAGATCATCATGACCAAGATCAGCCTCCCTAGAGCAGGAGCAGTTGGAGTCATAAACCTGCATGGACATGTAGGTGGTAATTTTGATGAATTGCTGGAGGCTGAATGCAGACTGTTCTGAGAGTGAAAACTTTCTGGAGACCCTAGTGTTAGGGCCCCCTTTTCACTGCCCCAACCCAGTTGGAACTCGGAATGCCACCAGGGTCTCAAGGTGGAAAGCAAGAGAGATCCCCTGGTGCTGTGGCAGAAGGAAGGGAAAGGTAATCTTTATAAAACATGCCCAGGGTCTTCTCTATAACAAAAGCCTACTCTCCGGGAAAAAAAGACTGCCAGGGCCCCATTCCTCCTGGGGCAAGAATATATCTATAAGCCAGCCACTTCTTGCTTTCTTTTATCACCATTGAGGGAGGAAGGAAATCTAAGAAACACTTATAAAGGTCACAGCCCTGGGACAAAGTGCCACTAAAACACTCATACTTACACACGAGACTACAGTGTGCTTCTCTCCCCAACATTTAACTGCAACACCAACAGACTCCAGTGTATTAACAATTGATTCCAGGTGAAAGAGCTGAAAGACAGGCTTTATCTTACAGAAACACTAAAACAACCAAAGACACAAAAACAAGGCCACCAGAGGTATTTGAAACCTCTGGCATCCATAGCTACAACAAACACTAAACAAAGTCCAAGACCTGCCAAATTGACATAAATCCTCGCACTGAAGACCAATTTACCAAAGTTCCCATGTTGTGTGTGTGTATGTGTATACTTATATGTAATGTATGTGTTGGTATTTATATATGTATAGATATAGATGTACACCTATTGATGTATATCTGTATGTTTATATATACCTCTATCTCTATTTTCTATGTATCTCTATCTTTCTACCTATTTACTGGCTTTCATCAAATATTACAGACAATGCCAAGAAAAATTATAGATTGAAGATACAAGGCAAGCATTAGAATCAGTATCAGAAAGACGAATTTTGGAATTAGCAAACAGGAAATGTAAAGCAACTATAATTAATATCTTAAGGAATCTAATAAAAAATCAAATAACGTGTCAAAACAGATACATGTTAGCTGAGTGAAGGAGACTTTAAAAATCAAAAGAAAATGTTGGAAATCAAAGCCACAGTAACAGAAATTAAGAGTGCCTTGATGATCTCCACAGTAGATTGAAATAGCTGAGGAAAAAAACTAATGAGCTTGAAGATATGTCAATAGAAACATTCCAAACTGAAATGCAAGTAGAAAATAAGCGAGAAAAATAACCCCAGAACATCCAACAGCTGTGGGACAATTTCAAAAGGCAAAACATACGTTTAACTTGATTACCAAAAGACAAAAAAGAGAGAATAGAGCAGAAGAAATATTTGAAGTAATGATGGCAAAGCACTTTCCAAAATGTACGGAAGACATGAAACCACCTATCAGGTTAGCTCAGAGAACATCAAGAAGATAAATACTGGAAAACAAAGCCCTACTTCTAGGGGTATCATATTTAAACAGTAGAAAAGCAATTTCAAAAAGAAATCTTGAAAGAACCGGGGGCAAGGGCCATTTTATCTATAGAAAGGCAAGGATAAGAATTACAGATGACTTCTCATCAGGAATCATGCAAGCAAGAGGATTGTGGAGGGGAGAGGATAATGAAAGAAGAAGAAACACCAACATAAAATTCTATAACAAGAGAAATGATTCTTACAGAGTGAAGAAGAAATAAAGACTTTCTCAGAGAAACAAAAACTGGGAGTGCTCATGACCAGAAGACCTGCCCTGAAACTAATGTGAAAAGAAGTTCTTCAGGAAGAAGGAAAATAATATTGGTCAGATACTTGGATCTGCATGAAGAAAGGAAGAGTGCTGGAAAGGAGAACACGAAGGTAAAATTCAATCTTTTACTTTTCTCATTCCTAACTGATCTAAAAGGTAACTTGATTTAAATCAGTAATAGTAACAACGTGTTGAGTGATTATAGCATGTGGATAAGTGAAATGCATGGCCACCTATCACAGAGATATGAAGGAGCCATTGGAAATACTCTGTTACTTGTGTAGGACAGTTCTCCAGGCAGTCTTGGACTGACCCAGTTAACTTCCCTTTCTCACTTATAGTTCTTGAGAACAACTGTAGAACGTCGTTCTATAACTACAGAAATGCAACATCCTGGTATAAGGAGAGGATGGCTGGAACAGTCCCTCCTCCCCACAAATAGAATGTTCTTCAACACTTCAGCCCAGCACTTCATGTGACTCTTGGGGTGTAAATCCCAGGGCAGCCTTATTTCCAGGATTCCTCAGCTGCATGGTAAGTGGGTCACACACAGACAAGGCTCCATCTGCTCTATGCAGCTTTCCTGAGCTTTGAGGGACTAGCTCATGATGAATCCTACATTTCTGTTGTATGTGATAATTCTCAGTCTTGACTTGTTGCCCCTGAGCGTGCTCTGTCTCACTGCACTCAGACAAGTTGCTAACCAGTGCACGGTGAACCTGCTCCACAAATTCACAGTACATGTGAAGTAGGATAGTGCTATTGCAGATAGACTTAAATTATTTAAAACTGTGTGTTACATACTTTCAAGAAGCCACTAAGATTTGTCTTAAAAAATATAATAATATGGTCAAATAGCAGATAAAATAAAATCATATAAACAAGAGAAGAAAGAAAAAGAGGGGAAACTCAAAGAAACAAGGAATAAATTCAAAAAATGAAAAACAGCTTCAAACATGGTAAATATTAATCCAATTTTATCAATAATCTCATTAAACATGAATGGTCTAAATATGCCAATTAAAAGAAAGGATATCAGAGTGAGTACGAAACAAGACCGGATTCTATGTCCTCTACTTGCCTTCCACTTTAATATAAAGACGTAAGTAGGTGGGAAAGAGCAGGAGGCGGAAGGATGTGCCATACTAACATTTAGTCCATGTCAGTGGCAGAAGTGAAAGAAAGAAGGTCACTTTATATGCTATTGCTTTCACAACCTGAAAACCTAAAGAAAAGTGAGCATTCACCAAGACTGATGCTGCAAATAAACAGAATAATTGCCAGCTTTAGCATTAATTAACAGTTTAGGGGATGTAATTTCTTAACTGCATTTTAAAAACCAAACATCCAAATACATTAGATTAATTCTTCAGAGAGAGTTACTCATATTTTATATTTGATGATTTTAGATCATATTTGTCTCAACGGGAAGAATAAAAGAAGACTAATGAGACAAGCAGAGAAAAAAAACCTTAAATAAGTTGGCTGCTTAATGTTCTCCTTCCTTTACTCTTAAAATGGTGGCTGCAGAGCTTGGGATGCTGTACCCTTTAGAATTAGTGACTCATCTGGATTTCAAAAGTAAAATCGTTCTATATCATAAGTAGTCATGAAGACGTTCATTCTGATTCCCAGAGAAGTGTAGTCGGTGAAGTTCTAGCAGCTGACACGATGTTCTTTCCTATAATACTCCTCTGGTTATTATTTCAGGGTGCCGCCCACAGATTACTCTTCTCTTTGTCTTGTCAAAATGTAATGTTGAAAATCTGAAAGGTTGCTAAATGCTTTTGTGAAAATAACAAGGCAAAATACAGTATTTTTAAAAATGTTGATGCTGAAAGACAAAAGAGCACATCCGGTCATTCCTCTCCATTTATATTTTACAGTGCACATCCTGCTGAAACATTTTATGGAAATGACTCCTTGCTCTAGAGTAAGTAACCCACACATTTTTCCAGCTTGACTTTAATATGCACATAATTTCCTTGAAATTACATTTCAAGGATTTAGAAAATTTTTTGTTGCCAGACTAAATTTTGGAAAACTGCCTCATTAATCAGACTGTAAACATGTTGGGTCATATAGGTTCAGTTTGAGTTTTGAGACAGATTGACTATTCAATAGCTGATTTTTGGATTTCTAATTGGGATTAAACTCATTGTGTTTTATAAAAACATTAAAGAACATTTTAGATATACTGCATATTTTGATATTCTGCACATAGTTTGTCAGTACAAAGGGATTTTAGAAAACATTCCTGAATCCTCCTGAATTTGTGTGCTCTGTAATTAAGTAACAGTGATTACTGTGCCAGGAAATTTCATCTGTCTTACCCAGTCATAGAGTAAGAGATGGCCTCCTCATCCATATCCATATCATGGCTTCCTCATCCATGTCTATAGCATGGCTTCCTCATCCATATCCATATCATGGCCTCCTCATCCATATCCATATCATGGCCTCCTCATCCATATCCATATCATGGCTTCCTCATCCATGTCCGTAGCATGGCTTCCTCATCCATATCCATATCATGGCTTCCTCATCCATATCCATATCGTGGCTTCCTCATCCATGTCCATAGCATGGCTTCCTCATGCATGTGCATATCATGGCTTCCTCATCCATGTGCATATCATGGCTTCCTCATCCATGTGCATATCATGGCTTCCTCATCCATATCCATAGCATGGCTTCTTCATCCATATCCATATCATGGCTTCCTCATCCATATCCATAGCATGGCTTCCTCATCCATATCCATAGCATGGCTTCTTCATCCATATCCATATCATGGCTTCCTCATCCATATCCATATCATGACTTCCTCATCCATATCCATATCATGGCTTCCTCATCCATGTCCATAGCATGGCTTCCTCATCCATGTCCATAGCATGGCTTCCTCATTCCTATCTATATCATGGCTTCCTCATCCACAGAATGAAAATATATTGATAATACTTTCCTTGCCCATTGGGAAGGACTCTTTTCCTGTGTGTATGTGTGTGTGTGTGTGTGTGCACGTGCATGTATGTTGAAAATAGTGAAATGTCGTATGTTACAGAAGTTATCCTTATTGCTATATAATACCTTAATGCTAATGTGTTTTTGTGTGCTGGTGACCAAGCAGTATTAGAAAGATACAGCCTTCCTCCTGAGAAGTCCAACTACAATCAAGGAAATTTCTCTTAGCCTCTCTCTGTTAGAGAAAATATAAACAAATACACAAGTTAGAATCTTGGGTAGTGCTGATTATTCCAAGTGTGTATGTGCAGCTTCCATGGGCAATTTGGTTCCAGTTCATTTCTGGGGTAAGTGACCCACATCTACACTGTAAAATTTTTTTGTGTTTCAAGAGCCAAAATTGTTCTATGAAAACACTTATCATTGAATTGGTGATTTTATGAGAGAGCATTGTCTGTACATTTACAACCACTGACAGAGGTTAAATGTAGGTGAATGAGGAGTTCTGAGTCGACAGCCAGGAGAGGCTTGTACCAACAGGGAATTGATCATCTCAGGTGAGCCTGTGCTAGAGCTAAAGGTTGTTAACTCTGTTATTAGAATTCAGTGTTACAGCCCTGCCTTCTGCCCAAAGCACAGACATTTTAGTTGTAAGAAAAGCAGTTATGTCTCTCACATAACTCCTTCACCTGGCTGTTTGCTTAATCATTACTTTATGAAACTGTGCCCTTGTTTTTACTCACAAAGTCACAGAAGGTGTCAGTAAGTGCCATTCCTCATTTCAGACAAGCACAATCAGAGTTGAGCATTTAATATTTCATTTGGCTTTAAAACATAAACCACGCATACGAGATAAGCCTGGGGCATTTTGTAGAACCAGGAAGTTAAAAAGTGCATGAAAAACTCCCCGAGAGAATGGGAGTGTGACAAAGGGAAACAGAGGCCCACCTGAAGGAGCTCCCCACTTAATGCTGGAATCATCTGAGCAGTAAAATAAACAACAGAGTATTGGGATATAACCGAAAGTATAGAATAAATATACACAAGTTCCTGTTGATATATAGTAAATGATTAAAAAATGAATGGGGAAGAAGTTACATTATTTTACAGAAACATTCCAAACTATTTCTGTAGACATTTTACTCTACAGAAGTTGGAGCTTAATCCTCCTCTCCAACCATACGCTAAACTTAGTGACTTGTTTCCATGGGACAGAATAGAGAAAGAAAAGCAAAATAGTAGAGTTAGAGAGGAAAAACTTGGCAAAACCACATGAAATGAGTGATGAAGGTGAACAACCTCAGTGGTGTCGTGTGCCCCTAATTTGATGTGACAAGGAAAGCACTTTATCTCTGTGAAATTCCTTCCCCAAATCCCATGAGAAAGACATCAAAGAAACCCAGGTGGGGGTCTTCCTGTGGGATAACTTGCCTGTACACCTCAAGATTCTCAAGGTCATAAAAAACAGGTAAAGTGTGGGGGAAGCATCACATACAAGAGGTGACAGGGCAGCATTGTGGTGCCCTAATTAGATGTTGAAATAGAAAGAGGAGATTCATGGAAAAGCTGTCTGAAGTTTAGTTAATAGTAATGCAGGGTTGTAGGTTGAATGGTGACTTCCCAGAAGAGAAGAGGAGGAGGCAATGTGGTCACGAAGGTAGAGACTGGAGATTGGAGCCACAAACCAAGAAACTCCAGCAGCCACCAGAAGCCGGAAGAGACAAGGAACAAAATGTCCCCTAAAGCCGCCATAGGGAGGGAGGGCAGCCCTGCCACATATGGGTCTTGGACTTCTGGACCCCAGAACTGTGAGAGAATACATTTCTGTTGTTAGAAGCTCTCGAGTTTACGGCAATTTGTTATAGCAGCCCTAGGAAAGTAAAAGAGATACCAGTATCATTTTCTGTCTTGATCAATGTGCCATAGTGATGTGAAATGTTAGTAATAAGGGAAACTAGGAAGGGCTGTTAAAAGATAGAATTTATTTGAGCAAACAGGGATTCATTAACCAGGCAGCACCAAACTACAAGCTCTGAAGGGCTTCCCCAAAGGGGCTGTGGGGATTTATAGGGTGAATGTGGAAACAGAGCAAAGGAACTGCTTATTGGTTGAAGTTGGAAAATGCACAGCTGGTGGCCTATGATTGCCAGCTCAAGTTCCACTTTGTTTATGTGGGAACACAGGGCACTAGAGCCACTCTAACCTAATGGTGTACCACTTAATTATTTTAACAGGGGTGGACAGGGATTCTCTGTACTATCTTTGCAACTTTTCTATAAATATAAAATTATTCCAAAATAACAAAGTTTTTAAGAAGTACAATTTAGTTCAAAGAAATGTACATATTTTACCACTACTTTGTAATGAGTGAAACAATATTTCTTTGAATAAGTTGACTACTATTTCATTAAATATTTTACAAATGAAAATAAATTTTCCTAGAAAAAACCATATTAGTCCATTTTCACACTGCTATAAACATGCTGCCTGAGACTGGCTAATTTATTTTAAAAAGAAGGTTTAAATAACTCATAGACCCTTACAATCATGGTGGAAGGAGAAGCAGGCACCTTTTTCACAAGGCAGCAGGAGAAAAAGAGAGTGTGTGTGAAGGACGAACTGCTAAACACTTATGAAACCATCGGATCTCATAAGAACTCACTCACTATCACAAGATCAGCATGTGGGAAACTGCCCCCATGATCCAGTCACCTCCCACCAGGTCTCTCCTTCAAACCTTCAAAAGGTTTATGGAGATTGCAATTTGAGATGAGATTTGAGTGGGGACACAGAGCCAAACCATATCATTCCACCCCTGGCTTCTCCCAAATCTCATATCCATCTCACATTTCAAAACCAATCATGACTTCCCAAGAGTCCCTCAAAGTCTTAACTTATTCTAGCATTAACCCCAAAAGTCCAAGTCCAAAGTCTCATCTGAGACAAGGCACATCTTTTCTGCTCAAAAGCCTGTAAAATCAAAAGCAAGTTAGTTACTTTGAAGATACATGGTGGGTACATGCATTAGATAAATGCTCCCACTCCAAATGAAAGAAATTGGCCAAAACAAAGGGGCGACTGTATGTCTTACATCCAGGGCATGTTGATGCAAGGGGTAGGCTCCCACAGCCTTGGGCAGCTCCTTCTTGGGCTGGCGTTGAGTGCCTGCAGCTTTTCCTGGTGCATGGTGCAAGCTGTCAGTAGATCTACCATTCTGGGGTCTGGAGGATGGTGGCCCTTTTCTCACAGCCTCACTATGCAGTGCCCCAGTGGGGACTCTGTGTGAGACTCTAACCCCACATTTCTCTTCTGCACTGCCCTAGCAGAGGTTCTCTGTGAGGCCTCCACCCTTGCAGTTGACTCCTGCCTGGACATCCAGGCATTTCCATATATCCTCTGAAATCTAAGCAGAGGTTCCCAAATGTTTATTCTTAACTTCTGTGCACCTGCAGGCTGAACACCTCATGGAAGCCACCAAGGCTTGGGGTTTGCACCCTCTGAAGCAATGACCTGAGCTATACCTTGGCCCCTTTTAGCCACAGCTGCAGCTGGAGAGGCTGAGACACAGGGGACCAAGTCCTGAGGCTGCACCCAGTTGCGGGGCCCTGGGCCTGGCCCACAAAACCATTTTTTCCTCCTGCTCCTCCAGGTCTGTGATGGGAGCAGCTGCCACTGGTATCTCTGACATACCCTGGAGACATTTTCCCCATTGTTTTGGTGATTAACATTGGGCTCCTTTTTACTTATGCAAATTTCTGCAGCCAGCTTGAATTTCTCCCCAGAAAAATGGGTTTTTCTTTTCTTTTTTTTTTTATTATACTTTAAGTTTTAGGGTACATGTGCACATTGTGCAGGTTAGTTACATATGTATACATATGCCATGCTGGTGTGCTGCACCCACTAAATCGTCATCTAGCATTAGGCATATCTCCCAATGCTATCCCTCCCCCCTCCCCCCACCCCACCACAGTCCCCAGAGTGTGATATTCCCCTTCCTGTGTCCATGTGATCTCATTGTTCAATTCCCACCTATGAGTGAGAATATGCGGTGTTTGGTTTTTTGTCCTTGCGATAGTTTACTAAGAATGATGATTTCCAATTTCATCCATGTCCCTACAAAGGACATGAACTCATCATTTTTTATGGCTGCATAGTATTCCATGGTGTATATGTGCCACATTTTCTTAATCCAGTCTATCATTGTTGGACATTTGGGTTGGTTCCAAGTCTTTGCTATTGTGAATAATGCCGCAATAAACATACGTGTGCATGTGTCTTTATAGCAGCATGATTTATAGTCCTTTGGGTATATACCCAGTAATGGGATGGCTGGGTCAAATGGTATTTCTAGTTCTAGATCCCTGAGGTAATTTACAGATTCAATGCCATCCCCATAAAGCTACCAATTACTTTCTTCACAGAATTGGAAAAAACTACTTTAAAGTTCATATGGAACCAAAAAAGAGCCCACATTGCCAAGGCAATCCTAAGCCAAAAGAACAAAGCTGGAGGCATCATGCTACCTGACTTCAAACTATAGTACAAGGCTACAGTAACCAAAACAGTATGGTACTGGTACCAAAACAGAGATATAGATCAATGGAACAGAACAGAGCCCTCAGAAATAATGCCGCATATCTACAACTATCTGATCTTTGACAAACCTGACAAAAACAAGCAATGGGGAAAGGATTCCCTATTTAATAAATGGTGCTGGGAAAACTGGCTAGCCATATGTAGAAAGCTGAAACTGGATCCCTTCCTTACACCTTATACAAAAATTAATTCAAGATGGATTAAAGACTTAAACGTTAGGCCTAAAACCATAAAAACCCTAGAAGAAAACCTAGGCATTACCATTCAGGACATAGGCATGGGTAAGGACTTCATGTCCAAAACACCAAAAGCAATGGCAACAAAAGACAAAATTGACAAATGGGATCTAATTAAACTAAAGAGCTTCTGCACAGCAAAAGAAACTACCATCAGAGTGAACAGGCAACCTACAAAATGGGAGAAAATTTTCGCAACCTACTCATCTGACAAAGGGTTTTTATTTTCTACCACATCGTCATGCTGCAAATTTTTCGAACTTTGATGCTCTCCTTCCCTCTTAAACATAAGTTCCAATTTCAGATTGTCTCTCTAAGTTCAAAGTTCCACAGATCTCTAGCACAGGGGCAAAATGCCACCAGTCTCTTTGCTAAAGCATAGCAAGAGTGACCTTTTCTCTGATTCCCAAGAAGTTCCTCATCTCCATCTGAGACCACTTCAGCCTGGACTTCATTGTTCACATCATTATTAGAATTTTGGTCAAAACCATTCAACAAGTCTCTAGGAAGTTCCAAACTTTTCCACATTTTCATGTCTTCTTCTGAGCCCTCCAAACTGTTCCAATCTCTGGGTGTTATCCAGTTCCAAAGCTGCACCCACATTTTCAAGTATCTTTATAGCAGTGCCCTACTACCTTGGTACCAATTTATTGTATTAGTTGATTTTAACACTGCTATACAGATACTACCCCAGACTGGGTAATTTATAAACAAAGGAGGTTTAATTGACTCACAGTTCTGCATGGCTGGGAAGGCCTCAGGAAACATAGTTATGGCAGAAGTGGAAGCAGGCACCTCCTTCACAAGGCAACAGGAGACAGAGAGAGAGAAAGAGTGTGTGTGAAGGAGAAACTGTCAAACACTTATAACACCATCAAATCTCATGAGTACTCACTCACTATCATGAGAACAGCATGCGGGAACTGCCCCTATGCTCCCCCTGGTCCCTCCCTCAATATGTGGGCATTACAGGGATTACAATTTGAGATGAGATTTGGGTGGGGACACAAAGCCAAATCATCTCAGAAACCTTTCTAATGAAAAACATCTGCATGGCAAATCCAAGTTTGAAACAATGAATCTATACATTTGATTGCATTATGTTCCATAGCTAGGGTATGCTTTCTCTGATTTATAGTTGATTAAGGTGAGTAGTCTTAACCAGTTCTATCAGTTACATTTATATAAAATATCACTTAACTTTAGTCCAATATAAAGTTACACTATTATTGCTTCCCTAATTCTAAATTTACCTCATTTCTAAGCTTAATTACAAGTTCATCTAAGGGTTTAATCACTGATGTAAATCGTTAGCTTTTCTTATGTCTTCTTTATTTGAACCAAAATTATTTGACTCAAAGAAAGCAAAACACCTTATATACGTTTATTTTTATTTTTATTTTAACCACAGCAACAAAAGAGTGGAAATGGTAATCATGAACATCTAACACTGCTCAGCCTAAAGAAGGACCACTTGGGCATTACCAACCAGCGGGAAGAATGTCCTGCAAATTAAGATTTGTCCTTAAGCATATGCATCTGAGGATTGTTATAGTATTTAGTAAGGAGGTGATTAGCAAAGAGATGATATTTAGGAAGGTATAGCCAGCAGTCAGTCCCCCATCAATGGTTCAATTCCTCTGTGAGTGAACTTTATAGAACTCCAGAACTAAAGGAGTTGGTTAAATGACTAGAAACAAAAGTGCTTACTAAACTCAGGAAAAGGAAAGAAAATCTAATTTTGACAGCATATTTGTAACTATAAAGCACTACAGATAACCTTGCAGCTATTTTTGAGATATCATTGGTACTTCATTGATTATGTTGTGAAACATTTGTGAGCTGTTTATGGTCTCAGTTCAGCTCACTGCTTTGATCGGGATGAATTATGAAAGACTCTATAGAAAATGTAATGTACCACTTTTTTCATGGTGGAAGCACTTTAGTTACATAATCAGTTTGAACCTACTAACAATGGCCAGAAATAGCTATTGCAAATTTTTCTAGAAAAAATTAAGACACTCAGGACTATAAGTTTTTAGAATAATAGACACACTTTAAAAAACTAAATAATTATAAAGCAATCCTATTATGAACGAGAGCAAACAAATAACACCAAGACTTAGGCTTGTACTAATTTTAAAAAATGCTTTCTTAGGCGAGAAAATGCAAACTGTATCTTATTTAAGAGTTAGTCTCCTTGATTTATTATTTGTGATAGTATTCATTCTTAAATCCATAGAACAACTGTTTTTTGCCTAGGTATATTTGAGCAGTACCCTTATTACCAAATTAAAAGTTCCTCATTTATCTTTAAAGTAAAAATACAAGCTCAGGTTGATAAATTTCAAAAAACAACCACTATAATGTGTCTTTGGCTAATAGAGAAAAAATAAGCCAACTCTGTCATTTTAACAGACACCTTTGAAATGTACATGCTAAACCCATGGCCAAAGGGGAAAAAATTCTCTCACAGAATATTGTAAAAGCAAATAAAACTCTTACTAGTGATGTTTCTCCTCTCATTGCTTCACTCCTAGAGCCCATGTATTGTCAGTCAGCACCCACTGCTTTGTGACCATTTCTATTGAGATTTATGTGCAAGTGACCTGAAAAATGATTATACCAATAATCGTGCCTTCAAAACATCTAGATTCTATTTTGTTCCACCCTAGGCTCTCTTGTTTATATAATGCCATTCTGATACCCTCTTTAGCCTTCAAAACATCTAGATTCTACTTTGTTCCACCCTAGCCTCTCTTGTTTATATAATGCCATTCTGATACCCTCTTTAGCCTTCAAAACATCTAGATTCTATTTTGTTCCACCCTAGGCTCTCTTGTTTATATAATGCCATTCTGATACCCTCTTTAGCCTTCAAAACATCTAGATTCTACTTTGTTCCACCCTAGGCTCTCTTGTTTATATAATGCCATTCTGATACCCTCTTTAGCCTTCAAAACATCTAGATTCTACTTTGTTCCACCCTAGGCTCTCTTGTTTATATAATGCCATTCTGATACCCTCTTTAGCCTTCAAAACATCTAGATTCTACTTTGTTCCACCCTAGGCTCTCTTGTTTATATAATGCCCATTCTCATACCCTCTTTAGCCTTCAAAACATCTAGATTCTACTTTGTTCCACCCTAGGCTCTCTTGTTTATATAATGCCCATTCTCATACCCTCTTTATCATTCTAGGCTAGGCTTTCTCAACTTTAGCAGTATTGACTTTTTGAACCAGATAATTCTTTATTTTGGGGGACTGTCTTGAGCATTATAGGATAAGTCAGTGTAAAGATTAATTTTATGTGTCAACTTGGGTGAGCCTCAGTGCCAAACTGTTTTGTCAAACATTATTTTGAATGTTTCTTTCAGAGAGAGAGAGAGAGAGAGAGAGTGTGTGTGTGTGTGTGTGTATGTGTGTGTTGATGAGATTATTATCTAAATCAGTGGACTTTGAGTAAAGTGGGTACCCTCGATAATGTGGGTGAACATCATCCAATCAGTTGAAGGCCTTCACAAGACAAAGACTGGCCATCCCCAAGCAGGAATAAATTATTCCGGAAGGTTTCCATTGGACTTGGACTGCAACTGTTTCCTGAGTTTCCAGCCTCCCTGCCCACTCCATCAGACTTTGGACTTGCCAAGAGTCTTGGTCCACTTTGTGTTGCTATAACAGAACACCTGAGACTGGGTAATTTAAAAAGGAAAGGGGTTCATTTATCTCAGGGTTCTGCAGGTTGGGAAGTTCAAGATTTGACAACTGCATTTGGTGGCTTCTGGTGAGGGCCTCCTCTGCATCAACACATGACAGAGAAGAGAAAGGGGAAGCAGGCATCTGTAAAAGGCTAACCAGGAGAGGTAACCTCACATTATAGCAACCCACTGTCACGGGAACCAGCCCACTCCCATGAGAACTCACCCAGTCTTGGTCAAAGGACAATAATATGATTTGTCCCCATCAAAGTTCATGTTGAGGCTTTGTCCCCAGTGTGGCACTTTTGAGAGGTGGCGCCTTTAAGGGGTGATTAGGTCATGAAGCTGGATTAATTTCTTTTCACTGGAGAACCCTGAAAAATAATAGAATTTGGCACTGAGATGTGGGTGCCAAGACTGCCTCCTTTTTGGCTTTAGCAGAGCAGGCTGCCCCCAGGGCCTCAGGGGCCAAGCTACTGCCCAGGTCTGTGGGAGTGATGCTGGTCTCAGAGTCTGGGGATGTGTCTTCTGCCCTAGTGATTGTGGAGAACAGATCATCAAGCCAAAGAGGATAATTCTTAGGCTTTCAATCTAATGGATTTTGCTCCCCTAGGTTTTGAACTTTGTAGGGATCCCTGACCTCTTTCTTGTCTCTGAGTTCTTCTTTTGGAATGGAATGCCCAACTTATGCCTGTCTCACAAGGAGAGTATATAACTCACTTGTCTGGTTTCACAGCTGTTGCAACTTTTTCCCTAGGATCAATCATACCTCGAGTCTCACCTGCATTTGATTTAGAGGCGATTTAAATGAGATTTAGGACTTAGAGTTGGTGCTGGAATGAGTTAAGACTTTGAGGCTGTTGAGATGGGGTGCTGAATATATTTTGCTAGTGAGAGGGACACAGATTGATTTTGGAGGTCCAGAGAGTAAAGACTGAACCGGTTCCCTTCAAATTCATATTTTAAAACCTAATCCCCAGTACTTCAGATAGAGATTTTGCAGACAAAGCCTTTTAGGATGGAGCCTTTAAAGAAGTAATTCAGATAAAATGAGGGTGGGCTCTAATCCATTCTGACTGGTGTCCATGTAAAAAGAGGAGATTGGGATACACAAGAAAGACACCGGGGCATGCATGCACAGAGAAAAGGCCATGTGAAGACATAGAGGGAAGGCTGCCATCTGTAAGCTAACAAAAGAGGCCTCAGGAGAAAGCATACCCCATCTTTGCATGGCCTTTGGACTTACAGCCTCCAGAACTGTGAGAAGATAAATTTCTTTTGTATAAGCCCCCTGTCTGTGGTATGGTGTTACTGTAGCCCAGAAGACAAATACAGGCAGTATCCCTGGCTTCTGCCCACTGGATCCCAGAGGAGTTTTCTCCCAACCACCATCCTCACTCCCCAAATCATGACAAACAAAAAATATCTTCAGACATCGCCAAATGTTTTACTGGGGATGACACTGCTTCAGGTTGATAACCCATGCTCAGACATAGACAACAGCTACAAAAGCTCTTACATGGATCACCCCTGTTTGAAATGTCCTGTGATTTGGTGTTGGTGACATTGCACTTTCTGTGTCTGAAGCTTCTTTATTCTCCCTTCTTTTTCCATTTTCTGTGTTCTTTCCCTTGATATTGTCATTTAGATTTTAAAGTGTTACTTCTAAATAAATAGAATTCACATATAATCTCTCTTGTCCTGGCCTCTCTCCTGATCCCAAAGTGTGAATTCCCACTTGCCAATTTTCCAAACAGTTCTTCTGGAAGACTCTACCTGGATATTCTACCACCACAAATTCAGTTGACCTCTGCCACACTGTCTCTTTTATAATCCCTGTTCAGTTAAACAGTTCAGTTCAATTAAAAACAATTTTCCAAACAGTTCTTTTGAAAGACTCTACCAGGATATTCTACCACCACAAATTCAGTTGACCTCTGCCACACTGTCTCTTTTATAATCCCTGTTCAGTTAAACAGTTCAGTTCAATTAAAAACAATTTTCCAAACAGTTCTTTTGAAAGACTCTACCTGGATGTTCTACCACCACAAACTCAGTTGGCCTCTGCCGCACTGTCTCTTCTATAATCCCTGTTCAGTTAAACAGCTCAGCTCAATTAAAAACAATTTTTGAGTGCGTTGGGACCTTGAGGTTAGCTGGTTTGATATAGAAGAGAGTCACCCAAACAGATTTAATGCAATGTGATAAGCTCCATGATAAAAAAAAAAAAAGTACGTGGGGATCTGTGGGAGTACAGAGGAGGAACATCTTATCTAGCCTGGGATATCAGAAAAGGCTTCCTTGAAGAGGTAAGTCACAAGCTGAGTCTAAAAGAAACCCAAGTGAGATAAGGAAGAGAAGATACAGAGGCATTTCAGAAGGGTAAAATAGTACACGTAGTACAAACAGGTGGAGAGGAAAACAGATAATATTTCATTGATTTTTTACTCATTTAAGTCAGACTAAAGTGAACATGTCTCTTGAATGTAAATACTTATGAACTGATATTTTTCTTTCCTTTGAGAAATTTCTAAATTTCAATTTACCAGTTCAGAGACTATGGATGGTATTTAGGTCAAATGAATTTCCACGAAAGTTCTTCTCCTATGGATGAGCAAGAGTTCCAACGTTCCATGCCCTGACCAACACAAGCTATGATTCAATTTTTCCAGATTATCTCAAAATTATTTTGTTACATTTAAAAGAATATTGGTGTTATTTTTAATAAAAGCATTCTTACGAAAGTCTTCAAAAACCCCCATGCTAATGAATCCAAAGGTGGATTCTCTAAGGCAGGCACAATGTGTGGCTGCGCCAGTGCTGTCTTGTCCGTGTCACAGAGAAACCTCATACTCTACCTCCCCACTGTGGCATGGCTGGAACGGTCCGACTCCATGGGCTCCATCTGCCTAAGATTGGTGTGCACTGTGCTTCCCACCTGCACCAGCGCAGCAGCACGTCCAGCCCCTCCCAGCCCTTCATGCTGGGCTACTGGGTATGCTTTTGGGATGTCAAGGAGGGTCAGTGTGTGGTGCCCCAAAGGGTTTGCTTTCTCATGAGGGCAGGAGGAGGACCCTTTCTAACAATTTTGTTTTCAATGTTTACATGACATCCAGCAAATTTGGGGGCGAAGGGCGGGGTAATTCCTAGTATGTTGCTGGCATTGTTTCTTGTTTCCCAGCACAGATGCTCATTTTGCCCAGTGTTTCTATCCACCTGGTCATTTCCTTGGGAAATTACTCTGCTAGGAGAAGAGTTAGATGCTTTTCCTTGAGATTTTTTTCTAGGTAGGAAATTGCCATGTGTTGTTAAAGTCTGACATTCTTTAGTGTTTGGATATCCAAACCTGCCTCTATGCCCCTTAATTCTGGTTCCAGCTCCAGCTCTTCCGTTCTTCTCTGATTCCAGAAAGGTCCAATACCCAACGTTGATCTATGTAGCCTAAGCTGTGCACTGACTCTTCTCTCTACAGATTCTCAAAACATGTTCTTGGAAAGAACACCAGCTTTCCCTTCAGTGTCTAACACCTTTCTCATGTGTCATATTCATTCTCTCTAATTCTCGTAGAGAGTTGATGCCTTGTCAATGAAGAAATGGAGGCACGAGATGCTTAAAGAACATACTCAAATTGCAGCAAACGTGTGCTCAATCTGATGTTTAGATCTGGCAAGCCAGTGTTTTCTCTTCCTGATAGGTTAGTTTCCTAAAAGTAACTTAACTTTAACTCACTTAAAGTTTGAAAAGTAAATTTTACAATGCATATAGATATTAAGATCTCTGTAGCACTGTCCATGTAACTATTGCTCTGTTGCACCACATGTTCATACAAAACAAGAGAAATGAATTTGTTTAAGTATTTCAGCACCTGAAGGCAATGTTTGACAGTCACTGGAATTTCTACTTCAGAAAAACCTCAGAACTCATATGCCAGAGAAAGTAACCTGATAAAGGAAATAGAGTCAGAAAGAGAAGGGAATTATCACAGCTAAAGCAGTGACTCTGACTGTAGCTTTCCTTGTCCCCAAGGGCCATGATAGACAGAGGAGCACAGCTAGTGTCACGATTTGCACACAGTAGGGGCTTGCAGGACCCAGAAACCTCTGCTCTTGCTCTGGATGTGCCCTGATGGTCACAGGTTCTTACATTATCAGCTTGGAACAATATTCACTAGCAGTACTTGTACTAAGGAAATTTTTATAAGCATTGAGCTCTGCCAGTTACCTTGACCAAACTCAACTCCAAGGAGATACCATCCTTATCTAAGAGGAGAGGGCTGAGTCTCTCCAGCTCACCAGCAGTTCAGAAGGTCTATTTCCTTGCAGCTCCTGTGGAAGGTTTGATTTAAATTTCTTTCTCTCTTTTGAAACTTGGGCATCACTTTACAAACTGAGAGGCAGAGATCCCCTGATTTTTTATTTCATCTTTCTGCAAGAAAAAAGGGAGTTAAAAATAGAATTTTCTACTGGGGTATGTGTGAGATGAGAAGAGCTAGGCATGGACACCTGATGATTTCTTTGTTTTATTATTTAAGCACTGGTGGCTATTTGGTATTCGTTTATAGGGTATATCTGAAGAACAGCACTTTATATTAGTAAGAAAATAATCCAAAGCAAGCATTTTCATAAAAGCCATCTTCAATAATATTTTATTAATGTTCAATTTCAATTGTTTTTGAGAATAGAGGTTGGCTTGTGAAGGAAGGTGCAGAAAGGAGAGGGTCAATTCTCAAGTCATGAATAGTGACAAGTGAAATTATATGGAGAAAGGAAATCAATCCCGACAAATGAAAAAGGGCAAAGGTGGAGTTAAAGCAAATGAATCGTTATCCACAACAATGCAACTACTTCACATCTGTGAGCCAGAATCTGAAAACGTCCATGGCGCACTATAGGTGATGAAATATTATCAATAGATTTCTAATCAACTTCAGGGACAATGATCCGTTCTTCTCAGGGTATGAGCTTTGATTTGCTGGGAGAGAGAATTTGAGAGGTTCCAAGAACAAAATCTCTCAGCATAATTTTACTTTCTTTTTTTCCGTCCATAAGAGGTAGATCTGAGGCTGGCAGAGTTCTTATCCCAGGTAGAGGTTGTAAATTTTATTTGGATGTGTCAAGTACCAAACTGGAAAAGAGTAGCACAGCTCCAGTTTGAATGAAAAGACAGTGCTTGAGTCTGAGCATGGCCTCTGATGAGCTGTGTCGCCTGGTGGCATATTCATCTTCTCCAGGGGTCCCTTTCCTCCTCCCAGATGCTAAGCCTATAGACCAGCTTCTCCCCCAAGCCCTTTCCAACTAGAATTCTATGAGGCAGTAAATGATGCTTTTACTTCTTCTGTTGACTATTTACTTTAAAACCTAGTATCTCCAGTCTAGACTGTTACCTGTTAAAAATTGGAGGGGAATTAAATAAAGATGAGAATCAAGAAACTTCATCAAAGCTGACTCCTAGAATGAAATTTGCCCCAGCTTTTGAAAATCTAAACAGAATTCAAAAATTTGTGTTGTCTTTAATCCATCTTGAATTAATTTTTGTATAAGGTGTAAGTAAGGGATCCAGTTTCAGCTTTCTACATAGGGCTAGCCAGTTTTCCCAGCACCATTTATGAAATAGGGAATCCTTTCCCCATTTCTTGTTTTTGTCAGGTTTGTCAAAGATCAGATAGTTGTAGATATGTGGCATTATTTCTGAGGGTTCTGTTCTTTTCCATTGGTCTATATCTGTTTTGGTAGCAGTACCATGCTGTTTTGGTTACTGTAGCCTTGTAGTATAGTTTGAAGTCAGGTAGCGTGATGCCTCCAGTTTTGTTCTTTTGGCTGAGGATGGACTTGGCAATGCAGGCTCTTTTTTGGTTCCATATGAACTTTAAACTAGTTTTTTCCAATTCTGTGAAGAAAGTCATTGGTAGCTTGAGACCTAAAACCATAAAAACCCTAGAAGAAAACCTAGGCAGTACCATTCAGGACATAGTCATGGGCAAGGACTTCATGTCTAAAACACCAAAAGCAATGGCAACAAAAGCCAAAATTGACAAATGGGATCTAATTAAACTAAACACCTTCTGCACAGCAAAAGAAACTACCATCAAAGTGAACAGGCAACCTACAAAATGGGAGAAAATTTTTGCAATCTACTCATCTGACAAAGGGCTAATATCCAGAATCTACAATGAACTCAAACAAATTTACAAGAATAAAACAACCCCATCAAAAAGTGGGCAAAGGATATGAACAGACACTTCTCAAAAGAAGACATTTATGCAGCCAAAAGACACATGAAAAAATGCTCACCATCACTGGCCATCAGAGAAATGCAAATCAAAACCACAATGAGATACCATCTCACACCAGTTAGAATGGTGATCATTAAAAAGTCAGGAAACAACAGGTGCTGGAGAGGATGTGGAGAAAGAGGAACACTTTTACACTGTTGGTGGGACGGTGAACTAGTTCAACCATTGTGGAAGTCCGTATGGTGATTCCTCAGGGATCTAGAACTAGAAATACCATTTGACCCAGCCACCCCTTTACTGGGTATATACCCAAAGGATTATAAAACATGCTGCTATAAAGACACATGCACACATATGTTTATTGTGGCACTATTCACAACAGCAAAGACTTTGAACCAACCCAAATGTCCAACAATGATAGACTGGATTAAGAAAATGTGGCACATATACACCATGGAATACTATGCAGCCATAAAAAAGGATGAGTTCATGTCCTTTGCAGGGACATGGATGAAGCTGGAAACCATCATTCTCAGCAAACTATCGCGAGGACAAAAAACCAAACACCACATGTTCTCACTCATAGGTGGGAATTGAACAATGACAACACATGGACACAGGAAGGGGAACATCACACACAGCGGCCTGTTGTTGGGTGGGGGTGGGGGGGAAGGATAGCATTAGGAGATATACCTAATGTTAAATGACGAGTTAATGGGTGCAGCACACAAACATGGCACATGTATACATATGTAACAAACCTGCACATTGTGCACATGTACCCTAAAACTTAAAGTATAATAATAAAAATAAATATCACTATAATCTCACTCTAAAAAAAAAAATTGTGTTGTGTCGTATACCTATGGTGTCAGGCCTCTGAGCCAAAGCTCAGCCATTATAACCCCTGTGACCTGCACATACACATCCAGGTGGCCTGCAGGAGCCAAGAAGTCTGGAGCAGCGAAAAAACCCCAAAGAAGTAAAACAGCCAGTTCCTGCCTTACCTGATTAACCAAAATTACAACATTTTACCATTTTGACTTGTCCCTGCCCTACCTTAGCTGATCAATCGACTTTGTGACATTCCTCTTCTGGACAATGAGTCTTATGATCTCCCCACTATGTACCTTGTAACCCCCTCCTCTGCTAACAATAGATAACCACCTTTTACTGTAATTTTCCATTACCTACCCAACTCCTATAAAGCAACCCCTTCCCCATCTCCCGTCGCTGACTCTCTGTTTGGACTCAGCCCATTTGCACCCAAGTGAATAAACATCCTTGTTACTCACACAAAGCCTGTTTTGGTGGTCTCTTCACACGGACGCGCTTGACATATGGTATCTATATAAAGGGCCACAGTTACTGTGTTCTCAATGTATTTCATGTTGTATATGGTTTGAATTTGACAGGGAGGCTGGTATATTGTTGCATAGATTCTTCTGGAATTCAGGGTTTGTACTTTGCCACCTGAAAGGGCAATTTCAGGTGCCATTATGCATATGTTCTCATTTAGGTTAGTTAACGAGCTCCTGTTTCCTTAGAAGGGTTTCTGCTCCTTGGGGGCGTGAAGTATGCTTTCTGAGAAGTTATTTGCTTACCTTAGAATTGCACCCATTATGATAATCACAATGTTCCAGGGATCCATAGAACAAAGTGGTAGGGTCTCATCTAAATGATAGCAAACATTTCAGCTCGGGCTAAACACAGCCCAGGAAGGAGTGATCCTCAGTGCAGAGCTTCGCGTGACGATGCCAACCTGGAACGGAAGTGAGGGAGGTTGTCGCATTACCAACGAAGGATTTGAGAATGAGGGACAAAGGAGATTGAGGTCATCCTTTCACAAGAGGAAGAAACTGAAACATTAAACATCGCTTGTCTGTGTAAAAGGTTTGTGACATTTCTCTTCAAAGAGGTGTTATTGCTCTGAGCTGGGTGGCAGCTTGTGCCCTGGTCAACTGAAGCCAGACTCCTAAGGGTTAAAGGTGATTATCTGAATAATCTTTTCTCCTCTTTATCCTGCACCTGCCAGCCTTGAACATTCCAGCACATTCCACTCAAATGCATATCCCATTCAAGGGTTAGAGGCTTTTTAAAACCAGGTTGCAAAGGTAAGAGGAGGGGAGCAAGGCTGTTTCTAAGTGAAGAAATTGAATGCACCTCACAATAATATTGGTTATCTCTTGGTGACGGTTCTAATGATCCCGAGCAAGGGCTAGAAGATGTAAAGGAAGATTGGATGGGCATCAAAGTAAATTCCACTGATTTGACCTTGTCTATAAGTAATTAACAAATATTTTGATTGTCTCCTGTGTTTCCGGCATATTTCAAGCTGATGAGCAAGAGATACTAAATCCTGCTTTCATAGACCTAATATTTGCTCTTGATAGAAGGGGGGAAAGACTGAAAAAAAATAAAAAGAGAGAGAAGGAGAGACTATCAAGTAGTGACTCAAACAGGGTGGTAAGTCAAACGGTGGATGGGGTAGTCAGCAACGACTTCCTAAGTGAACTTGGGACTGATGGTTGAATGATCATAAAGGGCAGGCTAAGCTCAGAGACAAGACTCTTGCCTCACTTCATCTAGGCTGCTTATATCTGGTTTATACAGTGGAGTAAAATCTTAGAAACTACTAGAGTAGATAATATTGAGAGACCCCCAAGTCTTGTAAAAGTCTAACATGCAGGCAGCCTTAGCTTTTTTTGGATGGTAGAGTGAAGATGCTAAAATTTTTGTGACAAAAATAATTGTATCTTTACTGAACACTCACTATATCCTGGGTGTTATCTACTATTTAATTCAATTCTCACAACAATCTAATAGGTTAATGCCCATTGGTTGGTGATCCAGCCCCCGTTATTTTTCCATCTACTAATTTTTGGGACATAGCATTTCTACAGCAGAAATGCATTTACATGGCCTCTACCTGTGTGGTTGCATCTATCTATCTATCTATCTATCCATCCATCCATTCTCCCATCCATCCATCCACCCACTCACCCACTCATCTGACTATCTGTCTTCTGAAATAAAAGTTTAATAAAATGACATTTTCTTTTTTTGTAATATATTTGTATAATTTCAATTATATCCTGGTCGATTTCTTTTTTAAAAAAATGCTGGTAATTAGTAACTAAATTTATTTTACAACTTATTTTTGTAAATCAGTGGCATAAATAGTAGCAGTTATGTGTCTGCATTTTGCTTTAGACTGATCTGTGTTTGAATTCTGGGCAGGTATTTACTAGCTATCTAAATTAGGAAACGTTAATTTGCCTTTTACTATAATCTGAATGTTTCCTCTAAAATTCATGTTGATATTGTTGGGCTGTGTCCCCACCCAAATCTCCTCTTGAATTGTAGCTCCCATAGTTCCCATGTGTTGTGGGAGGGACCTGATGGGAGATAATTGAATCATGGGGGCAGTTTCCCTCATACTGTTCTCTTAGTAGTAAATAAGTCTCACAAGATCTGATGGTTTTATGAGGGGAAACCCCTTTCTCTCAGTTATCATTCTCTCTTGCCTGCTGCCATGTAAGACATGCCTTTCGTCTTCTGCCATAATTGTGAGGCCTCCTCAGCCATGTGGAACTGTGAGTCCATTAAACCTCTTTCTCTTTACAAATTACCCAGTCTCAGGTATGTCTTTATCAGCAGCATGAAAACATGTGTTGGAAAATAAACCTTCAATGATACAGTGTTGGAAAGTGGGGTCCAGTAGGAGGTGTTTCAGTCATGAGGCTTTGCCTCATGAATAGATGAAGGCTGCTATAAGAAGGGCTTGCTGGAGTAGGCTTTCCTGCTTCTATTTCCTGCCATGTGACATCACAGTGTTCCTCCTCTCTAGAAGACACAGCAACAAGGTGCCAGCTTGGAACCAGGGTCTAAACCTGCTGGCGCCTTGATCTGAGACTTCCAAGCTTCCAGGACTGTGAGAAAAAAAAATCACGGTTCTTTATAAGTTATCTAGTCTCAGGTATTCTGTAGTAGCAACACAAAATGGACTAAGACATTTTTTAAGGCTCTGCTTTTATCATCCATAACACGGATTAATAAAAGTAACTATCTCAAGGAGTTTTCATGGAGACCAAATGATAAAATGCATGTCAGGCATCTGGCACAGTGAATGGAATAGAATAAGTGCTCAAAAAATATTAGTCATCTTAGTCAGCTCAGGGTGCTGTAACAAAATATTATAGACTGGGTGGCTTAACAACAGAAATGTATTCTCACAGTTCTGGAGGCTGGAAGTCCAAGGTAAGGGTGCCGGGATGGTCAGTGTCTAGTGAGGTCTCCCTTCCTGGCTTGCAGATGCTGCCTTCTCCTCACATGTGGCAGGTGGTGGGGAGCAAGCTCTCTGGCATCCCCCATATAAGGGCACTAATACCATTATGAGGGCTTCACCCTCACAACCTCATCTAATCCTGTATATTTCCCAAAGACCCTTTCTCCAAATGCCATTACACTGGGAGCTAGGGCTTCACCCTCACAACCTCATCTAATCCTCTATATTTCCCAAAGACCCTTTCTCCAAATGCCATTGCATTGGGGGCTAGGGCTTCACCCTCACAATCTTATCTAATCCTGTATATTTCCCAAAGACCTTAACTCTAAATACCACTACACTGGGGGCTGGGGCTTCATCATTTGAGTTTAGGGGGACATAATTCAGTCCCTAGCATTAGTTAGTGTTTATTTTTATTGTCCAAATTTGTTTCTTTTTTACAAATTCTTACATACTTTTAAGCATTATTTCCAGCTATTTTTCCTACTTCTCCACTTGTCATAATCAACTCTGTAAACAACAAATATAGTTTATGAATTTTGTCATATTCATATGTGTGTTTCATTTAAAATGAAGTTCAATTTTATACTTAATGGTTAATATTACTATATTCTGATATAGTGAAGTAAAGGACTTCTAAAGCAAAATGTCCTAACTTGAGAAAAGAGGGGCCATTGACAGGTAGGTCTATTTTGCCTACCTTTTGTCCTTAATTGTAAATAATACAATGAATCAATGAGATAATACCACTATAAAAATGTCTGAATTATGATTTGTTTTCAAATATTCTCCCCATTTTTACCTAAGATTGCATGACGTTAGGTTCCTGAAAATTCACAAAGTGACATCATAGACACTGGTGATCCAGACATTGGCAATGAGTTAAAAGGCAGTAAATGATTCTAGGGAGGAATGGAACTTATCACTGAAATAATAATTTCTGATTACCTTTGATCAGTCAGAAACTTTTGGACTATAAACTCCATAGATGGACCACTTTTATATGTATTTTGAGTTTGATGGTTTTGTTTTTTAGTTTGCTTTATTGTGTACGTGAAAACAAAAAATAAGGCCTAAAGGAAGTGAATAGTTGATATTTGGATAAATCTCTCAAAATGTTAAAACTTAATATGTAACTTAAGTTAAATATAAAGCTATAAAATGTATTCATAATTAAGTGCAATTTACACTTTAATGCCTAGAAAGTAGGAGGCATTTTATTCATTTCAGTGTAAAGTGCTGTATTTTCCTTTCTTTGCTATTTCTAATGAACATTTGTATGTGAATTGTCCAGGTGTTACCTGGAATACTATTTTCATTAATACTCATGTTAAAACAAGGAAACAAATTTTGATAAAATATACCGTGATAAAATTCTACTTGCCATTTTTTTTTTAAAGATGACCGCTAGTTGTAGGCTAACAGTTACATAATGACATGATTTAGTGGCCCCTGGGTTAGCCCCATGTCAATGGGCTTTGGCGAGACTCATAAGCTCCAAGGAAAGAGACACAAAGTGCCATGCTTACTATTGAAAATCATAAAGTTCTTGAGTAGATATTCAAAATAATAATATGCATTCCTCAATATAATAGCATTTGTTTTTGCACTACAATTGTCATATTGAATATTTAGGAATTGTTGGTTGCTCCACAAAAAGTTTATTTTAAATGTTCAATTCTGGTTCATTTTCATAATAGTTTACATAGAGAATTAACATATGTTAAGGATAAAAATTCTTGTAAAGGTCACTTCAGAACTAATGCTTGATTGTAAGTCGTAGTATACATTTCCAAAAATAGAAAGTGCAGCGTATCTAGTGGTTTGGGATGTTACACTTAGCTTGTGAATGAAATACTCGTAGTTTTGTCTTCATTTAGGTTGACCATTATAATTGAGAGATGAAAGATAACTGGAAATAACGACTACTATTGTACAATGCTTTAGAACTGACAAATTTTAGAGTGTCCTACAGATTATAGCATTTGATCTTCATAACATCCTGTGAAATATTAATATTACAAAAATGATAAATGATTCAAACACATCAGTCATTTATCAGTGTTTCCTATGTGTTATCCCACAACTAACTTATAGATCACTTACCATTATTATCTGTACACATTAAGTCTCCTGCCCAAGCTTTATGGCTAGTCAATGGCAGATATAGAACTTGAACTCTTGTCTGTCTGATTTCAAAACTGTGCCCTGAGCCAACCATATAAAATCAGCTTATTTAACTGAGTGGAAAGAAGCCTTCAAAGCCTTATGGCTAACTCTGGATGCTTGAATAAGTGCAAAGTGCGAGAAATAATAGAACTGGTCTACGTTGCTTTAAAGAGGCAGGAAGATTGCTTGAGGACAGAAGTTTCAAATCAGCCGGTCAACCTAAGAAGATCCCATCTCTATAATTTTTTTTTAATTAGCCAGCTGTGGTGGTATGTACCTGTAGTGCTAGCTACTCGGACGTCAAAAATGGAAAGATTGCTTGAGCCCAGGAGTTTGAGGCTGCAGTGAGCTAAGAATGTATCACTGCACTCCAGCCTGGGTGACGGAGCAAGATTCTGCCTCAAAATAAATACATTAAAAAAATAAAAATAAAAATGAAAGTAATACCTCACCAGGACCCATAGGGTTAAAGGGAAAGCAAATTTCAATGCAATATAAGATAGAATATTCTAATAACTAGTGTTTCTCAACAATAAATCACCACTATTGTGTTTAAGTGTTCTCCCTATCACTGAAGTGTGCAAACAGATGTTGGATAACAATCTCTCAGCAAAATAGAGAAGCAATGTAGGTATCTGGTGTGATTTAGACTGGGTTCCTAGGTGGCCTTTTGAAAATTAGATTCTATGCTTGTGTATATACGGAAAATGGACTTATCACTACTGGGCATGTTGCAATAAGGTAACTGCAGAAAGAAACTGACTATGGAGGGCAAGTATGACTTTTGCATTAAATATCCCTCAGATTCCAGCATAGAGACTTGTGATTAAAAAGCTATTCAAATAATTAAATATAATTATTATTCTTTTATTTCTCCTTAGATGTAAAATGTAAAAGATATTCATGAGAATATAAGACTAAAAATAATGGGTGCTTAAAAGCTTGTGGGAGTAATGAAAGTACCTGCTGGAATCTACAGAGTGCCTCATCATTACTAAAGATTACAGTTATATATGGCACATTTTGCTGCCAAGCTGTGTTTTACAGCAGAGGAAAGACTTGCATATCGGACACTGGAGGGCACATAGGGATTACGTAAGCAAAGGATAGATAACACTTAAGGTTTCTCATCTCACATTATTCTAGAATTGAAGACAGTTTTACCATTTTTTTGTTGTTGTTTGAAGTGAAATGACAAATATCTTTGTGATTCTATATATTTCTAACTCATACACTTTTTATATTAAGAATATATCATGTTTTTTGGCAGTGAAATCAAGATGTTTTATGCCTGAGAATATAAATATCTCAACAAATTATTTTTAGTTTATCTATTTTCTTGTGGCTTTCTAATTTTTACTTCCAGTACTTTTAGTTTTGTTCCTTTTAAATTTTAATATTTAAATAGAATCAAGCTCCAATTTACTTGTTTGAATTACTGTTTTTCTCCTATTATGCAAGTAACAAGTCCAAAAAGTAAATAGATAATTCAAAGAGTTCAGAGTAAAAAAAGCAAGAGCAAAGTCCATTCACCTGGCTCCTGGTCATTCCACAGAGCCCTCCTGTTTAGTTTTCTCCTGGGAGTCACGTTTCTGTCCCAGATATCATGTTCCCCCTTTACCTGCTGTATCAACCACAAGCTCTGCTGAGTGATTTCCTGGGACAACAGATGACAAGCTCAGCTGACTTTCTCTCATCTCACCTCACTTCTACACTTCTTCCTTCTCTTCCAAATATTTGGTAGAATTGTACTCAATTCCTTTCATTTGATATCCTTATAATATTAACACACTTAAATTTCAATGTCTTTATTTTATACCTTGACTACCCCCCACATAAATTCAGGATCTCAATGTCCTTCTACAACCCTCAACTTCAGAAATCTGTTCGTCAACAATTATCTAAAAATTTTAAAATTTTATAAGAACAGCATTATATTGTCTTCTCTGCTTTGTGTATAGATTGATCTAAAAATTGAAAACCAGTCAATATAAAAATAGCATGTATTTCTAACCATTATATATATACCAGTTGCTGCGTATAGATATATGTCAGAAGGAAAGGCTGACCGCTCAAAGGTGAATATTCCAAGTGCCATGTTTAAATAGGCTCTCTTTTAAAAAAATTTAGCTAATTTCTAAAAATCATATTACATTGTATTCTGTTTCATGGGGACCATGTGTCTTTCTGGTACTGTTTTATTGTTGCTTTCCCCAAATATTTTGATTACATTTTTTCTTCCCTCTTCTGAAAAATGATTATGTTTTTCTTTATCACTGACATCATCTTATTGCTTCATCATATAATTGGTTAAAGCAAATCTGCTGTCTTTGTGAAATTATCCTTCCTGAAGTCCTCTGACTTGGTTCACATTCAGACAGCTTAGTGGGCCTTGCAATATTGTCTATGGGTTGCAGAGATTGGAAGAAGAGAAGAGGGTCTCCAGGGCCCTGAGGGATGATGCTACTTAAATTCTGGTAAGAGGAGAATAAATCTGAACAAGAACCAGATAAAAAGTCACGAGATAAGTTGGAGCCAAAGCAAGTACATTTTTGCATACAGAAGCAAAGGAACGAACTTGCTCCAGAATTGAGAAAATGGTCAGTAGTACAAAATCTTTCTGAGAGGACAAGACAGATAAGGACTGAAATATATCTCTGTTCTGTGGTGGCATTACTAAAAGCTTATTTGTTAAAGTGACAGCCCAAAGCCAATATGGTGTGGGTTGATGAGCGAGTGGGGCATAAGGAAATGGAGACAAGTGTTGAAAGCTCTCCAGACTAACTTGGCTGTGAAGAGAGAGTAAAGATGGTGGCTGGGAGGGAGTAAATGGTGGAGTGGGAGATGATTTTGTTTGCCTGGGATTTGTTTCTGTTTTTGTCTTTTTTTTTTTTGTAATGAAAGTGGGCTGAGTATGATTAAGAGCACTAGGCAAATACCTAGTTAGAAGGATAGATTGAGCGTAAAAGAGAGAGAAGTAGTCTCTAGTCTCTACCAGGAGCTGGCACGCTTTTTCTGTGAAGAGCGGGTGGAAAGTGTCTCAGGCTTTGCAAGCTCTACAGTATCCGCTACCACTAATCAATTCTGCCCTGTAGCCACATGCGACATGTAAATAATAAGCATGGCTATTCTCAATACAAGTTTATGTATAGATACTGAAATTTAAACTGTATGTAATTTTCATGTCATGACATATTATTTTTAAATTTTTTTCCAATCATTTAAAAATGATAAATGATAAAAACCATTCTTAGCTCTGGGCCATACATAAACAGGCAAGGACCAAATTTGGCCTATTCTCTGGTCATGTTAATTGTAAGTTTCCTGAGTATGTAGATAGGACTGGGATTTTTCTCTCTCTTTTTTTTTTTTTTTTTGAGACGGAGTCTGGCTCTGTCTCCCAGGCTGGAGTGCAGTGGCACAATCTCGGCTCACTGCTACCTCCAACTCCTGGGTTCAAGTGATTGTCCTGCCCCAGCCTCCCTACTAGCTGGGATTGCAAGCATGCGCCACCACACCCAGCTGATTTTTGTATCTTTAGTAGAGACAGGGTTTCGTCATGTTGGCCAGGCTGGTCTCGAACTCCTGACCTTGTGATCTGCCCGCCTTGGCCTCCCAAAGTGCTGGGATTACAGGTGTAAGCCACCCTGCCCGGCTCGGGATTTTCAAAGAAAAGGTAGAGGGGATTAGCCTTAAATTTAGGAGAAAGGTTCAAATTCTGACACTACCATTATAAACTGGGTGACCTTGGGAGACTCACTGAGGTGTTTTGGGCCCAGGTTTCACATGTGGATAAGCACCTACCTCATAGCATGGTGGTGGAGAGTAACTGAGATAGCAGGCATGATATGCTTCCTTCAAGGCCTAGAGCATCAGTCAGCATTATATAGTAGATTAGTCTTTCCTTCCACACAAATACAAGGACAAATATGTGTGAACTTTGGGATATTTGATAAATTATAAACTTTCAAAGTAAAAATAAAAGCAATCCTATGACTGATGATTAGCTATTGTGTGAAAGGAGAGGAGAGGGAGTTTTGTTAAAATGCATTACAAATAAATTTTAAGCAATAAACATGAGCATTATAGGAGAATAAATATAACTATGTATATAGGTAATGACATATTCTCAGAGGAGATATGCATGAACTGAGAATTATTCCAATTGCCTGGTTAATCCTGCAGAGCGGGGATCAGCAAACGGGGCCTGGACCTACTATTTGCCCACAAGCTGAGAAAGTTTGTACAGTTGCAACAGAGAATGCACGGGGCCCAGAAAGCTTAACATTTTCACTATCTAACTTTTTATAGAAAAGGCGTGCTAGGCCGGGTGCGGTGGCTCACGCCTGTAATCCCAGCACTTTGGGAGGCTGAGGCGGGCAGATCACGAGGTCAAGAGATCGAGACCATCCTGGCCAACACGGTGAAACCCCATCTCTACTAAAACCACAAAAATTAGCTGGGCACGGTGGCACCTGCCTGTAGTCCCAGCTATTTGGGAGGCTGAGGCAGGAGAATCGCTTGAACTCGGGAGATGGAGGTTGCAGTGAGCCAAGATTGTGCCACTGCACTCCAGCCTGGGTGACAGTGTGAGACTCTGTCTCATAAAATAAAATAAAATAAAATAAAATAAAGTAAAATAAAGCATGCTAATCCCTGTTCTGAAGCTTCGTTCAGGCTCCAGAGTCTAACCTAATCTCCTCTGAGTCAATTACTCTGTGTGGTTGGTAGAAGAGCTTCTCAGTTTACTATAAAAGAATTAAAACATATTTGTTTGCTAATTTCACAATATTTCCAAATGAAATCATAATAGTAATGCAGACAAATCTTAAGAAATTTTATTCAACTTTTAATGTCTTTTTCTCTTCTACTCAATTTTTATGATTAAATATTTTTAATGAATTCCTTCCTATATAAACTATCAATGTGCAACTGCAAAAAAATAGATTTCTAAAAGTGAACCTCAATTATATAATGAATGATGGTGATATATATTTACTGTCAATAATTTATATAAATTCATTGAGCTCTTGTCCTTTTTTTGCAACATTTTTCTTCCTTTTGCTTTCTCATGTAATAGCCATGAGAAATATCAAGACACCAGACTATTACATAGTGTCTTCATAGTTATTAAAAATGATTTGTTTTAAAACAAATCCAATGACATTGAATAAATAGGATTTGAGGTTTTATGTACACAATGTTATCTTCTCTTATATAAAGTTATATGTGTCATTGAAACAACTAACAATGTAAAATAGGTTGACAAGTACAAAGTTATATCTGGGAGGCTGATTTTACAGCTTTAAGTATTTGTTTAGTATTTTCTTCACTCTATTCTTGTCATACTCTTTGGATCTTTTATGTTTCCCTTGAAAAATCTGTTGAATATATGAAACCTGTTGTTAGATTCTTCTATAAAAATGAAATTTTGGAGATATCGGTAGTAGGTCTGTGAATATCTTCTAAATGAAAAGTGTTTGCTTTTACTTTTTGGTGTTTAATTCAAGAACATCAGAACGTGGCCATTGTGTATAATCACCCAACTTAGGCTGTGTATTTCTCGAGTGGGAGTTCAAAATAAGATGGTTTTTTTTTTTTTTTTGAGGCGGAGTCTCGCTCTGTCGCCCAGACTGGAGTGCGGTGGCAGGATCTCGGCTCACTGCAACCTCCACCTCCGGAGTTAATGTGATTCTCCTGCCTCAGCCTCACAGGTAGCTGGGATTACAGGTGCCCACTACCACACCCTACTAATTTTTGTGTTTTTTAGTAGAGACAGGGTTTCATCATCTTGGCCTCCCCAAGTGCTCGGGTTACCACACCTGGCCACAGTAAGATGATCCTTTGATGAGAGAATTGGTCGTGTGTTCTCTGCACTTTTTTGTTTGGTTCGGTTTTCAACCAATGTCCCCCACCCCCTACCCACCCCTGTTTTCACGTTGCAGATCTAAAAACACATCATTGCCTTTATTCTTATTATTTATTTTGCTATCAAGGAACACCAGACCAAGTACTGAGCACATTCTCTCTTGCACTCATTTTGTGTGTGCTTGCAGGTGTGTGTGCTTGCAGGTATGTGTGCTTGCAGGTGTGTGCTTGCAGGTGTGTGTGCTTGCAGCTGTGTGTGCTTGCAGCTGTGTGTGCTTGCAGGTGTGTGTGCTTGCAGGTGTGTGCTTGCAGGTGCGTGTGCTTGCAGGTGTGCGTGCTTGCAGCTGTGTGTGCTTGCAGGTGTGTGTGCTTGCTGCTGTGCGCTTGCAGCTGTGTGTGCTTGCAGGTGCGTGTGCTTGCAGGTGTGCATGCTTGCAGCTGTGTGTGCTTGCAGGTGTGTGTGCTTGCTGCTGTGTGCTTGCAGCTGTGTGTGCTTGCAGGTGTGTGTGCTTGCTGGTGTGTGCTTGCAGCTGTGTGTGCTTGCAGGTGTGCGTGCTTGCAGCTGTGTGTGCTTGCAGGTGCGTGTGCTTGCAGCTGTGTGTGCTTGCAGGTGTGTGTGCTTGCAGGTGCGTGTGCTTGCAGCTGTGTGTGCTTGCAGCTGTGTGTGCTTGCAGCTGTGTGTGCTTGCTGGTGCGTGTGCTTGCAGCTGTGTGTGCTTGCAGGTGTGTGTGCTTGCAGCTGTGTGTGCTTGCAGGTGCGTGTGCTTGCAGCTGTGCGTGCTTGCAGCTGTGCGTGCTTGCAGCTGTGTGTGCTTGCAGGTGTGTGTGCTTGCAGGTGCGTGTGCTTGCAGCTGTGCGTGCTTGCAGCTGTGCGTGCTTGCAGCTGTGTGTGCTTGCAGCTGTGTGTGCTTGCTGGTGCGTGTGCTTGCAGGTGTGTGTGCTAGCAGGTGTGTGTGCTTGCTGGTGCGTGTGCTTGCTGGTGCGTGTGCTTGCAGGTGCGTGTGCTTGCAGGTGTGTGTGCTTGCTGGTGCGTGTGCTTACGGGTGTGTGTGCTTGCAGGTGTGTGTGTGCTTGCAGGTGTGTGTGTTTGCTGGTGCGTGTGTTTGCAGGTGCATGTGCTAGCTGGTGCGTGTGTTTGCAGGTGCGTGTGCTTGCAGGTGTGTGTGACTGGCGTGTTGTTGTCCACATTTTGAGAGGGGGAAAATTATTTTTTTCTAGTGTAATCTCCTTTCAATTTATTTTTCTGTTCTGAAAGAACAAAGGAACTATTATTAAGTTCAAGTACTAAGAATACTACTGTCCAGATTAAGTAAAGATAATCAGTTAGTTTGGGGGATGGGAGAATTAGTCAACTATACCAAGCTGCAGACATCTAATTATTCTGTGTCTTCATTCTCCCCTTCTTCCCTTTAGGATTATAACCCTCTGAACTGTTGTAGGGCTCTTGGCCACCCTAATAGAGACCACATCTGGAGCTGTGCATGTAAACATTGGTGACAGACACACAAGTGAAAATAATGTGTGTAAATTCCAGATACATATATGAAAATAAGCGGTTTGCCCTGCACACAGCCTTTCTCCCTGTCCAGGGTCAAGAATGTGGGAGTGTGGTGGTGATCTGAGTTCCAGTGTGCAGGTGCAACACACTCAATAACAGCGCATGAACCAACGCTATATATATATAGAAGTCACCTAGATTGGGGGAAGCACTATTGAGAAGGTATGCCTCACTGCCCTCTACTGCCTGCCCACGCATGGACTCCCATATGAAACAGAAACAATCTTCCATCTTGTTCGAGTGATGTTATTTTTGTCTCTTTATTGCACCGTTAACCTTTACCCTAACTCTCACCGTTCTAACCATACCTGCTATCCCATAACCTTTTTCTTTTTCTGGGATCCCTCCAGGTGCTTCCGACCCTCTGAGAAACATCAGCCACATTGCTAGGTTTGTTGGAGTGATTTCCCTCTGGCCAAGACTAACTTAAGATCTACGCTACTATGGGAACAAGATTAAATCTTAAATGCAAAAATCATTTTTAAAAATTGTACACCATATATATGGCATATGTATGTTATATACACACATCATATATTTGTATATACTATATATGTATATACTATATATTTGTATATACTACATATCATTTTATTCTAGCTGTCCCAAAATACATATACAGTGTGAACATGTGTCTCTTATTCTTACTCTTTTTTTTTTTGTGAGATGGAGTCTTGCTCTGTTGGCCAGGCTGGAGTGCAGTGGCATGATCTTGGTTCACTACAACCTCTGCCTCACAGGCTCAAGCGATTCTCCTGCCTCAGCCTCCCAAGTAGCTGGGATTACAGGCATGTACCACCATGCCTGGCTAATTCTTGCATTTTTAGTAGAGACAGGGTTTCACCGTGTTGGCCAGGCTGGTCTCAAACTCCTGACCTCAGGTGATCCAGCCCCCCGAAGTGCTAAGATTACAGACGTAAGTCACCACACCCAGCCTCTTATTCTTTAAAATCAAAGCATTGCTAAAACTAGAAATGAATAATAGGATATCTAGATTTTAGTAAATTTTACTGTTAATTGCTATTATTTTGTATTTCTCTGTGAGCTTCAATATTTAGTAAATAATATTGTCTCAAATATTAATGAAAATATCAAGTATGGTTTAACATGTTTTCTCAGTCCTGGTATCATCTCTCTCCTTGACATTTTTCAGGTTATAAATATCACAGAATATGATAAGATATGCTAATAGATTAATAAAGTAAGTCATACTTTATACTATGAAGATATCACTAAGGCTTTTATTAATATGTTTCTTATTCCTTAATTTAAGAATTTAAATATAAATGAAAAAAAATCTGATAAATCCCACCTTCAACAGCGTTGGCTGAAAATGTTAATCAGTCTGACACTCCTCACAGTGTAACTTTAAAATGCCTTTAGAAGCTCTGGTAGTCCCTGCCATTGGCAGAGGAGGGGAGCCCTATGTGTACTCATGCATTGAAATATGTAGTGTTCCTATTTTTTTTTAGTACTTTGAACTTTGCTTATAAATGACACAATTTTGTGATTCTCTTCCAAACTGTTGAAGTTGAGAAGCCATAGCATCAATTCCAGATCAGCAGCCTCTCAGTTTTAGGTCATGAGATGTTTTAGAGCAGAAATACGATCTGATTAATCTTTTTATCCTCCATGGCTGGCACAGTCCGTATTATACAGCCAACACTTCTTCATTCAGGAAACAGTTAGTGAATGCCTTCTTTGTGTCAGGAATTATCCTAGGAACTGGTGAGAGAATCATGAACAGACAGACAAAGAGGGAACACACATTCTTCTAGCAGTAGGAAAAGAGAAAACAAAAAAATGAACAAATAAATATACACAATGCACAATTGCAGTAAGAAAAATTAGGTCAAGCAGATAAAAAGTTTCTTGAGTACACGGCAAGGGTGGCCACAACTGGCCTGTCTGAAAAGGTCACATTTGAACCTAAATAAAACAGATAGGGAAGAACATGTAGTGGATTGAAGAGGGCTGCAAATTGTGTCCTAATCCTCCCCTTGAAAGGTGTTCTCAGAATCCTCCCCTGAACCTTGCTGTGATGTACAGTCTATAGAAGAAACCATGCTCTGTGAGTTCCCAGGTGGGAACCTTGGAGATCTGTAGCTTCCACTGTTATGATCCTGGAACATTCCTTCTTGTAACGCAGCCACCATGTTATAAGAAGTTCAAGCCACATGAACAGGCCACATGGAGGAGGACCTACCTCCAGCTGAGCATCCAGATACCAGCTGCTACCAGCTGCCTGCAGGTGAATGAGCCATCTGTTGTGTTTCTGCTCAGTTGAGCCTCCTCCAGGTGAGTGCGTCCCTGACACCACATGTGAAAGAAGAACTGCCCAGCTGAGCCCAGTCCATCCAGAGGATAGTGAAAGATAATACATGTCTTTATTGTTTTAAGCTACCAAGTTTCAGTATGATTTATTACACAGCCACATGTATCTAAATCAAGTATTTTAAGACAACATAGAGCAAATGCAGAGGAATCAAGGTGAGATTGTACTGGGCACTTTCCAGAACAGCAAGGAGAGCATTACGATTAAAGTGAAGTTACTAAGTGGGAGAATTTTAGCACAGGGAGCCAGAAGCAAGATCATGTATGATCTTCTATTCCAGGAGTCACCAAACAATTTGGTCCACAAGCAGCCTGCACTGGGTTTGTAAATAAAGATTTTATTAGTGCAAAGCCACACCCATTTACTTAAGCATCTTCTGTGGCTGCGTCCATGCTCCAGTGGCAAATGTGAGAAGTTACAACAGAAGTCACATGGCCCTACGTAGTCACATAAGACCTACGCTATTTATTACTTGGCCACATTCAGAAAAAGTTTGCCAAACCCGACCATTGGAACCCCTTGCAGTGCTCGAGCAGAGGACTGGCATGATATGGCTTATGATTTACAAAGAGCTTCCTGGCTGCTGTGTAGAGAATTAACTGAAATGGAAAAGACAGAAACAGGGAGAGTATTAAAAAGGCTGGAGTCATAAGATGACTAAGTACAATTGGTAGAGGTTGTGAAAATTGGTCGATGCAAGATATAGTTTGAAGGCTGTATTGCTGGCTTTTAGGTTGATTAGATGTGACCAACTTCAAGGATGACTCCAGATTATTTTGGCTTTAACAACTGATCAATTCAGCCAGTAAAAAGTAGTTGAGTAAATTATTTTTGATATAGCAATTGCCAAAAAGGCATATGTTTTTGCTATACCATGTAGCTATATTTTACTTGTTTTCAAATGAGATTAATTTGTCAATAGTGAGTGTATAAACCAATATTTCCATGGAAAGTCTGGACAGACAACATTACTTTTTCTATTACAGCAACACATTTTGTTGTTGAGTTTTCATTTGCTAGGACTGAACATTCATCTGTGGGACCATTCCCTGAAAGCAGCGCACTGGGGCATCAGGAGAGACAGCCTGTAGGGTTCCTGCTATGTCAGCCGTCGGTCTCTGGAGGAAGTCCCTCTAGGTCTGAGGGTCTTGTATGTTACCAGGTAACCACTAATGGTGCGGTTCTTTGTCTTTCTTGGGAGTGATTTGTCTATTCTTAACCATTTTGGACATGGTTGCTTAAGCACACTAACAAATCGTAACATGAAGAGACACTTTTCAAAAGAAGGCATACATGCAACCAGCAAGCATATGAAAAAAGGCTCAATATCAGTGATCATCAGAGAAATGCAAATCAAAACCTCAGTGAGATACCATCTCACACCAGCCAGAATGGCTTTTATTCAAAAGTTAAAAAAAAAAGAACAGATACTGACAAGGTTGCAGAGAAAAGGGAACTCTTATACACTGTTGGTGGGAGTGTAAATTAGTTCAATCATTGTGGAAAGCAGTGTAGTGATTGCTTAAAGAGCCAAAAACAGAACTACCATATGACCCAGCAATCCCATTACTGGGTCCATACCCAAAGGAATGTAAATCACTCCACCGTAAAGACACATGCATGCTTATGTTCACTGCAGCACTGTTCACAATAGCAAAGAGAGGGAATCAAGCCAAATGCCCATCAATGACATAATGGATAAAGAAAATGTGGTATATACATACCATGGAATACTATGCAGCCATAAAAAAGAATGAGATCATATCCTTTCCAGCAACATGGATGGAGCTGAGGCTATTATCCTTGGCAAACTAATGCAGGAACACAAAACCAAATATTGCATGTTCTCACTTATAAGAAGGAGCTAAATGATGAGAACACGTGGACACAGAGAGGAGATCAACAGATACTGGGCCTGCTTGAGAGTGGAGGGTGGGAGTAGGGAGAGAATCAGAAAAAAACAGCTTTTGGGTAGTAGGCTTAATACCTGGGTGATAAAATAAGTACCTGGGTACAACAAACCCCTGATACACAAGTTTACCCATATAACAAATATGCACATATACCCCCGAACCTAAAGTTAAAAAATTAAAAATTAAAAAACAAATTGTCACATTTGTACACAAATGGCCTACTAGATTCAGAGGGGTTCAGTAGAGGGAGATCATGTAAAAATAACTGCACGTTGAGGCTCAACAAAGGGAGATGCTCCCTAGGAAACAGGAGGTGACGTGCATTAGATTCACAGAAGAGCAGACCCCACAGGGGGCTGTGTGTACCTCTCCACCAACCACGCAGTCCAGGTGCGAGGAAATCGAATGTGGAAAAAGACAACTCGTTTAACAAGCGACCTCTCACTACTGAGAAGCACCTTGCTGAGGAATATAGGCCTATAGCTGTCACTTCCAAATCCAGTAACTTTTAGTTTCAACACCAAAGTATGTGACCTGGCACCTCTCAGGAAATGGGAACCTTCTGAGAACCTGGAAACTTTCCCTTGATTAGAAGCAACACTATGCTTCATGGAAGCAAATTCCTCCTGTTCACAGTGAACCCTCCACAAAGAACCCAGCAGGCAGCTTCCTGGTCCTCCTTTGAAGAATCAGGTCATACATTTGCTGCAGCTGAATCCCATGAAAGCTACAGGAAATTGTTGAAGTGTGTCCACTCAACACAGGGCTCCTCAGTAAAGTTCTCATTTCTCTCAACAGGGTTTGTGTGATGATTTTTCCCTAAGGGCAGAGAAGGCGGACGAGAATCAGGCAGACAGTAACAAAGTGTCTGGGGGATGTGGCATAATGAGAATTGCTTCAGGAGGAGGAGCACTGGGCTCCCAGGCAGAGCCCAGGGCCTATGGCTGTCATTAAATGTGTTTCTCTTACCTTTGAAATGTTATCACCAAAAATGCAGGACTAGCACAGTTCTGCATAGTTTTTTGAACCAAATGAAAAGATGAGCTTATTGGTGTGTAACTGCAGCACAGCTGGGAAAATTAAAAAGAACTCAAAGAACTGCTGTTATCTCCATCTGATGGCAGCACCTCCACCCTAACCCTAAGACCGCCCAGTGGGAGCAGGAGGCTCCCGCCTCTGGAGTGCTGAAGATAAGAGTCGTCCCAAATCACAGCCCGAAATGAAAATTGGTATCAGATGCAATGATTGAGTACTGACAATTTTTCAAGCTTAGGAATGGCGTTTCTTTGCAGCTGCAAGGCTGACTTTTGTATTTATGAGCTCTTGGTGAGTACTGCGACAGGTTTATTATTTGTTGGCTTTTTCCAGCATTGCACGGTAAAAATTGTTTTCAAAGAGTATTCAAAAGCGAAGCTGGCTGTCACTGTAGCAAACCAAACCCATCCTCCGATATATTTCACTCCCTTGATTGATAACTGGCTCCATGGTTTGGCATTTCAGGAAAAGACTAGAAAGAGAACAAGTCTCTGAGGTCATTAATGCTTGTTCTCCCTCAGGCTCCCTTGGGCAGCTGCTTGTGTCATTATCCACAGTTCTTACCGCTGATCTCAACAAGTCCTTGCTGGCCCCAAACACTGGATTGTCACCAGGTAGCCTTTGCATTTCCTGCACTCCTCTTATTCTGATCACTGCCTCCGCACAGGTACTGAAGGGGCTGCCTCCTGGGGAGAGTCCTCAAAGCCCCAGGTTTGGTTGGACCCTCAGATCACAGCTTTTCAAAAGGAGCCTTCCTGGCAGCTTCCCACACTCAAACGAGGAGCGGAAAGCGGTGAGAACTCTTTGCTGCTGGAAGCGGCACAGGACACAAGAGAGTGTCTAGCTTGAAATGGGCGTTCACCTGCGCATCCTGCGAATCCGTTTCCACGGCCATTTGATGTCATTATTCTTGATGTCCCACCTATTGTGCCGTGAGTTAGCACAGAGGAGAGCCATCACTGTTCCTCTAGTTACAGCATCGAACAACCTGCTCTGCTGTCAGGGAGAGAGGCTGTTATTTTCTATTGCTGTAAAAAAGCTCAGTGCCGTGGATGAAATGTCAGGAATCGTTAAACCAAACCAGCCCCCGAAGAAAGGGCAGTCAGTGATCATGAAACTGGGATCTCTAATTAACCAGAACAGGAAACTTGGGGAATTTGGGCTGCATGTGTGATTGGAGGAGTGTGTGGAAGTCTCCTCAGAGCCCTTCCCTGGTTTGCCTCATTTCAGAGATTCCTCGAGCTCCAGATGGATTCAAAATCCCTAATAGGTCTCAGATCCTGCTGAGGATTCAGCATAAAGTGTTCTTGTCACTTGTCAGAGACCTGCGGGTGTTGCCGTGGTGCTGGAAGAGTGAACTTTTGCAGAACATTTAAATTAAACACAAATATCCTTTCCATCTGTCCTCTATGGAATATGCTTTTCTAGGCAAAAGTGTTTTTTCCCCAAAATTCTTACTTTTCCAATTGGAGAGTAAGAAATCTAAGCCCTTCAAATTTCTTTTCTTTCTATTGAGTGCTATTATACTTTGTCTATAGCATTAAAGGATTTATTTTTTATTGCTTGGGGAAACAGTTCAATATGACATTATTAAATGATATGGAGTGGAAAGTGTAAACCAACTTTTAAATGTGCTTCAGTCAATGGAGGTAAATAATGACGGTTCGGGGATCCTTCCAGCGTCTTCGCTGACTGCTCAGGAGGCTTTGGGGTCTGGGGAGTCAAACGAGGAAACGTTGTGAGGCACCATCTCGGCAGCTGTAGGGAGAGCTGAGATTCGGCCTGACGTGGCTCTCCACCACCCTAGCATTCTCAACAACTTTGCAAATAAAACCTACACTTCTATTTGCTTTATTTTACATATAAATGTGTGTGTGTGTTTGCATGTGTGTATTTTCCCCCAAAATATATGTGAAAAATATATTTGCAAAAATTCTGTGGTAGGCTATCATACGAAAATATGGATTCTAAAGAATCTTTGCTATGCTCTGATTTTTGTAAAATCCATTTTATTGAGTTAAATTTATATATAATTTACCCATTTTAAGTGTACAGTTGATGGGTTTTGACAAGTATATATACTCCAGTAACCATAAGCACAATGAAATTATAGCAGTTTTCCAGCTCCCATCAAATCAATCCCCTTTGAAGTCAATCCCCTTCTCTAGCCTCAGCTCCTGGCAACCACTGATCTACTTTCTGTCCTTAAAGTCTTGCCTTTCCTGCAGTGTCACATAGATGGACCCACTTCTGCAGGGTGTTTGTTTCTGGCGTCTATCACTTACCATCTTGCTTCCAGGTTCACCTGTGCCGTTTTGCTGTCAGCTGTTCTTTCTCATTTGCTGAGTGAATTTCTCATGCAGGTGTCCCACGATACATTCGTCCATTCCCCAGCGGATGGGCACTGGACTGTGTCTCATCTCTGGCCATTAAAAATACAGTTGCTACGAATGTTTGTGCACAGGGCTCCTAGAAGCAGAGGAGAGGAAGGCACATGAACACAGACCGAGGGAGGGCAAGGAGGGAAGGCCATCACCTGCACATCAACGAGACAGACCCCAGAAGAAACTGGCCCTGCCAACACCTTGATCTTAGACTTCCAGCTTCCAGGACTGTGAGGAAATACATGTCTGTGGTTTAAGCCACTCAGTCTATGGTGCTTTGCTATGGCAGCCATGGCAAACTAATGCATTCACTCACTCCTTTACTTCATCAAACAATCATTTACAACAGCTCTCCTCTGCTGGGCGCCACTCAAGGCTCTGGGCAGATGGCATCCTGCTCTACAGAGCCAACCTTCCAGGGGTCGGCAACACGTAATAAAAGGAAACAAGCAAACAAGACAAAACAAGATGAGACAATCATGTAAGGTTAGACGCTATGATGGAAAGAAAACAGGAGACTGTGCTAAGCAGGGATGCGGCCACTCGGGACTGGGAGAGCAGGAAGGTGGCAGAAAGAATACAAAAAATTTTAACCCCAGAGCAGAGCCACAGGAGACAGGCCTCGAGGTGACCCTGGGAAGAGGACACAGGAAGCCTGAGCTGCAGTGACAAGCACAAGGGAAGATGCTCAGCCACTGAGTGTCAGCTTGGTGTCAAGCTCCATGCGCCAGACACTGTCACTGTCGTCACAAGGATGCAGGATCGCTACCTCCCCCTTCACAGAAGGGGAGACTGAGGCTAACTGGGGGCGTGTCCTTCCCACACTCTCCCAAACCCACAGACCTGAACTCACACGGGAATGTATATCTTGGGGGTAACCAAAGGCTTTTCAACAGGTGCGAGACTTCGTATAAGAGAGATCACTTTCAGATCCTAGCTTCATTTTAGTTTCTCCTAAAATTAATCTCCCTGAGAACAAGCCTGACATGAAAGAACTGGCCTTTCCTTTCCTGCCTCCCCGTTCCCAGTTGGAAAGCACGTCTTCCCAGGTATGAATCTTTCTGGGAGCCTGACCCAAGTTATAAAAACCTGGAGTAGCCCTAAAGGAAGGACGAGGGATATCACTGTTGAGAGAGTTCATGGCTCTGATGACGACTGCATGAAAATGACTCCGGGCCGGGCGCGGTGGCTCACGCCTGTAATCCCAGCACTTTGGGAGGCCGAGGCGGGCGGATCACGAGGTCAGGAGATCGAGACCATCCCGGCTAACACGGTGAAACCCCGTCTCTACTAAAAATACAAAAAATTAGCCGGGTGTGGTGGCGCGCGCCTGTAGTCCCAGCTACTTGGGAGGCTGAGGCAGGAGAATGGCATGAACCCGGGAGGCGGAGCTTGCAGTGAGCCGAGATCGCGCCACAGCACTCCAGCCTGGGCGACAGAGCGAGACTCCGTCTCAAAAAAAAAAAAAAAAAAAAAAAAAGAAAATGACTCCGATGACTGCGTGAAAATGCTTTCGTGGGCCAGGTAGGGTCCACTTCTTTGCTCTGGAGGAGAAGCTGCTAGATAATTACCTATGATTGTTGTTAATGTAAATGATTATGGAATTTTCAGCATATACTTCAAAAGGATTTAAAACCATTGAGTGACGTTGCTATAAACAAACTCCTTCAATTTCCATCTACTTGTTTATGGGAACAAGGTTTTAGAAATTACATCTATAAAAGTGAAAAGTAGGAATAAAACGGATGTTGAATCCGACCTCATTGTAGCAGTAACATCTGTGGAAATGTGACCCACTGGAAAAAATAAGCTCCATTCATCTCATGAAGAGATGCATTTCCAATAATAACTGACTTCAGGTTTATCAATCACTTAAAATCTAAAAAATATTTATGTGTTTTTAAAATTGAGTTCTAATAATAACCGTAATGATAATACAATTCTGAAGAACTTCTTAAATATTTACGTGACTTATGGTCACATGAAATACTAAGTATAACAAATTTAAATTTATATCTAGAATATTGCTTGCAGAATATGATTGGGTTATCAATAAAAGACTTTTAAGCACAAGTATGTTACATAAAAAAAATTCTGTGAGGATGAAAATGGATTTAAGGAGAAAAAAGCAATGTAAAATTTCTGGCTGTGAGAAAAGCTTATTTATAAAGGCTTAGTTTTATATAGTACGTAAATATCACTGGATATACTTAAGCTAATAATGTAATCAATTATTTAAATTTTTCAGTATTAAAATAGGCTGGAAATTAAATCCTTTACAACTGCCTGAATTTAGGATAATTTTTTAAAATAACCAACTCATCTTCAGTGTTACCAGGTCAATGCTTGGGTCCCAATCTCAGTGTACTTTCGCCTATGTTGACTTCTTCATAGGACTCATAATCTTATTTATATAAGATATAGCCACCCTGAGACTACTTAGTTCAGAGTTGCTCTTTGACCATCTATTCCTCTCACAGTCTTAACCCTTTCCACTCCAGTAAACATTCTTCTTGATGGCTTATATTATAAATTGCAATGTGACTAGGGCTGCATGTTTGCATGAGGCATGGAGCAAGATATCATGCAGTGGTTGTAACTCTGCTTCTAGATTCTAGATTGGGATCCAGATTCTACATCTTCAGAGCTGGTTTTTGGACAGTTTTAGTTTTTAACTTTTTTGTGCCTCATTTTTTACATTTTGAAATGGGTATAATCATAGCAGCTACTTCATTGGGTTGTTGTGAGGAGTGAATAAGTTAACACATGTAAAGTGTATAGAGGTGTGATTAATACATAGGGTGATATTGTTATTAATTTTTATATGGAGCTTGTAGAGTTGCTCATTACTTTATAGACACCTGTGTAAGTCAGTATCTATGCATGCTGTAAGACTCACTAAAACTTAGTGAATGCACGTTATCACATTTTTTAGAATTGCTAATTTGGCCTTTGATATATATCCATGCAAAATACCTTTAAATTCCATACAGCGTAAGCATTTCGTGTAGTGTTTCAATTTCACTTGAGTACAAAGTTTATCTACCTTATTTTTCAAACTATTTTTTTTGTAACCAAAGACATATTGTCCATAAGCAATGTGAAGCCTTTTTATGATTGTGAAAGAATGACTTAGGGCTTGTCTATTTAGGGTGGAATTTAAAAAGTTATCAGATTACTTAGTGAGTGATCAGCATCCCCTTTTCTTTTGAATAGCTGTTTCTAATCTTGTGGTAAAAAAAAGAACTGATTAATTTCCTCCCTCGTTGTATACAGGAGTGAACAAAGCAATCAGTAATCAGAAGCTCAGATTTAAATCTTCTGTTGGGTGTGAATGGCAACTTTGTGCCCGTCTCTAACTTCCTTCACTTTCTCTGTGGCCGTCACACTGTGTCCCTTGCTCGTGGCGAATTTCCCTGCCCTCATTTTCTTTCTTTTTTTTTTTTTTTCCAATGTTACAGGCTAACCCAAGTGGTTAAAGATTGAGCCTGCATGTTGTATGTGCAGACACACCATGTCACCTGACCCAAATTATTGTTCATGAGGTCTCATCATTCATGTGATTTTACAAGACGCAGATAAAATGTTTGGAAATTCCAGTGCTTTCTGCCTTGACTACTCACTGTCTGCAGAGCAAAAGTCATGTAAAAATCTGTTTTGTTGCTGAAATATTGAAAAGGAGAGTACTGTGTAGCAATTATGACATTGTACTGGAATGATTTATATCATTACGTAATATTCCTTTTACCTAGAACACTAGCATATACTTCATATGACCATCTCTTTTGAAGTGGGAAGATAATCAAGACAAATATTAATGTTATAAAATCAGGAAATTATTTGCTTAGGATCTTTACAGCTGGTTTGTGGTGGACATGGCCGTGAAAGCAAAGTACTGCTCAATTTAGAGGGCATTTTGCTCATGCAGTGTCCATCAGCATCACCAATCCAATGTGGGCACGCCAGGGGATTATCAGAGCCCGTTCCTCGTTCACTCAGAAAGTGTTGCTGAGTATCCATGTCCAGGTGCTATAACTAACACATGCTGATGGTCTGGGTGCTTTTTTTTTTTTTTTTTAAATCCTCCAATTTTTCCCTCTCAAATAGCTGGGACCACAGTCATGCACCACCATGCCTGGCTAATTTCTGTATTTTTTTTGTAACGATGGGATCTCACCATGTTGCCCAGGATGGTCTCTAACTCCTGGGCTCAAGCGATACTCCCACCTTGGCTTACCAAAGTGCTGGGATTACAGGAGTGAGCCACTACACCCAGCCAAGGGTCCTTTTTAAAATTAACTTAATTTTAAGAAGCGAGGTTGGGCTCCTGTATTTTATTGAAAGTTAATCTAGTGCTAGCTAATAAATACTTTCATTTCAAAGAAAAGCCTGGATGATCTTTCATGTCTCTCTTTCTGAAAGATATTTAAATTCTCTGTTACTTCTTCCTAAGCAAACCAGATCTACTTGTTATAAGGCTATTTTTGTTGGAGAAATTGATACAAGTCTTTTTATTTATTTTTAACTTGTGGGGCCCTTTAATTTATGCCATTTCCTTTAATATGTGCAGGCACCATGTCCAACATATTATTGAAAGACTTTGGCTATAGAATTTCTTATTCTTGTTAGTGTGACTTTCTGAAAGCTCAATATTTGGTATGGCATTATAAGCATTTACTAGTTAACAAGACCTACTATTCCAAATTTCCTCTAATAATGAAAGTTCTTTTAGTTGTCACATTTTATATATCTGATATGAATTTAAATATTAAGTGGTGGAATATTTCATATTATTTTCTTATATTCCTAGTTATTAAATTTTAAATTATCTTACTTTTAATATTAAGTAAAATACTATTATTTAAATGTTAATTTAAAATTTCTATTTAAAAGGGTATTAATCAATTAAAATAGTACTAATTTTCTTCAATTAGTTTCGGATTAAGTCAAATAATACACGAAGGCATTTTAATTATAAAAGATTCAAGCAATCCACATAAAGTTATGTGAAGACCTTCACTCTTCTCTTCTTTTTTTAATCTACTCATTTTCCCAGAAGTTCCACTATTAATAGTTACTTGTGTTCCTTTTGAGCCTTCTCCTGATACATTATGGAGGGATCCGTGTTACATATATCACACACGCACACATTAATACACCAATTTTTAAGTACCCCTCAACTTGTACTTTTGGTGTAAAACATGGACTAAATTAGGATTGTCTATTTTTTGTTTTGTTTTTTGAGATGGAATCTCACTCTGTCACCAGGCTGGAGTGCAGTGGCGCCATCTTGGCTCACTGCAACCTCTGCCTCCTGGGTTCAAGTGATGCTCCTGCCTCAGCCTCCCCAGTAGCTGGGACTACAGACACGTGCCACCACACCCACCTAATTTTTTTTTATTTTTAGTAGAGACAGGGTTTCAGCATGTTGGCCAGGATGGTCTTGATCTCTTGACCTCGTGATCTGCCTGCCTCAGCCTCCCAAAGTGCTGGGATTACAGGCGTGAGCCACTGCACCTGGCCTCTCTCATTATTTTTTATTTATCCTTCTTGACACTCAGTGGCCCTTATAAATTTGGAGACTTGAGTTGTTTTTCAGCTTTTAGAAATCGATTTCTATCATTTCTGTAATTATTTCCACTTTCCATTGGCACTTCTCCCATGGGCATTTCTAAGATTTTGGAATATTCTTTGTGCTTCTAACTCTCAAACACTTTCCACATTTGGATCTTTTGGCTAGTTTCCTGGGAGAATCTTTTTAAAAATATTTCAACTAATTTGCTTTTCAATTGAGTGCATTTTACCTTTTAGATCACCCATGAATTTTTTGACAATTATATTTAAAAGATTCTGAGATCACCAGGTATTTCTTTGTAAGGTATAAATAATCTTCTCTAATATCCTTGTCATAATTAGTTACACTTGTTATATTTATTAATTAGGTTGCTGTTAGTGCTTCTTTCCATCGAGTTTGGTGTATTTGACTCCTGGCACAGGGTTTGCCCAAATGCTTGTGGATTTGTCTTTTCCTTTGAAATCCTTGTCCACTGGGCTCTTGTGTTTCTAGGAGTCAGTCATGGTCCATTGGGCTCTTGTGTTTCTAGGAGTCAGTCATGGTCTGTTGGGGTCTTCTGTTTCTAGGAGTCAGTCGTGGGTAGCAACTGCAGGTGAGGCGCTATTTGAGGGCTCTCAGGATGGATGAGTTCTTTCTCGGATGCTAGCAGCTCCCTGGGCACGCTCCTCATTCTCTTGCTCAGGAAATCTCACTTCCTGCCTTCTCAGGGGCAAATGCTCTTCCCGACCACTGCTCCGTAAAGGGGAAGAAGATGTAGGGGCCAGAGGGGTCCAGGTGCTTCTGTTGTGGTTACCATGTTAACTACCCACCACAACTATCCCAGAGCAGTTTTTATCTGTGGAGCCTTAACTCGGAGCTCCTCAAAACCCATGTCTAGTCAATAGCATTTTCTCATAATTGTCTTTCAGATTTCTTCCAGGCTGTTTTCCCCCATATTCTTTCTTTGTTGGCTTAATACACTTTCTTTCTTTTAGGAATTCTGCAGGCCTCCTGCTGTGGATTGAATATTTCTGTCCCTCCACAATTCTTATATGGGCCCCCTAGTCCCCATTGTGATGGTATTTGGAGACAGGGCCTTTGGGTGCAGATGTTATGAGGCCAGAGACCTCATGGTGGGATTAGTGTTCTTATGAGAAGACCATGAGAGCAGGCTTCCTCTCTGCTCCCCCTGCCACGTGGGACACAATGAGGAGACAGCACGTCTCACGCGGATGCAGCCTTCACCAGGCACTGCATCTGCCAGCGATTTGGTCCTCTCAGCCTACAGAACTTTGAGAAATAAATGTGTGTTGTTTAAGCCACCCAGTCTGTGGTATTTTTCGTTATAGCATCCCAAACTGATTTAGAGACCTTCTTATACTCTTTCTTGAATTTTTTTTTCCTTTTTTAAAAAATTCTATTATTTCATGAGAGGTAGGATAGAAGTGATTTGCTCACTCTGATTGTTGGCTGGTTTGTTTCTCTCCTGAATTTTCAGCAGTAAACACAGGGCACACCACTGGGCTACATTGTTCCTGAGGGAACTGGCTCACAGCAAAGTGGGGTGGACACAAAGGTTGTCGCATCTCCCCGAGGTTTCCAGTTCTGTGCGTTCTCCCACTCTGGAAGACTCAAGAATCTTAAAAATCATTTATGTGCAATTCTAAAAGATGAAGTAGTTATTTCCTGGGGGAGTCTACATTTTTGAAAGAATCTAAGTCACGTCTTAAAGCGTTGCACGTACTTACAAGCAATCTGGGAAAGTTACAGGCAAAGGTAAAGGGCCGGGAGGTCACAGGCAAAGGTAAAGGGCCTGGAGGTCACGCACATTCCCGCCAGTAGGCCACGTACACTGCCGCCACGCGGTCACGCACACTGCCGCGGGAGTTCACGCACACTGACGTGGGAGGTCACGCACACTGCCGCCGGGAGGTCACGCACACTAACGTGGGAGGTCACGCACACTGCCGCGGGAGTTCACGCACACTGACGTGGGAGGTCACGCACACTGCCGCGGGAGGTCGCGCCCACTGCCGCCGGGAGGTCGCGCCCACTGCTGCCGGGAGGTCGCGCCCACTGCCGCCGGGAGGCCGCGCACACTGCCGCTGTTGTGTGGGTTTGTGTTGAAGGTAAAGGGCCGGGAGGCCGCGCACACTGCCGCTGTTGTCCGGGTTTGTGTTGAAGGTAAAGGGCCGGGAGGCCGCGCACACTGCCGCTGTTGTCCGGGTTTGTGTTGAAGGTAAAGGGCCGGGAGGCCGCGCACACTGCCGCTGTTGTCCGGGTTTGTGTTGAAGGTAAAGGGCCGGGAGGCCGCGCACACTGCCGCTGTTGTCCGGGTTTGTGTTGAAGGTAAAGGGCCGGGAGGCCGCGCACACTGCCGCTGTTGTCTGGGTTTGTGTTGAAGGTAAGGAACATCCGTGCTCATTTTCAAACTTAGGTTTACGTGTTCTCCCCAGGTTCTTTTGTTCTTTTGTCATATCAAAGAGGTCTTGAGTTACTGGTGTTCAATCAAAGAGGACAAATGTATCATTATTATATCTTAACATCCTATTTATTATTAATTACATGCTAGTGCTATTCTGGAAGGCCCCAGAAGTTCCAGATAGTGAATCTTAGTTGAAAATGTATTATTACATAATTTGAATAAGAAATATTTTGTTAAATTCACAACATATTGATGGAGAATCAACTTATTCATTTTGATACAATAAGCTTTTATATTTTAGAGTTTCTGAAAACACATAGTTTTTTTCTTAATATTATAGATTATGCTAAAGATAACTTGGAAATCAGTTGGTCAAATGCCCTAATTTAATAGACAAGGACATGAAGGTAAAGAAATAAGATAGGTGAAGTATGCTCACTCAACTGGCCGTCGGCTGCAAATGGAAAGCAAAGTTTTACTCCAGCCCCCAAGTCCTCATTCTTTCCATCCTGACATGCTGCACACAAGGAGAGCTTCCAGTGAATATTTGTCCCTAATCAGGAATTATTCCAAAGAGCAAACCTGAGTATAAGAAATTAAAGAAACTATTTTCTTTTTCATCAAATCTCTTTAATAAACTTTAAAAATAGCATTTCCAGTAACTCGTGCCTGATTTCTCTGGAACAAAAAGAAAGCAGAAAGTAAAACAGGAAATACACAGGCAGTCCTTGAACTGATGGAATCATTTTAACAAATATTAAACAGTGAATAGCACATTATATTTTTACTGCGTGCAGCTTATGTCTTATTTTTTACATTTTACTTAATGGTCCCTGACTTTTCTGATACTTTTTGTAAGCAGAAACAAAATAATGGGGTGCTTTTTCATGAAACTAGGTCACCCCTCATAATCACTACCACAAGTTACATATTCATGCTTAAATGTAGCAATTGTTTTTCAATCAGAAGTTGAAATGATGTATCATGTGGGGACTCTTTCCTCGCAAATGGTAATAAATTCTTTAGAAAAATGCTCACTGGGAGGAAGAGTTATGGTAACTCACTGGAGGCAAATGCTTCTTAGATATCATATGGAATTAATGCAGTGACCCAAAATGTGAGTGTGCGTGTGTATGTGTGTGTGTGAGACTGTGTGTGTGAGTGTGTGCGTATGTCTGCGTGTGTATGTGTGGTGTGTGTGCGTGTGTGTGTATGTGGGTGTGTATGTGTGTGTGAGTGCGTGTGTATGTGTGGTGTATGAGTGTGACTGGTGTGTGAGTGTGCGTATGTGTGGTGTATGTGTGTGAGTGTGTGACTGAGTTGTGTGATGTGTGTGAGTGTGCGTGTGTATGTGTGGTGTGCCAATGTGTGCTTGACAACACAATTTATGCAATCTGGAAAATGTCAGTCTTTCAAAATGATAAAAATGTTTGAATTGCTTAAAAAATCAGTCATTTGGCATAAAGTTAAACACTTAAAACAGTGGAAATAATATTAGCAATAGCTTAACCAAGTGCTGTTTATATGCTAGACACTTTTATAAACTTTTACTTTTGATTTAATCCATTCAATCCTTACACTACAGGACAGACATTACCGTTACTCCCATATTAGAGGGGCATGGAAACTTGCTCAAAGTCAAACATCAGGGAAGTCACAGAGCCGGGGTTGCAGCCAAGCCGTCCGACTTGCCATTCAAGCCTTCAACTGTCTCCAGGCTAACCCTCCCAGAGCGCCTCACCCCCTTTACTTTCCTATCCAGCAGCCAGTATTGTTACCAGAAGCCTAGGAGTACTCAGGATTTTATGTACTTTAAGTTGACGTGTGTGTGTGTGTGTGTGTGTGTGTGTGTGTGCGCGCATGTAGGAAGGTAATGGTAGTGGTGGTGGATTTTTAAATTGTTTTTTTTGGTAGTGAATTC